>NC_000011.10:71964786-72267817 GCF_000001405.40 Homo sapiens | reverse complement strand
ATAGCCCCAGGAATATTATTAAAAGTCTTATCTAAGGCCAGGTGCTGGCTAATGCCTGTAATCCTAGCATTTTGGGAGGCCAAAGTGGGCGGATCACTTGAGCTCAGGAGTTCAAGACCAGCCTGGGCAACATAGGGAAGCCCCATCTCTACAAAAACACAAAAATTAGCTGGGCATGGTAGTGCACCTGTAGTGTCAGCTACTTGGGGGGCTAAGGCGGGAGGATCACTTGAACCCGGGAGGTCGAGGCTGTAGTGAGCTGAAACTGTGCCACTGTACTCCAGCCTGGGTGACAAAGTGAGACCCTGATTTTTAAAAAAATCTTATCTATATAGCTGTATAGCTTTATCCTTTTTGTGTATGTGCACACCTGCACAAACACATAGATACAGGGTGTGTTTTTTTTAATTTCTAGAAGAAATTAAACAAGAGTCAGGTGTAGTGGCTCATGCCTGTATTCACAGCAGTTTGGTAGGACCAGGCAGGCAGATCCCTTGTGCCCAGGAGTTTGAGATCAGCCAGGGCAACATGGTGAAAACCCGTCTCTACTAAAAATACAAAAATTAGCTGGGCGTGGTGGCTGGCGCCTGTTGTCCCAGCTACTCAGGAGGCTGAGGTGAGAGGATTGCTTAAGCCCAGGAGGTCGAGGCCACGGTGAGCTGTGATAGCACCACTGCACTCCAGCCTGGGTGACAGAGCAAACATCCTGTCTCAAAAACACAAAAAAGAAATTAAACAAGGAAATTGTGAACAAGGAAATGTTGAACAAGGAAATGTTCACAAATATTTCCTTTTGAGAGAGGGACTAGGGGAAGAAACAGGGAAGGAATACTTCTCACTTTTCATTTAAACTTTTTATTACTTTATTTCTTTTTAATCATCTGGCCAGTGCATGTAATTTAATTGGAGAGTATCTAGTCAGTGAAATTATAAGCTGTCTTTTCTAATACTCTTCCATACTCTTAAAAACGGAAAATATGAAAAATGATAGAGAAGTCAGGAGAACTAAGAAAGCTGCATACCCAATAACTACAGAGGGGATGTCAGAAAGAAAGAATCAAGTTCATAACACAGAACCCCAGAAGAGTTCAGGAATGCAAAGCACCAGGTGCTCTGAGAATGTGGGATGCAACATGGGGCTGAAAATAGGGGCAAGGATTGAACTTTTTTTTTTTATTTTTATTTTTTGAGACAAGGTCTCACTCTTTTGCCCAGCCTGGAGTGCAGTGGTGCAATCTCAGCTCACTGCAATCTCCGCCTCCTGGGTTCAAGAGATTCTCCTGCCTCACCCTCTGGAGTAGGCACATGCCACCACGCCCGGCTAATTTTTGTATTTTTGGTAGAGATGGGGTTTCACCATGTTGGCCAGGCTGGTCTCAAGCTCCTGGCCCCAAGTAAGTCACCTGCCTCGGCCTCCCAAAGTTCTGGGATTACAGGCGTGAGCCAGCACACCTGACCGGAACATTTATTTTTAAAATGCAGTAAGATTTCCATGTCTCTTCCTCCATTCTGGTCAGCTGATTACACCTTCCCCACAGGGACAGGAGTCTGAAGCTTTAGCCTGTGGATGAATCTACCCTGAAAGCCTCCAGGCTTAGGACCCAGGAACAGCAAAAGGCAAGAGCTGTGCCAAAAAACACAATTGAAAACAAGCCTACTGTAACACCCTAGCCCTTCTGGCACAAGCTCCAAGCACAGTGGCAGCCAGGCATATTTCCTTCCTGGGCAGAATACTGAAAATTTGTCACTGAAGACACTGAATGATCCTAGAGAAAAAGGCTATAGATAGGACATTTTACATCCTCCAGCAAAATGGCTGAGTCCCTATCCCATCACCATACAGTAACACTACATTTCACAAACTTGGCACACACACACACAGCTTCCAAGAAACTTTGTGGTACCACACTCTTAAATAAGAAAGGAAAAGAAAGTCACCAGACATGTAAGGAAAGGTTGAACATGAAAGACCAAAAATATAACCAGGAAAAAGAAAACCAACAGGAAGCAGAAACAACACAGGAAACCTTCCCCTGAAATCTATACTATCGAGAGAGAAAAGAAAAAATAATAACGACCGTCAAAAAAAAAACAATATGCCTTAATTTTTTTTTTTTTGACAGAGTCTAGCTCTGTCGCCCAGGCTGGAGTGCAGTGGCATGATCTCGGCTCACTGCTTGTATCCACCTCCTGGATACAAGCAATTCTCCTGCCTCAGTTTCCCGAGTAGCTGGGATTACAGGCATGTGCCACCACGCCCGGCTAATTTTTGTATTTTTAGTAGAGATGGGGTTTCGCCATGTTGGCCGGGCTAGTCTCGAACTCCTGACCTCAAGCAATCTGCCCACCTTGGCCTCCCAAAGTGCTAGGATTACAGGCGTGAGCCACTGCACCTGGCCAATATGCCTTTAAAAAAAAAAAGAAAGAAAGGAACACTAACAGAATCGAATAACTTTTAGAATTTTAAGACATGTTAGCTAAATTTTTTTAATCCATAAAACAACTAGGGCTGGATGCAGTGACTCATGCCTGTAATCCCAGCACTTTGGGAGGCCGAGGCGGGCAGATCACAAGGTCAAGAGATGGAGACCATCCTGGCCAACATGGTGAAACCCTGTCTCTACTAAAAATACAAAAATTAGCTGGGTGTGGTGGAGCACGCCTGTAGTCCCAGCTACTGGGGAGGCTGAGGCAGGAAAATCACTTGAACCCAGGAGGCGGAGGTTGCAGTGAGCCGAGATCTCGCCACTGCACTTCAGCCTGGTGACAGGGTGAGACTCCATCTCAAAAAAAAAAAAAAAAAAAAAAAAACAATTGGAAGATAAACTTAAGAAAATCTCCCAAGACGTAGAACCAAAATAAACAGAAAATTGTAAGAGAACAGATACAATTAGAAAAATAATTAAGGATGTCCAACATCCACATGATAGGCGCTTCAAAAAGAAGAGATTGAGCGAGGGAATATTATCAAATAAATAGCACAAGAAATGTTTTCATCACTAATAGACATCAGTTTTCAGATCCACTGATGCCCAGTGGTTGAAAATAGATTCTGAGCCAGCCATATCATCAGTAAATATCAGAATACTCAGGACATAAAGAAGATTCTAAAAACTTCCAAAGGAAAAATAAGTGTATTAGTTGGTTTTCACACTGCTATAAAGAATTACCCAAGACTGGGTAATTTATAAAGGAAAGAGGTTGAATTGACTCACAGTTCCACATGGCTGGGGGGGCCTCAAGAAACTTACAATCATGGCAGAAGGGGAAGGCGAAACATGCACCTTCTTCACAAGGCAGCAGGAAAGAGAATGAACACAGGAGAAATCACCAACCACTTACAAAACCACCAGATCTCCTGAGAACTCACTCATTATCACAAGACCAGCAAGGGGGAAACCACCCCCATGATCCAATTACCTTCACCTGGACCCTCCATTGACACGTGGGGATTACAATTTGAGATGAGATTTGGGTGGGGAAACAGAGACAAACCATATCAAGAAATCACATGCAAATAGGAAATCATAATGCATTCCTTAAAAACAACAAGCAAGTTGAAAGGCAACATAGGAATGCCTTCAAAATTCTGAGAGAAAATTACTTTCAACCTAGAAATCCACATCTAGCCAAATTATGAATCAAATGTGATAATACAGTGAACATGTTTAGATATTTGGGATCTCAAAAAATACTCCTACCATTGCACCCATTCTCAGAAAGCTATTTGAAGATGGGCTTCATCAAAACAAGGAAATAAACTGAGAAGAAGAAAGTCACAGAATTCAGTAAATGGGGGACCCAACCCAAGAGATAAGCAAAGAGATATCCCAGAACAACAGCTCTGCAGAGCAACTGCTAGTCCAGATTGGTGCAGGAAGGCAGAAGGTATACCGGTGTTATTAGTCCATTTTCACACTGCTATAAAGAAATACCCGAGACTTGGTAATTTATAAAGGAAAGAGGTTTAATTGACTTACAGTTCCACAGGGCTGGAAGGCCTCAGGAAACTTACAATCATGGCAGAAGGTCAAGGGGAAGCAAGGCACCTTCTTCATAAGGCAGCAGGAGGGAGTGAGGGTGGGCACAGGAAAATTCTACTTATAAAACCATCGGATCTCATGAGACTCACTCACTATCATGAGAACAGCATGGGGGAAAACCGCCCCCATAATCCAATTGCTTCCCTCCCTTGACACCTGGGGATTACAGATGAGATTTGGGTAGGGACACAGAGCCAAACCATATCAGTTGGTCAGTGTTTTCTATGTAGTAAAAGGAAACCTCAAGATCTCGGTGGCTTACAACAACAAAGATGATTCATGTTCATGACTATGCATTCTGACGAGGGTTCAGTCAATACAGCTGGACCTAGCTGGGCTTGGCTCTAGAATGAGGTTCCTGTTAAGGTCTTTTCCCCATGTTTTCTCATTCTCCTTGAACCAACATCTACCCAGGCCTTGTACTTGTCAGGGGGAACTGCAGAAGCTCAAGAAGCAAGCCAGGTTACACAGTCACATTTTAATCCTCTGCTCCTCTCATGTCTATTACCGTTCTTGGGCCAAAGCAAGTCATAGGGCCATGCTCACCATCAGTGGGGCAGGGAAATATACTCTCCCTACTCTAGTGGGAGATACTGCAAAGTTCATGGCAAAAAGCATGGGCATATCATTCTATTCTGTAACAGAGAGGAAGTGAAGAACTGGGAATAATAATCCAGCCGACCTCAGAAAGCTCCAGAAGAGAAGTCTCCAGGAAAAAAATAATGGGATTGATAGAAGACCTAATATGTTTGACTGTGTGGAAAAGAGTATCTCTAAGGGTTTACAATTCCCTAGAAGAGTGATAATGATAGCAACTTAGAAAACAAAGCAAATTTTTAAAAAGACAACTATGAATTCCAGGAAAAGCAAAAATTGGTATAAAGAAGTTAAAATAATCATGGTCAATATATGATACATACCTGATTAAGACATAAAGTGCAACTAAATTTTGATAAAATTGGTATACCACTACTGTTTGTTTCATGGATGTCAAGATACATGTGTTATCAAAACTGAAATCTGAACATCTGAAATTGAGAACCATCAGAATCACCGTCAACCAGGAAGTGGCCGTGGTAGAGATGCCACTGCCACGCCTACATGGGATTGTTATTCCTGGTGGCATGGCTGGATAACTGCCACTCCTGAGCATTTTAGTCCACTTAAGGACCATTCGAGGAAAGAATGAGTGTTGGTTATTGTCTAGAAAGTTTTCACACATACCTTCTGATAAATTCAAGAAAGTGCCACTATCAGAACTTGTAGAATGAATATTAGTTGTTTGGAAGAAAATCTCACTGTTAATAGTGGATCTCTCTTTTTCAAGAGTATCACCAATAGTCTTGAAAGTATGAAGTAGGATATTGTGTTTTAATAAGTACGGCTAGGTACAGTGGCTCACGCCTGTAATCCCAGCACTTTGGGAAGGTGAGGCAGGTGGATCACCAGAGGTCAAGAGTTCGAGACCAGCCTGGCCAACATGGTGAAACCCCATCTCTACTAAAAATATAAAAAAATTAGCTGAGCATTGTGGTGTGTGCCTGTAATCCCAGCTAGTCAGGAGGCTGAGGCAGGAGAATTGCTTGAGCCCAGGAGGCGGAGGTTGTAGTGAGCAGAGATCGCGCCACTGCACTCCAGCCTGGGTGATAGAGTGAGACCTTGTCTCAAAAGAAAAAAAAAAAGAAAAAAAAAAGCATGAGCAGCAACATCCTAGAGATTAAAAAGTGATTCAAGAGAATGGGACTCTGGGCCGGGCATGGTGGCACACGCCTGTAATCCTAACAATTTGGGAGGCTGAGGCAGTAGGATCACTTGAGCCCAGGAGTTTAATACCAGCCTGGGCAACATAGTGAGACCCCCATCTCTATTTTATTAAAAATTTAAAAAAATTTTTTTTTAATTTTTTTAAATAACAATTTAAAAATTTTTTAAAATAACAATTAAAAAAATTTTTTTAATAACAATTTTAAAAAATGGGACACTGGGCGTGGTAGCTCACACCTGTAATCCCAGCACTTTGGGAGGCCGAGGCGGGCGGATCACCTGAGGTTGGGAGTTCGAGACCAGCCTGACCAACATGGAGAAACCCCGTCTCTACTAAAAATACAAAATTAGCTGGGCGTAGTGGTTCATGCCTGTAATCCCAGCACTTTGGGAGGCCGAGGCAGGAGGATCACGAAGTCAGGAAATCAAGACCACCCTGGCCAATATGATGAAACCCCATCTCTACTCAAAATACAAAAATTAGCTGGGTGTGGCGGTGTGCAACTGTAGTCCCAGCTACTCAGATGGCTGAGGCAGAATTGCTTGAACCTGGTAGGCAAAGGTTGCAGTGAGCTGAGATCACGCCACTGCACCCCAGCCTGGAGACAAAGCAAGACTCCGTCTCAAAAAAAAAAAAAAAAAATTGAATGCAAAACTATAAAACTCCTAGAAGATAACATAAGACAAAATCTAGATGACCTTGGGTTTGGTGACGATTTTCTATGTACTTATTTATTTATTTTACTATTCTTAAAGTTTACTTACTACTATATAAATGAAGACGGTGATTTTTTTTAATACAACACCAAAAGCAGAATTCATGAAAGAAGAAACATATGTTAGACTTTACTAAAATTAAAAGCTTCTATTCTGCAAAAGATGCTTTTGAGAGAATGAAGACAAACCACGAACTGGGATAAAATCTTTGTAAAACACATATAAAGGACTGGTGTCCAAAATATACAAGAACTTTTCAAACTTGACAATAAAGAAACAATCACCCGATTTAAAAATTAGCAAAAGATAGGAACAGACACCTCACCAAAGGATATGTGCAGACAGCAAATAAATACATGAAAGATGCTCAACATTATGTCATCAGGGAATTGCAAATTAAAACAATAAATGAGATATCACTATGTACCTACTAGAATGGCTTAAATCCAAAACGCTGACGACAACAACTCATTAAGGCATTCAGGGTACCGAGTACTTTCTGCTATTTAGGATTTATCAGCACTTTATCATAATCATAGTTCGCCAGTGTAACGTGTTATGGGACTTTAAGATTATCAAAGTCCCTGTGTACTAAATTGTGGCACAGAGGCAGAGAGCTGACATAGTTCTTGAAGCAAAATAGTGAAAATGTACTTCTGCCCCTGCCAGGATAAACAAAATTACCTCTGGTCTTCTTTGCTTATTGAAATAGGGAAAAAACATTTGCAAGTTAATAACTTCATCGCAGGTGGGAGAGGCGCTGTTGATTTGCTCTAGTGGAGAAACCACATCTGCAAGAGCAATGCAACTGGAGTCATCACCTGTCTTAAACTTTCAATCATCCACCGTCATTCTCAAAGGCCCTTCTGACTTCTTTGTGAGCCAAACAGGTAAATTAAATGGATAAGTAACAAGAATTTTCACCTCTAAATTTTCAGATCTTTGATGGTTGCACTAATCTCGCATTTCCCCCAGCAAGGCATTATTGCTCTTTGTTTATAATTTAAATAGGGAGGAAGGTTTAGTGCTTTTGCTCGACCCTTTCAACCACATATTCCATGGACTGGAGAAACATGGGGATTCTGCCATTTGCTGAATGCATCTAGTCTAACTATACACTCGGGAACTAAAGAAATGATGGGAAAATGGGTTTAAGAACTGGGATGATAGTAAGGTAGACTGAAATCAAAAGTTGCAGCCAGGCACAGTGGCTCACACCTGCAATCCTAGCACTTTGGGAGGCCAAGGCAGGAGGATCACTTGAGCCCAGAGTTCGAGACCAGCCTAGGCAACATGGTGAGATCCCTGTCTTTACAAAAATTTAAAAAGAAAAAAAAAAGGTAGCTAGCCATGGTGGCACACGCCTGTAGTTCCAGCTAATCAGGAGGCTGAGACAAGGGGATGGCTTCAGTACAGGAGTTCGAGGCTGTAGTGGGTTATGATCATGCCACTGCACTCCACCCTGGGCAACATAGCAAGACCCTGTCTCAGAAAAAAAATCAAAAGTCAATTTATCACTTGACTCCATAAGCCTTCATTCACTCTGAGTGATTCATTAATCACTGTGCCAACTACAACTCCAAAGATTAGCATTAGAGCCAATGTCCAACACTCCCAAGGTCACAGTTACTGGATCTGTTTCCTAGGGCTGCCATAACAAAATATTATACACAAGGTAGCCTGAAACCACGGAAATTTATTCTCCATCTTCACATGGTGTTCCCTCTGTGTCCAAATTTCTCCTTTTTTATAAGGTTAGAAAAAGAAAGAAAAGAAAAGAAAAAAAAGCTTCTTCTAAGGAGACCATCATTGGATTAGGGCTAAACCAGTATGACCTCACCTTAACCTGATTGCAAATAAACTATTTCAAAATAAGGTCACCTATTTCACAGGTACTGGGGACCAGAACTTCAACATATCTTTTGGAGGAGACACAATTAAACCTACAATAGCTATCCTGGAAAATGACCACAGGCCTTTCTGGGGGACCCTATAAGGAATACAAAGGGAGGCAGGGCACTGTGGCTCATACCTGCAATCCCAGCACTTTGGGAGGCCGAGGTGGGCAGATCACTTGAGGTCAGGATTTCTAGACCAGCCTGGCCAACATGATGAAGCCCTGTCTCTACTAAAAACACAAAAATTAGCCGGGCATGGTGGTGGGCACTTGTAATCCCAGCTACTCAGGAGGCCGAGGCAAGACAATTGCTTGAACCCGGGAGGTGGAGGTTGCAGTGAGCCAGAATCATGCCACTGCACTCCAGCCTGGGTGACAGAGTGAGACTCTGTAAAAAAAAAAAAAAAAAAAAAAAAAGAAAGAAAGAAAGAAAGAAAGAAAGAAAGAAAGAAAGAAAGAAAGAAATATATAAGGAGGTATTTCTAAATCTTGCTTAAGTAAACTTGCCTTCACCCCATTCATGGGGCTGTAAGTCTGTGAACAAACCCAGGACAGGAAATTCAGTGAGAGATCATAACTCCATTATTCCCCATCCTATTGTCTTAAGTGGGTCCCCTTTTCACCAGTTCCAGAGGGTTTTGGGTTTTACAGATCAGTTAGAATCTTAGTGAACTGCTTACATTCTTTAATCCTAGGGACTCAGTGATCTCAAAATGATCAACCAGCAAAGATCTCTGCAGGTCAGACCACTCAGAGCAGCTGGCAATCAGAGTAACCACACCCAGCTTGCCCCTGGCAGTGAAGTACCCCACCCCACCCTCACAACCCTAGGATTCCATCATGTTGGTGGAAATGAGGGCACCTACATGGTGAGTGGTGGCTCATGCCTGCAATCTCAGCACATTGGGAGGCCAAGGTGGGAAGGTGGCTTAAACCCAGAAGCTCAAGGCAAGCCTGGGCAACATAGCAAGACCCTGTCTCTAAAAAATATATAATTTTTTAATTAGCTGGGCATGGTGGCATGCACCTGAAGTCCCAGCTACTTGGGAGGCTGAGGTGGGAGAATCACTTGAGCCCGGGAGGTGGAGGTTGCAATGAGTCATGATCATGCCACTGCACTCCAGCCGGGACAACAGAGCAAGATCCTGTCTCAAAAAAACAACAAAAAAAGGCCAGGCGCGGTGGCTCACACCTGTAATCCCAGCACTTCGGGAGGCCGAGGTGGGCGGATCACGAGGTTAAGGAGATCGAGACCATCCTGGCTAACATGGTGAAACCCCATCTCTACTAAAAATACAAAAAATTAGCCAGGCATGGTGGCGGGCGCCTGTAGTCCCAGCTACTCAGGAGGCTGAGGCAGAAGAATGGTGTGAACTCGGGAGGAGGAGCTGGCAGTGAGCCGAGATCATGCTGCTGCACTCTAGCCTGGGCAACAGAGCAAGACTCCATCTCAAAAAAAAAAAAGAAAAGAAAAAAAAGAAATCAGGGAGGCTGTTTCATCTGTAGTGTCTTCCCCCAATATCTCCAACCTACAGAAACTGGTTATTACAGTACTTTCTGAAGATATCATCACTCTCACAAATATATTTCTCAATGCCTTGGTGAAGAGAATGTCCCCGGGCCCTCCTAGGGGACAGAGCTAGGAGTGAATGAGTCACACTTATAAACCCACACCAAATTCCCGTCTCCCTAATTCTTTGGATTCTCTCTTCCACATTTTACCAAAGGATTCTTGGCATCTCAATTTCATTTAACTTCATCATGGAATCCAGGTTTCAGTCAACCAACTGAAAAAGCAATTAAATCCACTATATATCCATCAGAATGAATAAAATTAAAAATACTGACACTATTTAATGTTCAAGAGGATATGAAACAAGAATTCACATACATTATTGGTGGAAGTGTAAAATGGCACAACCCTTTGGGAAAAGGTCTAACACTTTCTTAAAACCAACAATTTTTCAACATGATAATATACACACTGAAGTATTTAGAGGCCAAGCATATGGATGTCTGAAACTTACTCTGAAATGCATTCAAAAAATACAGTGGATTGGCAGAAGAATAGGTGGATGGATATGTGATAAAGTAAATAATGTTATTATAGGCTCTAGAAAACAATTAACTCATCCTTTTTTAAAAAGTCATAAGGCCGGGTGTGGCAGTTCACGCCTGTAATCCCAGCACTTTGGGAGACCAAGGCTAGTGGATCTCTTGATGCCAGGAATTCGAGACAAACCCGGTCAACATGGTGAAACCCCATCTCTACTAAAAATACAAAAAAAAAATTAGCCGGGCGTGGTGGTGCACGCCTGTAATCCCAGCTACTACCTGGGAGGCTGAGGCAAGAAAATCACTTGAACCTGGGAGGCAGAGGTTGCAGTGAGCCTAGATCGTGCCACTGCACTCCAGCCTGAGTGACAGACTGAGACTCTGTCTCTAAATAAATAAATAAATAAATAAATAAATAAATAAATAAAAGTTATTAGGACTACCCCCAGCTATTAGAACGGACACATGGAATCCAGACTCTTTGGTAAGTGCACCCAGGCTGGGTTGCAATACTGTGATCATAGCTCACTAGCAGCCTGGAACTACTGGGCTCAAGCGATCCTCCTGCCCCAGCCTCCTGCGTAGCTAGGACTACAGGTGCATGCCACCATGCCTGGCTACTTTTTATACTTTCTGTTGAGACGGTGTCTTGCTATGTTGCTCAGGACCTCAAACTCCTGAGCTGAAGTGATCCTCCTGCCTCAGCTTCCCAAAGTGCTGGGATTATAGATGTGAGCCGCTGCCCCTGGCTGGTAATTTACTTCTAAGGAGCAGAATATGGCAAAAATGACAGGATGTGATTTCCAAGATTAGGTTACAAAAGGCTGCCTTCTGTCTTGCTGACATTCCCTCTGACCCTTCTAACATGCTTGTCCTGATGGGGAGGTCCACAGTGCAAGAAAGTGAGGGTGACCTCTGGCCAACATCTGATAAGAAACAGAGCCCTTCAGTCCAATTGCTCTTGAGGCACTGAGCCCTAAAAAGAGCCATGTGCGTGAGCTTAGAAGCCGACCTTGCCTTAGCCAAGCCCTCATTTGAGACTGCAGATCTGACACCTTGATTGTAGCCTTGGAAGAGACCCTGAAGCAGGGGACTCAGGTAAGCTGTTCCTAAATTCCTGATGCACAGAAACTATTACACAATAAATGTGTATTGTTTTCCACTACTAAGTTGTGGGGTAATTGTTATGCAGCAATGGGTAACATCCCTGCCTGATATCGATTCTCTCCTTATTCCTCAGCAATGAAGACCCTATTTCATTTGGGATACTAATGTGCCCAGTTAAAAATCACTCCTTTTTCTAGTCTCCCTTTCAGTTTGATGTGCTCATACAACTAAATTCAGGCAAATACGAAGTAAACAGAAGTGCTGCACAGAGCCTCTAAGAAGGTTCCTTACAGGGAGATGTCTCACTGAGAGATGTACTTTTTGCTTGCTTTCTTCTTCATTCTGGCTTCCTAGAATGTGGATGTGATGGTTAGAACTCCAACAGCTATCTTAGAACATTAGGTGAGCTTGAGGATAGAAACCACACTCTAGGAAGAGAAAACAAAAAGAAGGAAGGAGTAGGAGGCCCATGGAGTAGCCACACCAGCACTGGACTCCCTACCCACAGATTTATTTTTAGTGAAGAAGAAAGAATCTATTATTTTGTTTATACCATTGTCATTTTGGATTTTCCCTTAGGTGGTATCCAACCTAGCCCTGGTTCATAGAAGCTCAGAGCTCTCAGCCATCCAAATTCTCCCATACATAACCACCCCAGTATGTTCCTCTTCCAAACAATGCTCTAGTTCTCACACATGATAGAGTGAGAGCAAACTTTGAGTCTGATGTTTTCATTCTCGCTTTAAGTTGTCCACACCACCTCACAATCCATTTGTTCCTCATTCCCTTCAGACTCATGTCAGACAGTCCCCCAAGTCTTTGTTCTCAATGGACACTTCATTCCAGGTAACCACTAGTAATAAGCGGATGAGCTATTTTGCCACCAAGTGCCACCCCATCTCTGGATTTTCATTACCTTTAGTCCCCCAACAGGCCACACAACCATTCCTAGATTCCAGCTATTTCTCTGAAAGTCTGATGCCTTCAGTCAATCTAGTACCAATTTATATATCAGTCAGAGTCATTAGTTACAAGCCACAAAACCAACTCCATCTTATTTAAGCAAAAAAATAACTCATTAACTGTATAAAAGATATTAGGTATCTCAGAGAATTACAGAAACAACTAGAGAACCAGATAGAGAGCCACACAGGAAACCAGAACAATGCCCTAAATTAAGCTGCAGGGTTTTCTCCAGGAGGACAATGCTGCCACCACTGCCCCTTCCTGCTGCCAAGAGCAAGCTCTGTAGGGTCCCTGCTGCCTCTAGAACTAGGTCTTACTACAAGCCCATTGTCCCTGGAGGGAGTTCTGAGGGTCTCTGAATCCTCACTTCCTTATCTACAGATTTCTTAGCTTAGTCTGTGATCCATGTACGGGACTGGCTGAGACAAGGTCAAATGTCTACACCTGGTTGTGAGGGAAGTTCAGAAAACAAGTATCTGGCATCTATTAGATGGGGAATTTCCCTAACTTAGAAGTGGTTTCAGATGCCAGATGCCAAAAAAAGAAAAACAAAGGTTGACCCTTACTGTCCGGCCAGGGTGCCAAGGGGGGATTGGGAGAGTCACAGGTCCCTGATTCCTCTAGCTCATCCCAGATATCCCCATTTCAGACAGTCCCCCTTTCCTAATCAATGCATTCACTTTAGGGTGTGCACGGAATCTGCCTGCAGCCAGTCTGCAAAGCACATGATTATTTTCCTGCAGCCACCTTGGATTGCCAGCCCCAGGCAGAGGAGGCCTCACCAGAGTTACAAATTGTCATACTGCCCGTCATGTGCTTGTCCCTCCCTGGAAGTATCTTCCTGGGGTTGCCAAGTGTAGACAATGTGCTCCAATATTTTGCCATGTTCCTACTGAATCCTCTGAAGCTGCAACCACCGGGCAGACATAGGGGAGGTTGTTCTAAAAGACACCATACAGTCATTTCCCTGGCTGCTTCAGTCGTCACCTAACGAACAGCTCACTCCCAGACTCAGGATGGAGGGAGTCTTACTATATCCCACCCTCAACATCAACAGGGCCAGTTCCATGTTTTAGGTTCTGCCATGTGCATCACTCTACACCTTGTACCGATTTTTAAATTGGGATTCTTTTGCTTGGAAGTGACAGAAATCCAACTTGAGCCAGATTAAACATAAAGAAGAATGTGTTGGGTAATAAAATCCAATAAGGGGCTGAACAACTAATTTGCAAAAAGAGCAAGGATATCTCAGGAATAACTGGAACTAGGAACTTAAATCCTAATAGAATTATCCTTATCTTTTGCTTCAACTTTTTATTTCTGCTTTCCTCACTGCAGAGCACCTTTCTTCTCTTCATGATGGAGAATATGCTTGCAGACAGTTCCTGAACTTCATATTTATGGCCTTTCACCATTCAAAAAAGAATGACTTGGGCCAGGCATGGTGGTCTACACCTATAATCCCAGAGAACTGGGAGACCAAGGCGGGAGGATCACTTGAGCCCAGAAGTTTGAGACCAGCCCGGACAATATAGTAGAACTCTACAGAAAAAAAATCTTTTTTAATTAGCTGGCTGTGGTGACACATACCTATAGTCCCAGCTACTTGGGAGGCTGAGGTGGGAGGATCCCTTGAACACAAGAAGTCAAGGCTGCAATGAGCTATGATTGCGCCACTGAACTTCAGCCTGTGTGACACATGAGACTCTATTTCCTAAAAAGCAAAAACAAAGAAACAAACAAAAAACAAAAGAATGACTTGTTTCTAAGTTCAAAT
The DNA here is from genome assembly GCF_000001405.40 of Homo sapiens. NCBI lineage: Eukaryota > Metazoa > Chordata > Mammalia > Primates > Hominidae > Homo > Homo sapiens. The sequence goes on along the minus strand of NC_000011.10, from coordinate 72,253,491 downwards.
AAGAAAAAAGGGTAAGGAAAGGTTTTATTGACCCATCTTTGAAAAGGGTCCACACCTGGACCAATTATGACTGAGGGAAGGATTATGTAAAAGCAATGGTCCCTGGGTAGCCATCTAGATGGATATGACAGTTCCCAAGAGGGAAGAATGGTGCTGGATGACCACTCCATAATTGTTCATTATGGCAGCCCATTGGCAGGTTCCTTCCCATGCACAATAACTTGGTGTATTAGTCTGTTCTCACACTACTGATAAAGACATATCCGAGACTGGATAATTTAAAGGAAAGAACCTTTTTTTTTTTTTCTTCTGAGATGGGGTCTTACTCTGTCGCCCAGGCTGGGGTGCAGTGGCATGATCTCGGCTCACTGCAACCTTCGCCTCCTAGGTTCCAGCGATTCTCCTGCCTCAGGCTTCCGAGTAGCCGGGACTACAGGCGTGGCACCTCCATGCCCGGCTAATTTTTTTTATATTTAGTAGAGACGGGGTTTCACCATGTTGGCCAGGCTGGTCTGGAACTCCTGACCTTAGGTGATCCACCCACTTCGGCCTCCCAAAGTGCTGGGATTACAGGCATGAGCCACCGCACTCGGCCAGGAAAGAGGTTTAATGTACTCACCGTTCCACATAGCTGGAGAGTCCTCACAGTCATGGCGGAAGGCAAATGAGCAGCAAAACCACGTCTTACATTGCGGCAGACAGGAGCGCTTGCGCCGGGGAACTCCTATTTATAAAACCATCAGATCTCGTGAGACTTATTCACTACCACAAGAACAGCACAGGAAATACTCGTCCCCATGATTCAATTACTTCCCATCGGGTCTCTCCCACAACACGTGGGAATTATGGGAGCTATAATTCAAGATGAGATTTGGGTAGGGACACAGCCAAACCATATCACCTGGATAAGCTTGTCAGAGCATAGCAACGTTGGTAGGGTCAAACTTTGTTTTTTCTTTCCCCTTTTTAAAGGAAGCAACAAGACTTCTCTGTACCATTGTCTTACAAAAACAACTAAGACATTCTAAAGAGAAATCCCCCCTCTCCCCAGGTAAGTTTCCATGTGCCCACCAGACTGGGAAATCCTTAAAGAAAGCATCCCGCCAGCACGGTGGCTCACGCCTGTAATCACAGCACTTTGGGAGGCCGAGGCGGGTGGATCACCTGAGGTCAGGAGTTCAAGACCAGCCTGGGCAACATGGTGAAACCCCCGTCTCTACTAAAAATACAAAAATTAGCTAGGCACGATGGCACGTGCCTGTAATTCCAGCTACTCGGGAGGCTGAGGCAGGAGAATCGCTCGAGCCCAGCAGGCGGAGGTTGCAGTGAGCCGAGATTGTGCCACTGCACTCCAGCCTGGGTGACAGAGCGAGACTCCGTCTCAAAAAAAAAAAAAGAAGTTTCATTACTTGATGGAAGTTATATTGGATGTCTGATCAAGCTCAGCTTCTGAGCATAATTGAATAACGATGACACTGAAGACATCACTTTGGAGGGTACAAAGATGCATTTCGATGCTAGGGAGGAGCTGTGGCTCCGTGTGCTCCCCCAGAGGAGAGGAGGGCTGGCAGGAGTGCACTGGAGTAAGAAGCCAGCATAGTGGCCACACTCTGAGCCCAGGACATTCTTGCTCAGATTTCTGAGGGGAGGCTAAGATCAGTGTTTCTGGCAGAAGTGAGAATAAAGTGGTGACACCTGGGAATCCCCAGGATACCACTCTCCAAATGATCACTGGCAAAAAGAGTTCTCCAGGGCACGGGTCCTTCCTCAACCGCTTCCACTGCCTGAGCTCACAGACTAAGTTAATGTCAGAGCAGGGAACGAAGCAGAAGATCCAGAGCAGTCCCCACTATATCTGTCCACAAGGATCCTTTTACCTGCCACTCCTTCTGTGGGGGACTCCTCCTCTGACACATGCTCATTGGCTTTACTTTTACTCTTTCTATAGGATCCCTCGCTGGGCCTTGGTCTCTTCATCTGCAAAAATGAAGCCATCACGCTGGGTAACTCTGCAGGGCCCTGATGCCTTCTGAATCTTTCAGGTAAAGGTGATGCTGTGGTGCATCGTGTCTGGGTTATATATGCAAGTTTCAGGAGTAACAGATCAGAGGGAGCCTGGCCAGAGTCTGGTGTGGATCTATCAGTGCCACAGTACTCAGTCACTTGATAAGAGGGAGAAGGGGGGAAGCAACCGCTGGGGGCCATGGACGGAGCTATGACAGAAGGGCCGCTCTTTTCGCAGAGTCAGCACTTTGGGACCAAGAGGTGGAGGAAGACCTGGGCCATGCTCTACCCGGCCAGTCCCCATGGCTAGCGCGGCTCAAGTTCTTTGACCATAAGGGGTCGAGCTCTGGGAGTGGCCGAGGGAGCTCGTGCTGCCTGGACTGCAAGGTGATCCATCTGGCGAAGTGTGTGAGTTTGGTCCCCGTGGCCGTGGAGAGCCTCCCTGAGCCCAGCGCCACTGCCTTCCGCCTGGACACTGCACAGCACTAGCACCTGCTGGCTGTTGATGTGCCGTCCAGTGCAGCCTGGTTGCAGACGCTGTGCCAAAACCCCCTTCGGAAAGGCAGCTGGACTCTGGAACCTACCAATAACCCACCTGAGCTTTCTGCCCTGGAGATGCTGGAGAACTCCTTGTGCAGCCCCACCTGGGAAGGATCCCAGTTCTGGGTAACGGTGCAGAGGACTGAGGCGGTCGAGCACTGTGGCCTGCATGCCTCCTACGTGCTGAGGGTGGAGGCTGAAAGGCTGACTCTCCTGACCATGGGAGCCCAGAGTCAGGTACCGGAGCTGCTCCTGTCCTGGCCCTACACTCTGTTGCATTGCTATGGCCGGGACAAGGTCATGTTCTCTTTTGAGGCCAGCGCCGCTGCCTCTTGGGCCCTGGAACCTTCCTTTCCAGACGGCACAGGGAAATGACATCTTCCAGGCAGATGAGACTGCCATCCACCGGCAGAAGGCCCAGGGAAAGGCCAGACAGGGGCACAATGCTCTCAGAGCTGATTCCCATGAAAGGAAGGTGGTAGAGGGGAAGTTCTCTTCCCCACCTGGACCCCAAGAGCTCCTTGAAAGCCCCCCAGCCCTGTATGCTGAGCCCTTAGACTCCCTGCACATTGCTTCAGGCCCATCCCAGGGCTCCCTATACTCAGACCTCTTGGACGGCACTCTTGCTCGGGCAGGAGAGGGAGTACAATGGAAGAAACCTCTCTATTGGGACTTGTATGAGCATGAGCAGCAGCAGTTGCTGAAGGCCAAGCTGACGGACCCCAAAGAGGATCCCATCTATGATGAACCCGAGGGCCTGGCCCCAGCCCTTCCCCAGGGCCTTTATGATCTGCCTTAGGAGCCCAAAGATGTGTGGGATGTCAAGCTGAGGTGAAGTAGGAGGGCTACAAGCTCCCCTACAACCCTGCCACTGATGACTACGCTATGCCACCCACCCAGAGAACAAAGACCCTCCCTGCTTCCAAGTCCCAGGGCCCAGCCTTCCCTGAACCTAGTACTGCAACTGGCAGGAGCAGCAAAAGCCACAACTCAGCCCTGTACAGCCAGGTCCAGAAGAGTGGAGCCTCAGGGAGCAGGGACTGTGTGCTTTCTACAGTAGGGACTGACAGGACTGGGGTCAAGTCAGAGGTCTCTACCTGAGAAGGAGGACTAGGCTGAAGTGGCTGAGGAGGACCATGGGGAGGTGGCACTAGGGATCAGAGAAAATGGTTAGAACCAGCAGAAGCCAGAGGGTGAGAGGGGCCATGCCGTGTGAGACCAGGGGACCAGAGGGATGGGGGAGTCAAGGGAAGGACAGTCAATCCCAGGAAGTCCTAAGAAGTGGGGCAGATGGCAGGGCTGAGGACGGGCTCTGCATCCCCCTAAAGCCATTCCTTCCCAACTTCCCCAAAGGAAGGGACAGCTGTGGGACCAGGTCTGTGGAAAGTGGTGCATGGTCAGAGTGGGTGCGGTTTGAGGGGCCTGTGTGGAGGCCTCAGAGAGATGTTGGACTGTGCCTGGATCCTTACCCCTGCATTATTCTTTGCCAGAGATATATTTTAAAATTTTTTAATTGTCATGAAAGTCAGCTTGGGTTTAAAAATAAATAAAAAAATTTTTAAAAAGAGGGAGAAGGGGTTGTCGTGGTGGTGGTGGTTAAATAGCTGATTTATTTAATGTGCCAGGCACTGTTCCAACACTTCATATATTTTAATTCATCTAATCATAAAATGAACTAATTTAAGCTGGGCATGGTGGCCTGTGCCTGAAGTCCTAGCTACTGGAGAGGCTGAGGCAGGAGGATCATTTGAGTCCAGGAGTTCGAGGATGCAGTGATCGTGCCACTGCACTCCAGCCTGGGCAACAGAGAGACATCCTGTCTCTAAAAAACAAACAAAAACTAGTTTGCAGATGAGAAAACTGAGGCACAGAGAGGTTGAATAACTTACCCTAAGTCACACAGCTCATCAATGGTGGAACCAGAGTTGAAACCCAGCAACCAGGCTCCAGAATTTGTCATCATTCTTGGAAGTGAAGCTGTCCTGCTCTGCAAGGAGGCTTCACAGCAAGATTGCAGTGACAGTGTTTCATGCTAGAGCATTTTTAGCTCCCCCAGGAGTACACACATTTTGGGGGTGGAGGCCTTAGTCAGGATGAGCTCCCCATATCAGACTCTCAACCACCAGCCGTTCTGGTATGAAGCCCTTGCAGAGTCCTTCCCACTCTGCCTGTCTCCTTCTTCTTTGATGGTGAGTTCTCAGGAAGCCTCTTTGCCTACCCCTATCACACATGCACACACACACGTGCACACATGTGCAGGCTGGCTTCCAAAGTTCCCTCACCTCTGCCATCTGAGAGACCTGTCTATATAGGTCTGAACCCAGTAGTGGACATGGTTTAAAACACTTCCTTGGAATGCTTCTCAGCTCCTATGCTGATCAGCAGATGCAAATGGATGCCTGCAGAGCAGAAACCCCAACTCCACATCCTGCGGCCTGGAAAGGCCAGTTCCTGCCCAGCTAACCCTGTAGCATCTTACAATAAAGCTTCTAATCACCACTACCATTTGTTTGATTACCTATAAATGTGTTAAGTCTTTAAAGATTGTATTGACCAGAACTCTTGGTTGCAAGTGTCAGAAGCCCAACCAAAAGTAGTTTAGACAGAAGGGAATTTATTGATTCAAGGACCAAACTGTAGAAATGGCAGGGCTTAAGCCAGGCATGGTGGCTCATGCCTGTAATCCCAGCACTTTGGGAGGCTGATGTGGGTGGACCACTTAAGGCCAGGAGTTCAAGACCAGCCTGGCCAACATGGTGAAACCCCGTCTGTACTAAAAACACAAAAATTAGTTGGTCATGGTGGCAGCGCCTGTAATCCCAGCTACTCGGGAGACTGAGGCAGGAGAATCACTTGAACCCAGGAGGCAGGGGTTGCAGTGAGCCGAGATTGCGCCACTGCTCTCCAGCCTAGGCAACAGTGGGAGACTCTGTCTCAAAAAGAAAAAAAAAAAAAGAAAAAAAGAAAAAAAAATGACAGGGCTAGATCATGGTCTCTGAGACAGCTGGAGCCAGGGCCTTAGGCAGCACTGGGACTCTGCCTCCCCTTATATCTCTGCTTGTCCCTGCATGCAAGCTTCAGTTGCTCCTAGTGCTGGTCAGCTTCACTGGGGAAGGGGTATGGCCACCTGCAAATTCCTCAGATGAGGAAGGACTTTCTTCCAGGCAGAGGTTGACTCGTGAGGGAAGAAGTTTCCTGTCCCTGGAGAGAGAGGAAATGAAGAGGGCAGGATGATCCCTCTTCAGAGAGTGCAGAGTGGAGTTAGGGGATGAGAATTTCTTCCCTGGAAGCAAGGGCAGGATTCTCCAACACGAAGATTTCAGATTAGCCTAATCCATTCATTTGACAAACAGATAAGAGAGGACCTATGACATGCAGAGTGATGGGCTAGGCACCACGGTAGGGCTGGGGAGTGAGTGAGAAACAAGATGACATAGTTCTGCCCTAAGACCTTGCACTGTATTGCAAACACTTCAGCAAGGTCATTTGAGTGACCAAAAGAGAGGAAGTACTACTATGGGACATGGCAGGGATGCCCAACCTAGTCTAGCAGCATCAGGGAAGGCTTCCAGGAAGCAATGATATCCAAATTGAGACCCAATGGATAAACAGGAGTCAACCAGGCTTGGGTTTGTTCGGTTTTGTTTGTTTTGTGTGGGAGGGCAGGGAATGAAATGGGCATTCCAGCCAGAGAGAACAGCTCTGAACCAAAAGATTAGTGTGTGATGGCTGCAAAGAAAGCCAAGAACAGGGGGAGGCAGGCTGGAGCGCTAGCACTGAGGACGTGGCGTGCCAGCAAGAGCTTGGACTTGATCATGAGGGCAATGGAGAGCCATGGGAGGGTCTGAGAGCAGTGATCCCATCTGATTTCCCAATTCTGAGATCCCTTGGACTCCCTGTAGAGTATATATTGAGGGGGAGAGGTGCACCTCACACACCAGGAGGGATAACTTTTTGAAGCAGTTGAGCTGTCAGGTCTCAATCTCTACAAGTTTAGACCTAAAAAGTCATTTGAGAAAAACAGAAAATAGCAAGTGTTGGCAAGGATGTGTCAAAATTGGAATACGGATGCATTGCTGGTGAGAATGTAAAATGGAAAAGCCTCTGTGGAAAACATTGTGGCAGTTCCTTGAAAAACAAAAAGAGAATTACTGTATGATCCAGGAATTCCACTTCTGGGTATATATTGAAAAGAATTGAAAGCAGATACAAATATGTTAGGCAGATATGTGTACACCCATGTTCATAGCAGCATTATTCACAACAGCTAAAATGTGGAAGCAACCCGAATGTCCACGGATGGATGGATGGATAAGGAAATGGGATATATAAAAGGAGTTATGCCAAAAAGACAAATACTGGGCTGAGTGTGGAGGCTCACACCTGTAATTCCAATACTCTGGGAGGCTGAGGTGGGAGGATCGCTTGAGCCCAGAAGGTTGAGGCAGCAGTGAGCTATGATCCCACCTCTGCACTGCAGCCTGGGTGACAGAGTAAGAGTATCTCAAAAATAAGTAAGTAAACAGACAAATACTGTATGATTCCACTTATACGAGGTCCCTGGTCAAAATAACAGAGACCAGCCTGGGCAACATAGTGAGACCCCCATCTCTACAGAAGATTTAAAAATTAGCTAGGCATGGTGGTGTGCACGTGTAGTCCCAGCTACTCAGGACGCTGAGGCGGGAGGATCGCCTGAGCCAAGGAATGCAAGACTGCACCATGATCTCGTTGCTGTACTCCAGCCTGAGTGACAGAGTGAAAGACTGTCTGAAAAAAAAAAACACAAAATCATAGGGACAGAAAGAGGAATGGCGGTTTGCAGGTAGGATGGGGAAATGGAAGGTGTTGTTTAACGGGTAGAGTTTTGATTTTACAGGATTCAAAGAGTTATGGAGATGGATGTATTAATACATAAATATGAATGTATTTACTACCACAGAACTATAGCTCAAAGTGGCTAAGATGGTAAATTTTATGTTATGTGTATTTTGCCACAATAAAAACATTTGACAAGAGGTAATTTGAGAAACCTCAAAGAAATCCCCTGGCATGGAGTGGTTCCGGAGATTGGGGATAGAGAGTCCTCCTGGGAAGCCCAGAACGGATGATGGGGGAAGGATTACCTGAGGAGAGGCGCACTCCCCTCTGTCCTGACAAACTTGGGGAGAATTCCAGGAGTCCTTCTATCAACCCCCAAGGACTTCAGCTGGAAACAAAGACACGCCCTTCCCGCGGCTTCTCCATGGGTCTAGGACTCCCCATCTACAAGACCTGCCAAGATCGGTGGAAGAGGCTGGGGGTTGAGTGGACGAGCTGCCCAACCCAGCTCAGGAGCGACGGAAAAGTTATCTGTTCCCTTCTCTTGGTAAGGATTCTGAATGTGTCCCGCTGTCCCACAGCACGAGGGAGCTGGTGACTGAATCTGTGCAGGGATGTCTGGGCCAGGTGCAGACTGAGTCTAGGTGGTTTCCCTGGAGAAAAAAAGCGGGGGGCCCTGGAGAACAGGGGTAAGAGACTGAAGAACAATAAAGAGGTCACGGGGTACGTTCCCTTTCTGACATCCATCGCATCCTGAGCCCAAGGTCACAGGAGAGGGTCGCATACTGCAGATGGAGCTGAGGGAACGGGGGGAGAGGCAGGCGGGCCCTGAAGGTGCAAGGTCGTGTGGGCCTCGGGACAAGTCAGGGTAGAGGGACCTGGCTCCCACGACCCTCCCTCTCCGCAGCCCCGTGGAGGCCGCACCCCAGAGCCTCCAGCATCATCCCTGGGCCCCTCTGCGCTCCAGCCCTCGTGTCTAAGCTCCCCGGAGGCGTTTTCTCTCCGCTCTCAGCCTCTGCTCCCGCGCTTGTGGCTGTCCCTGGCCCTGTCTCTCTCAGACTGTCCCTGGGCATATGTGTCTGTCTCACGATTCCTGCCTCTGTTTTGTCTCATCCCTCCCTTGCTCTCCACCGCAGTCCTGGTTGCCGTCCATGTCTCATCCCGACCCCTTCTGTCTCCATGCCTCCCTCACTCTCTTTCTCGTCCCCCTGTCTCCCTGTCTCCTCTTGTCTCTCTCTTAACCTCATCTCCTGTCTCTGCCCTGTCCCCGCTCCATCCTGTCTCTCTCTTACCCTCATCTCCTGTCTCTGCCCTGTCCCCGCTCCATCCTGTCTTTCGCTGTGTATGTTCCGTCCTTGTCTCCCTCTGTGTACCTGTATCTCTTGTCCCTGTCTCCATCACTGTTTCTGCCCCTTTCTCTCCCGGTCTCTGTTTCCTCTGTCTATCCACGTCCCTTCCCTGTCCCCATCCCAGGCTCCGTCTCTTCCCGGTCTCCATCCCCCTTCCTGGGCCGCCTCCGCAGTCTCCGCCGGGATGGGACCTCGCTGGGGGCGGGGCTGAGGGGCCAGATCGGAATAACTCGGTTATCAGAGCGAATTGAATTAACTTCTTCACACGAGCGCCGCCAGGCCTGCCTCCCCTCCCTTCCGCGGGGCCGCAGGTGGGGAGGCCCGGGAAAAGGGTCGGGACCCTCTGGCCTCGGACGCTGTGTAGAGACCGAAGGTCTGGTCCGGATTGGGGCAGGATAGGGACTCCGGGGATAGGGTCCCGCGCATCCCAGCTCCACACCTCTGAGCCCTAAGACGGCGGCGGGGACCCTTCGGGGTGGGGGTCGGGGCGGCTTTGGGCGGTGTCTGGGCCTCCTAGGCCCCGCCCCTTCGGAGCTCGCCCCGCCCCGCCCCCCTCCGCGGGGTCCTGCGCGTTAAAAGGCGCGCGGGCCGGGCTGGCTGCACTTGCGTTGCACCCGGGCTGAGTGCGGCCGCGACGGGGCGGGCGGACTCTCGGGCGCTCAGAGCTGGCCTCGGGTCCTCGGAGCCTGGCGCTCGAACCTCCCTTCCGACCTCCACCCGGACCCCGACCCCGACCCGGCCTGGCCCGGCCCCCGCCCCCGCCCCCCGGGCCGATGGACTACTCCTACCTCAATTCGTACGACTCGTGCGTGGCGGCCATGGAGGCGTCCGCCTACGGCGACTTTGGCGCCTGCAGCCAGCCCGGCGGCTTCCAATACAGCCCCCTGCGGCCCGCTTTCCCCGCGGCAGGGCCGCCCTGCCCCGCGCTCGGCTCCTCCAACTGCGCACTTGGCGCCCTACGCGACCACCAGCCCGCGCCCTACTCGGCAGGTGAGCGCAGCCCCGGCCCAACCCTCCCTCCAATTCCTGCAGAATCCCTGGGCCCGCTCGCCAAGTGAATGCGACTGTCCCCCTCAGCCGCCCCCATTCCTGCCTTGGCCAGACCCTCCAATGCCCCGAGAGACCCCCAGAATACGAGGTTCTCCTCCGCAGGAATGAGCCTCACCCTCTCATCTCTCCTGTTCCTTTTTCTCGTTGCCAAATCTCTGTCTCGTGCCCTTCAGGTCAAGGAAATATATCCCCATCCAGCTCTGGGCCCCTTACCAGGCCTTCCCCTCACCACCTGCAAAGACTGACCACTAAACCTCTACAAGCGCTGGATCTTTGAAAAAGGCTCCCAGCCCAGCCCTATCACCACTTATCACCCCACCCCATCACCGCTGCCCCACGAGATGCATGACCCCCAGCAAGGACCTCTCCAGGCAGCTGAGCTGCCCAGACGGGAAGCTTCCTAGAGCTCGCGTGGCCATCAGGCCCCTCCTGCCCTGTCTTGGACCCACGCTGCCTGGGACCGAACCCTTCTGTAGCCACCAAAACCAGATCCCGTAGCCCGCAATAAAGGGGCCCGGGTTTTTAAGCCACTTGTATTTCCCCATTCCCCCAGACTCTCCCAGCTAGAGTTCTGTAGAACCCGGAAGCAGCTCCTGCATCCCCAAGACTTTAGATCCAAGTCCCTGTCCAAACCCTCAACCTCACTGAGCTTCTCAGTCATCTCAGCCCTCTGATTAGAGTCCCAGCCTGCCCTATGTAATCTTATCGCCTTCCCTCCTGGGAAGACTGCCGGGGACCCAAGTAGAAGACTGGGGCCTAAGGGCCAGGCGCGGTGGCTCATGCCTGTAATCCCAGCACTTTGGGAGGCCAAGGCGGGTGGATCACTTGAGGTCAAGAGTTCAAGACCAGCCTAACCAACATGGTGAAACCCCATCTCCATTAAAAATACAAAAAAAAAAAAAAATTAGCTGGGCATGGTGGCCCACGCCTGTAATCCCAGCTACTTGGGAGTCTGAGGCAGGAGAATCGCTTGAACCTGGGAGGCAGAGGTTGCAGTGAGCTGAGACTGTGCCATTGCATTCCAGCCTGGGTGACAGAATGAGACTCGGTCTCAAAAAAAAAAGAAGAAGAAGAAGAAGAAGACTGGGCCCTAGGCTGGGGTTTGGGGAAGAGATACGAGAAATGAGAACCTGGATTTGGAGAAATGAGGCCCAGGGTGGGGAGATTGGGTACCCTGAGCCAGATGAGGGTAGGGATTGGGAAGAGGGGAGACAGCCTCCAGAGATACAGGGTTTTGAGACCAGAGAGATGGGGATAAGGTACAGAGAGATGGGAGCAGAGATGGAAGCACTGGAAATCCTAGGAGAAATGGGGACTCAGGGTTGGGGAGATAGAGATAAGTATCAGGCGATGGGGACCAAAGAAGATTAGAAATAGAGATGACGAAGATAAGAATACAAATGGGGTGCTGGAGACAAGAATCAGGGGAGATGGAGGCCTGGATGGGACAAAGATGAGATTGGAGACCCCTGGTGAATATGAAGACTTAAACCAGGGTTACAGACAGGGAAGGGAAGTACTGTCAGAAACACTACCTATGGGGCAGTGGAGACTGGGATGGGTATAGGAAGAGAGTTGGGGGGCAGTGTTGGCTTTGGAGGAGATGGGACATGGAGAAGGTGCCTGGGGAGGAAGAAGGAGGGCAAAGAGAAGATGGAGGAAGTCTTCTCAATGGGCGCAAAGAGAAGATGGAGGAAGTCTTCTCAATGGGCACAAAGAGAAGAGTGGCTGAGAAATGGAAAGTTGAAGAGAGATTCAAATGGAGGAAGATTAGGAAGAGGAGAGGGGGACATCTAGGGGAGAATGGGGGTCAGGGGAGTGGGGCAGAATTGAAGAAATGAGGCTTGGGAAGGGGAGAGGTGGATGGGTGGAGGGAGCCAAATCTGTATACAGCTGAGAGCCGGTGGGAAGGCTGGTGGTAGGGCTGAAAGGAGGGCCGGTGGGAGGGTCTCTGTTGCAGAGCCTTGGCCCAGAACTGGTTAGTGGGAAGACTGGCAATGCTGATGAGACCTGACAGACATCCAGGGCCAGGGTAGACAGAGGGGACAGACGGGCTGAGAGACAGACAGGAGGGAAGGGTCGGAGGCACGGTTGAATGGGGGTGCAGGGGGAGATGGAGGGAACAGGGCTTGGGAGGAGGGCGACGACGGGGGTGGGGTGGGGGAGGGAGTGTCTTGGCTGGAGTATTGGATTATGCTTTCCCCTTGGCCGCTCTTGGGGCTCAGGTCTCCCTGATCTCCCTCCGCCTTTATCCCGCCGGCTCCATTGAGTAATAGGGAGGACGCTCGGCCCCAGGCTGCCGGGACCAAGACGAGGGATCAGGCCAGGGACGGGGGAGGCGTGTGATTCCCCCGGAGCTGGACACAACGGGTTGAACTCTGCTTCTCACTCCCCCATCCTTTTTGCCCCCCCCCCGGCCCCCCTGCACACACCCGCAGTGCCCTACAAGTTCTTCCCAGAGCCATCCGGCCTGCACGAGAAGCGCAAGCAGCGGCGCATCCGCACCACGTTCACCAGCGCGCAGCTCAAGGAGCTGGAGCGCGTTTTCGCTGAGACCCACTACCCCGACATTTACACGCGTGAGGAGCTGGCGCTCAAGATCGACCTCACTGAGGCTCGCGTGCAGGTGCGTGTATGCACGTGTGTGTACGAGAGTGCGCATGGAAGGAGGTGTGGGAGCTTAATGTCTAACACCTGGGGGTAGGGGAATACAGGCAGATGCAGCCCGAAGGCAGGGCGCGGTCCCAGGGTGCTTGGGCAGCTACGGGAGGCAGCAGGGCCCGGACTTGGAGGCCCTTGGGAGACCCGATCTGTTTAGCTCCAGGCTACCTCCGCTCTGTCTCCCTCTTAGGGCAGAAAGTTCCGAGTGATGCTTGAGAAGCCAGGAGGGAGGCCGAGGGGCTAGAGGGGGAGACCCAGGGGACCTCAGGGCCGAGCTGAGGAGGAGAGGGGGCAGGCCAGTCAGCACCCCTGGGGTTCCCTACCCCGGCGCTGCAGCTTTGAAAACCCGGAGCCCGGGAGGCTGAGTTTGTGGCAGGCACAGGGCCGAAGAGAGCCGGGCTAGAGCAGACTGTTGTCTATTTGTACAACTCCGTGTACAGATGTTCAGTTGGCCCGCCTTGACTGGATGCCCTAGACAAAAGGTTTACTGGCGCCCTAAACTGCTCTCCACGGCCCTGGAACACTCCAGGAGGGAAGTCCCAGAGCTTCCTAAAAGAAGGAATTGGGGGAAGAACTTAGAGTGAGGAGAACGAAGGCAGGGTCCCCTCCGGGAGACCAAGAGTGCTGGGAGGCAGCAGAGTCAGCGGGTGAGTGGATCCCAAGGGCAAGAACCCAGGGATCTGGAGGCAGGGGCCAGTGGAGCGCGGAGTGCAGCGGGCTGCGTGCGGAGGGCCGAAGGCCCCTCCAACTAGTAAGAACCCGGGCCCGGTTCTTTCCGAACCAGGATCTCACTCGAGCCTTGCGGCCGCGGGCTGACCCCGTGCGTTCTCCGACCCTCGTCCAGGCTGACTGGCCCCTGTGCCCGCAGGTCTGGTTCCAGAACCGCCGGGCCAAGTTCCGCAAACAGGAGCGCGCGGCCAGCGCCAAGGGCGCGGCGGGCGCGGCGGGCGCCAAAAAGGGCGAGGCGCGCTGCTCCTCCGAGGACGACGATTCCAAGGAGTCCACGTGCAGCCCCACGCCCGATAGCACCGCCTCGCTGCCGCCGCCGCCTGCGCCCGGCCTGGCCAGCCCGCGCCTGAGCCCCAGCCCGCTGCCCGTCGCACTGGGCTCCGGGCCGGGACCTGGGCCGGGGCCACAGCCGCTCAAGGGCGCACTGTGGGCCGGTGTGGCGGGCGGTGGGGGCGGCGGGCCTGGCGCGGGAGCGGCCGAACTACTTAAGGCTTGGCAGCCGGCGGAGTCCGGCCCCGGGCCCTTCTCCGGGGTTCTGTCCTCCTTTCACCGGAAGCCCGGCCCCGCCCTGAAGACCAATCTCTTCTAGCTGCCGGCCTCTGGAGGCTCCGAGCCTGCCCCCAGAGACGTCCCTGCCCCTCCAGGACCTGACAGCCCCTCCCATCCTGGCCACCCGCCTGGAAGTCCCCATCCGTCTCCACTCCCTACTGTCTCACCCCTCGGTGTGTCCTCCCCAACTTTGGAGACCAAGTCAGGGCCACTCTCGTCCTCACCCACCCTCTACCAGCAGAGCGGAGTTCTTTATACCGGGACCTCCTCCAGGAGAACCCCGGAGCTCCTTCTAGCTTGGCCTTCTTTGGATGCGGTATCACATGAGGCCTGTCCCTAACAGTGCCCTCAAAGTGAAGGTCCTCAAGGAGGATCGGCACAGCCCCCTTCCCTGGCTCTGCAGCGGCTGGGTCACCCCTTACGCTGGTGATCAGGAAAGCCCGCTGCCCCACCCCTCGGGCCCACCCGTACAGAGGCTGGTGGTCGCCGGGATAATTAATGACCACCGCCAATTCATCCCTCACGTGTCTCCTCTCTTCCCTAGCCCGTCTGGCACAGAGGGTGGACCTGTTAGAGGAGTGGAGGGGCTGCCTGGGGAATGGGACAGAGGGATTCTCTTTCCCTAATTTTTTTGGTTGTCCTTTTTCTTTGAAAAACTTGTAATTTATTGAAGTTTTACTCAATCCAAATAAAACTTAATTTATTGAAGACATCACGCCGCAACCCTTACGACTGCCCAGGAGGCTGCTTGCAAGACCCTGTCCCGGGCTGAGACCTGCGAGGAACCTCCCTCCCCCACCCTGCCGCCGTGCATCCCCAGAGCAGGGCAGCACAGACCAGGAGACAGTGAGAACTAAGCAAACTGGCACTTTATGGCTGAGATCCTGCCCCACCCCAACCAACCCCAATAATATTAAGGTGCTCTCCCTCCCCAGACCCACACAGAACAGTTTAAATAAACCCCAGCCCGGTCCTCGGGCTATTCCTTCATTTCCGGACGGACACCCGCCCCCACCCCCAGCGGGGGTGGGGAGGTCTTAGCGGAGCTCCTCCGCTGTGGTTCAGGCCCGGTGGAAGGCCGCAGAAACTGGTGAAAGTGGGGGCCCAGACGTACCCAAATGGACCCCCACAGGCACCCCTGGGGCTGGGAGGCGGGGTCCAGTAAAACAGGACAGCACCAGAGTAACCAGGGTCCTCGGTAACCATGGCAACTGACCTTCCGTCCTGAGCCTAAAAGGCGAGGGGCAGGATGCCCTAATTAGGGCATTGCAAATGATTGGGCAGCGGGGAATGCAGATCCCCAATAAATAGGCACCCCAATAAATAGGCAGAGAGATACTGCCCTGACCCTCATAACTTTTCAACCCTGGGGCCATAGCTGGGCCTTGGTAGCAGGGAGGGGCTCTGAGTTCACAGCTTCGTGGTGCCTCCGCTATCACTTGCTGAGCTGCAGGGTGTCCAGAAGGAGGCGCTTGTGAGCCGGGTCCTGCACCCCAGCCTCCTCCAAGTCCTCCTCGGTGATGTCACTGTGGAGTAAAACAGGCTGGGAAGTGAGATGGGCAAGGGGATCCTGAGGGCCCCAGCTCCGCCCCCGGGGCCAGCCCCTCCCCCACCTGAGAAACTCCAGGTCGTCCCAGCCATTATGCACCAGGCCCTCCTCATAGCGCTCCAAGCCGATGGCCCGCAGCCAGGCACTCATGCCTGCCTCGCCCAGCCCGCTGGCCCGCCCGCCCTGCAGGCACGGAGCCTAAGGAAACAGGGCATGTCAGGGGGAGCTGAGTGCCCCCCATAGAAACACCTGCAGTCACATTCTGCTGCATGCTCTGGGGAAAAGGAAGGGAAGGGCTGGGCTGATACATGTGTCTCCCAACTTCCCAGTGATCAGTTCAGGGTAGCAGGGACACCATGAGTGCTGAATGGTGGAGTGAAAGGGTACCAGTCTGTGGGCAAGCACACTCAGGCACACACAGACAGCCACCCTGCTCCACACACCTCCTCTGCCAGGTCTTCCTGGATGCTCTCCCGGATGCGGGGTGGAGGGAAGCTGAGGGGCCGGCCATAGTCCGAGGGCAGTCCCCGGGGGGGCTGCAGCTCCAGGGGGCCTGGGAGGAGCGCTGAGCGTGCAGGCCCAGCAGGGGCATAGTCCACCTCGCTCAGCGTCTTGGCCATCTGCAGCACCGAGCAGGACCGGTCATCCCCACTGGCCACTTCCCCCAGGAAAGTGCTGGCTGGTGAGGGGCCTGGGGGCAGTGGAGGCCTTGGATGGGCCTTGGGAGGTGGTGGGCCACGGGCCTCAGCCCCACCACGGCCCCGGACCACTGGCCCTGGTAAAGGATCCAGGCTGGGGGGCAGGAAGATGGCTGAGTCCGGCAGTGGTGGAGGTGGAAAGTCTGGAGGGGGCAGTGTGCCTCCAGACTCCTCATCTGAAGAACTCCCCTCTCCCACACGAGGGTGCCGGTGGTGCCCAAGCTGTGGAGCAGGCACTGTAATGGCCACTTTGTTCTTGGTGGCAGATGGGACAGGGGCCCTGGCAGGCGAGGGTGGCTCCGGGGGCAGCAGCTGGTGCGGGACCCCTTCAAGGACGTAGTAGGCAGGGTTATTGAAGCTGTTCTTGGGTGGGGGGGCCGCCACCCCTTCTGGTTCAGGAGCTCCCTCTGGCTTCAACCTGGGTGTGGAAGCAGAACGACTAAGCCAGGATCCAGGAACCCAGGTCTAAGGCAGTGGAAGCAGTGGAAGGAGAACTAGACGGGAGTCAGAAAGTCCCCTGGTCCTAGACTTTCTCATGACCTTGAGCACATCACCTGCCCTTAGTTTCTTCATCTCTAAAGGTCAGAGGGAGGATAACCCTTTGAATGGATAACCCTACAATCCCTTGCCTCACTTGCTAAGATACTTAGATCTTTCATGACTTTATCTGTAGCTGTGAAACCCAAGCTAAATGGGTCAGAATAGAGGTGCCAGAAGACAGGGCAAGAAGCCTCCAATGAGAGGCCAGGTTTGGAAAGCCTCTTGAGGCACCCACAGTCAATCCGCTGCAGAATCTTTCTCAGAGATTCAGGTGGGTCTTATTCAAGCCTAGGGATAAAACCGGGGTGACTGACAACAGCTGAAGATGAGTGAAAAAGCACCAAACTGTACCTAGGAGTTTATGTAAGTTTAAGCAACAATCGGATATAATTAGAAAGCAAGCCTCACTTTCCCAAAGTGTGACACAGAGCACTAATTCCCCAGAACGTTAATAGTTACTACATGGAAAATAAGTTTCCTGGCCCATTAAGTTTGGGAAACTATATTAAACAGAGCTGAAAAGAGGTTTCCTTCCTGTCCACATGCTCAGAGCTTTTGCTAATACTAACATGCACTGGGAATGTCTAAGAAAAGAATCTAGAAAAAGCATTTCCCAAACTCATTTGACCACAAACCCATTTCAACTGGGGCCTCTTGCAGGACAGAGTTCCAAAGAAGGTACCCTGGGAAATCCCAGGCCGAGCCATGTGCCTCCTCCAAATAGAAGGCTCAAGCTAGGTCTGTTTACATGGAGGGAGCTGTCTTAGAAACAATTTCGCATTCCATTTTTAAAGGCAGAATTGAGAGGAAAGGCTGACTGCTCCCTTTGACTCAGAGCCACAGCTAAGGGTGGCCTGGCTGGCCACAGGCATAAGGCCATGGCAGCTCCAACCACAGAGTGGCAGGGCACCTAAGCAGCTGATGATCTCCAGGCCAACCCTGAGACCCTGCAGGGGATAGTGATGGATAGAGGTGGGTGGGGGAAGGGGGGGCGGTGACAGGTTCCTCCTCTCACCTGGGGGTCAAGGGCTCCTCCCGGGGAGCTGCTCGGGGTGGGGCTGGGGGCCTCCCCGTTGGTGGCGGTTTCTCTGGTTCTTCAAATAACCTGGAGAGCGGGCAGGAGGCCTCTGTGAAGGCTGGCTTGCGGCTCCCTGACCTGCCAGGGATGCACAGGAGAGAGATGAAGTGGGGTTGACCAGATGCCCCCAGGTACCCTTTCATATGACATTCAACACAGCCCTAGCTCACCTGGGCTCCTGGCTCCCTCGGGACACAGAGGGGGCTTTGCTCTTTGCTCCTGCCTCATCCTTATCAATGCTGATCCACTCTGAGGGGGCAGGAAGGGAGACTCAGAGGAGACCTGGGCTCCTGGATCCCACAGACACCCAGTGGGCCTGCCAGCCCTTTCCCAGCTATGCCTTGGGGCAGGACTATTCCCAGCTGTGGCTGCAGAACCTCCAGGTATCCCAGAGATTCCAACATGCCCCCCGCACCCTGCCCTCCTTGATCTGTTCACACCACCCTATCTCATGTCCCAGTGGAGTCCCCACCGTAGAGCCGCTCACGGGTGCCCAGGCGCTCCGTGGGCACCCGCACCTTCATGGAGCCTCTGATATTGCCTGTCTCCTCGCCACGGTGGGATAGGAAGGTCAGGAACTGTTGGGCCGTGCTGCCGATCATGGATTTGAGTGCAACCACACACTCCCCTGAGGAGCAGATGGGACAAACCAGCAAATTACCAAGCTAATCTAGGGCCCTGTCTGGCTTCCTGTTCCCCTCAGCACCCCTCACCCCTCACCATAGGATTCATAGCCATCCATGGACTTGACTGTGAGCAGGAGGTGCTGGTCCTGCAGGTACTCGATATCAGCCAGAATTGGTTTGAGCTGGGAAGCAGGGAGGCCCAGTGAGGAACAAAGCCCCGCCACTTCCTCCTGCCCCTCCTACGCGCTGCCCCCTGACACCACTCAATCCCCACCCTCAGGTCATCTGTGCTCACTCACACTCAACTCTTCAGAGAAGAGCCAAATCCTTAATGCAGAAGACACAGCCCTATACAGGCCTTTTACAGCACCTAGCATCACTGTAACTAATTAATTTTCTCAATAGCTAACACAGGACCTGACATCTAGCAAAAGCTCAAGAAGCATCTCCTGAATGAATGAACAAACTGCAACAAGGTTCCACACTCCCAAAATAAAGCAAACGCCTTTATCCTCACTCATGCCCATGCCCATACACACACACACACACACACACACACACACACTCTCTCTCTCTCTCTCTGCTGGCCCCACACTCCCTCCCAGGCAGGCTCTCCAATAAACTCTTATGTACCCCTCTCTGTGCCCTCACCCATAAGCAGGGGCCCTGCCCACAGCCTCACCGTGGGCAGCTGGCGTGAAGACCACTGCACTTTGAGGAAGTTGATGTTGTCACTGCTCTGGGCATCATTCTCAAAGCTCTTCTTGTATTCTGGGGTGGGGGTGGGAGACACCCAACTGAGCACCACCTCTCAGCTTCCTTTCCCCCTAAGTAGGGGGCTGACTGCACCCTCTTGCCTCCCATCCTCCTTGGCCCACACCCAGCCCCTGCCACGCCTCTGACCCTCCAGGCAGGTAGAGTAGAACTCGATGAAGAACTTGGTGCGGCTGGCTGTCTTCACAATGGCCTCGATGCTCTCAAACTCAATGTAGGCCTGGTCTGAAGTCTTTGAGAGCCCTGAGGAGAAAGGGAGGAGAACAAACAGGAGGACTGAGAGGATCACAGGAGGAATGGGACAGAGAAACAGGGCCCTGGGACAGGAAATCAGGGGTCCAGAGCAAGGAGGCAGGGCCAGGAGGGGCCTCCCCAGTCCCAAGCCACCAACAGGGAATCTCCAGAGGCCAGACCCTGGACCAGAGCAAAGAGACAACCCAAGGATAAAAAACCCATTGAAGAGGGTGCTGGGGACCAGAATGCCTGCAGGATTCCCACACCTACAGGCATACTCAGGGACACACACGTGGCCCTAGACAGACACAGACACATAGATAGGTGTACACTCACGTATGCACACACACTCATGGGCACACAACTCTTGTGATGGCCCAGGCGCACAGACACCCTGACACATCACACCTTGAGAAACACTCCTGCACTCACTGGTACACACACCCACACACACACTTACATAGTCAAACCTATGTACATCCCGAGGCCACCACCTGTGCCCACCTAGATTATGCCACACCCACAAGCATATCTGGAACAGTCACCTTTCTTGGAGATGAACTGGGAGGTAACTCCAACCTCAAATGTCCCAAACACGGGGGAATGGTCGCTGGTGACGATGTCATCAGTGCAACCTGGGGAGAGGGGATAGGAATGGGGACTCAGGGGGAATATTCCCACCCTCGGCTCCCACCTCCCAAGGTTAGGGCAGAGTCCAGATGGTGACCACCCCAGATCTCCCATCACTCTGTCCGGGAGGCTCTGACCATAAGAATTGCAGATGATGTGAGTTTCAGGGTAGGATTTCCACAGAATCCGGTCACACCATGAGGGCACATTGGTCCGGACCTGGGGCAGGGGATGGCAGCATGGTTAGAGCTGACAGCTAGGAGGCTGCTTGGCATGGACCCCACTCCAGAGCTGATGAGTCCCCACACTTCTATTACTAGAGGCCCTAGCACCCACCTCCCTTCTTGGATCCTCAAAATACCCAGGATCACCCAAAGGCCTCAGAGGGGCCATGGAGGCTGGAGTGGAAGCTGCAGAGGCCCATACCCTTGACCCAAATTCTTGATTCATCGCAGGCCTGCGGTCCCCCAAGGCCCATGCCGTTTTCTTGGCTCACCCCAGTTGGCTTCTGCTTGTGCCAGGCATATGTGTCCCGGGAACCCCGCTCATAGCGGTAGGTGGGTGGGAAGGAGATCTCCTCCTCACCTAAGGAAAGCAGGAGACAGGTGGGGTTCAGGGCCCTGACACCCAGGGATACTGCAAGTCTCCTAGCCCTCAGATCACCACCTACCAGGCCCACACTCACTGAATCGAAGGAAGACCTTGTGCTTCTCCCGCTCCAGGTTGAGCTGGTCCACCCTGAGGAGGGGCTCAAACTCTTTCCTGCTGATGTAGTTCAGGATCTCCTGGGGTGGAGGACACAAAGGCTAGAAACATTCCTCCGGAGCCAGAGCCAGGGGTGATAGCCCATGTGGCCCTTAGCCTCCCTACAGCCATGGCAGGGCCCTGCTCGCACCTGGATATCCATGTCCAGGCGGTAGTTGAGGTCCCCAAACCAGAAGAGGTGTGTGAAACGCAGAGAGATGTCAAAGGCATTGAGCTGCCGGTCGCCCAGCGAGAGCAGCCGCAGGATGTCCAAGTAGTTTTGGTTCCTCCTAGGGTGAGGGGTGCGTGGTGGGGAGGGGTAGATCCCCAGGGTCAGGGCCAGAAGTCAGGGATAGGCATAAAGGGAAGAAGTCTCAGGAGTCAGGGATGGGGTAAAGATCCGGGCCCCTGGGGACAAGGTTAGGGTCAGGAACAGAAGGGTCTTGAATTGGGATAAGAGAGCAGGGGGTCTCTGGAGACAGGCCTGCGGGAGGGTCATGGGCTAGGGTATGGGAGCGGGAACAGGCCTCAGGTGAATGGGATGGGTGTAAAGAGACCATGGGAAAGGCGCCCCCTCACCGAGCCGTCTTCTCATTTCCCGAGGTGAGGTGACAATTCACAAAGCCAAATGAGGTGCCATTAAACATGAAGGAGACGCCCACAGCCCCCTTGTTCCCTGTTAAGGCAAGCAAGAGAGGAAGGCCTGGGTCATCCTCAGAGGGCTCCCAACTCTCCCTTCTGCCTCTCAAAGCTGCAGTGAGAGGATCCTCCCGCTGAGCCCACCAGACGCTGTGACATGGGCAGGCCCCTGCACACACCCACACCTTCCCTGGGGGAGGGGGGGGTCCTCATTGGGCACACATGGTCTGTGTGGATGGCCTGAGTCTGTCTGTATGTGTGAGCAGAGCCCCTGGAGATCACAGGGGACCCCAAGGGTGAAGCTGAAAGGCCCTGCAGATTCTGCGCAGAATCTACCTGGGAGAGCACCAGACCGAAAATCAGGAGACCTGGGCACAATGCCTGGCTCCACCACTTACTTGCTGTGTGACCTTGGGCAGGTCACTCAACCACTCTGGGTTTGAGTTTTATCATCTGTGAAAAGGGGGTAATTATCCTGGCCTTGCCTTCCCAGTGGTGCTGGGAGAGATTTAGAATATGAATATGTTTTTCAAAGTTCAAAGTACCCTATATATGGGGAAACTAAGATCACCAAAAATGGGGCAATCCTAGGCTTGAGAGGAAGCAGAAGCCATGGACAGAGAGACGCTGCCACTCTTGGGCACCTGCCAGCCCCACTTACCCAGGGTGTTGGCGATGCCAGTCTTCACACTGGACGTACTGACATGGCTGATACGGTTCTCGTGCTCTGGCTTGACCAGCACTGCCACCTTGATATTCCACAGTGATTGCATGGCAATCTGGGTAGAGAGTGCATGGTCACCACTGCCCTGCTGCACCCACTGCCTGCATTTCCCCCTGCACTATAAATAGACTTTTGTGTCCATCACAGGGTAGGAAGGCTTGCCACCCCTCTTCCTGACGGACTGGAGAGAAATGGTTCCTCTCGTGGCATGAAGGACTCAGGTCAGATCTCCCAAAGGATATGCTCAGGGACCAGAGAAAAAGCCAGTGAAGCTGTGCTCCCAGGGTTGCCCATGAAGTCAAGTAGGCTAGTTTGGAGGTGGTGTGTGAGGACAGGGTCCTGGACAAGATGACCCCCCCTCACCGGGCGGTAATCCAGATCCGTAAGCTCCTTGAGGCCCCCGCGCAGTAGGTCCAGCCACTCGCGGTCGCCCACTGAGTTCTCCTGGGTCCCAAAGACATAGATGTCATGGGGTATGGTCACTGTGACCTCGTCCAGGGTCTTCCCCAGACCCTTCGATGTGAACCAGGATGTCACGTTTTTTGGAGGTGGTACACTTCCTGGAGGTGAAGGGGGTGAGGTGGGTCTGGAGGGGTTAGGCACCTGCTCTGGGGCCATCCCTCTCTCCCGCCCCAGCCCCAGCCCGGGCCTGACCCATGTTCCAGGTGCCTATGAAGACTGAGATCATGTCGGGCTCGTCCTGCTTGGAGTGCTTGTTCTTCATGAGCTGCAACAGCTGGCAGAAGGCCTCCCGCTTCTGG
Source organism: Homo sapiens (assembly GCF_000001405.40). Classification (NCBI taxonomy): domain Eukaryota; kingdom Metazoa; phylum Chordata; class Mammalia; order Primates; family Hominidae; genus Homo; species Homo sapiens. Next base: position 72,230,791 of record NC_000011.10, on the reverse strand, counting down.
GGGAACAGCAGCCACTCAGGGGCGGGTAGGCATCCAGGAAGCCCCCCGTCCACAGGGATACCCTGCCAGTTGGCTCATGTCCATGAGGAGAGGGTCTGTCTGGTTCTCCACTGCATACCCACTGCTCAAGCATATAACAGTGCTGGCAAATGTTATCCACCCTCAGGCCACCCGTTCTCAACACCCTCTACCCTGTCAGACCTACCCCTGCCAGGAGGGATGGCATGCCTACATCATGTGTTCCCTTTCTTACCCTCCAATGGGAAGCACCCATGTGGGGGACCCCCGCAGTCCCCAGTGGCCTGGCCCAGCCTGCTGCTCACCCGGGCACTGACAAAGATGAAGTCCTTGCGCTGAGTCCGGTCCTTCTCCTTCTCAAACACAACACCCAGCTTGTTCTGGACACGCTGGGACTTAATGAGCTGGCGGACTAGGGCATGGAGGACCGGTCACATGGGCCTGTGCCCCTAGGCCAGGGGCTCCGCCCTGCCCACCCCTCCCAGGTCTGGCCCTGGCTCACTGCGGTCGTGCGTGAAGGTGGTCCAGTCCTCCTGGGAGTCCCGCTGTCTCCGCAGCAGCACCAGCCGCCCACCCTCCACATCCACGCTCAGCGTGAACTTCTGTGACTTCCCAATCTTGGTCAGGTCACCCAGGGTCACATCTAGCTTCACCTGTAGGCCAGGTGGGGAGGCTGCTGACAAGACCTTGGAGTAGGCAGCACCCTGGTCACCTCCAACCACCCTTGGCCCTGTGAGGCCCCACTGCCATGTACCTCAAAGGCCTGCACGGGGATGGTCTTGGCCTTACGTGTGGATGGCTGCGGAGCTGGGGGTGCTGTGGAGCTCATGTCCTGTAGGGCCTTCAGGGCCTGGAGGGAACAAGGGCAGGGCGGGGTCAGGGGACACACTGAAGGCTGGGGCAGGGAGGGACACAATTGACCTTGGGGCCAATGTTAAGTTGTAGACTGAGGGTTGAGATCAGTGCTAGGCCAATGACAGTGGCCAGTGAATCGGGGGTCAAGGGTCAGAGATCATGCCACCTTCTTCTGGATGCCTGACAGGAAGTCCTTTAGCACTGACAGCTTCAGCACCAGGCTCTCTAGTTCCTGCTCCCCTGTCTGTGGCAGGTTCTGGGGGGAGGAAGAACCAGGCTTGTACATGAGTCACCTAAGCAGAGCCTCCCACCCAGCTCCAGAACACGAACGCACCTCCCAGAGGTCTCCCTACAATCTACCTGCTGCTGCAAAAGGCGGGTCACCATGGGCGAGCTCTGCTGGTCAAACACCTTGGACAGGATCTCCAGGCCTGACAGGACCTTGTCCACCTCACTAGGGAAGACATCAGATCAAAAGAACTCCCACCCCGACCTAAGTATAGGGAAGGGGGCGCTGGGTGTAGCCTCAACCTCACCACAAGGATAAAGGCTACCAGTGAGGAAAGTCAAGAGGCAATGGCTAGTTCACTGTTCAGGATCAGAGATCAGGGCACCTGTGCAGCCGGGAAGCAGGTGAGGACAGGTCAGAGGTAAGGGTGTAATACATGGGGCTGGATGTCCCAGATACCTGTGCAGCCTCCGGCATGAGGTAGCGAGGGTACGGGTGAGGTGGGGCAGGTGGCTGGCTCCACCCCTCACAGCTTCCAGGTCCAGCCCATAGCTGCCTTTCAGGTAGTCGTGCGAGACGGTGCTCAGCCCATTGGGAGCACTTTGGGGAGGGGTTAAGAAGTCAGTGGAGGTCCTGCTGACCTGTCCCAGCACCTCTGCCCCATCCCTAGAGGAGATAGTACCTGTGGCAACCAGGGCGGGATGGATCAGGTTATCTGCCTCTGGGCTGAGGTGGGGTGGGGGTCCCTGGTGGGGTCTTAGAAGGCCTCCCCACCTTTGGTAGGGAAATAGTTCTCAGAGGAGAAAGGGTCTCCTGTTCAGTGGATGGGATGGGGGTCTCACCTCTCAGCAGCTGGAGCTGTGGGAGTCTCAGGAGCTGGCAGGGGACTGCTGGGCCCAGTGGGGGCAGAAATGCTGGTGGAGCCAGAGCGCGGGGGCAGCGGGGGCTTCTCATCCTCCCCATCTGTGGGCAGGGGTCAGTGGGCAGCCGTTTGGGCCTCCCACACTCAGTGGAGTAGGAGGCACGATGCAGCTGTAAAGTGACTTCCATGGAAAGAGGGTTAAAGGGCCCCGGCATCATGGCCAAGGGAAAGGGGGTTACAGGAGAGGTGGGGTTGAGAAGGGGGGATGGGAAGAGGCAGGTAGAGCCAAGGGACAGGGGCAGGGAGGGGACCTGCACACTGGGAAGTACCTGAGGCATCCCGGTCATCCGGTGGGTCCGGCTCTCGCTCACCCTCTACAGGAAGAAGCAGGGCGCACACAAGGCCCTGGTTGGGCTGGGCGTACAGGCCGATGAGCTCACCCAGGGTCTGGAAGCGGCGCACAGGCACACCCTGCGAGGTCTGTGGGCCAGCAAGGGTGGGAGGAAGGGTCAGCCAGCAGGTCCCCAAGCCCTAGGCTGGATCAAGGTCAGGGGTCAGGGGCCCAAGCTCCTACCTGCACAGCCAAGAAATCTTCTCCATCAGGCAGAATGCGATACGTGTGCACATGCTTCTGATACCTGATGCCAAGGCAGGGCCAGAATCTGTCACCCCCAGGCTGGGGTCTAAGACCCAAAGCACCCCTTCCTCCTGCCAGCAAGCTCAGCACCCCAACCCCCTCAGCTTGGTTTCCCTAAAACCACCTGCCCAGGCTGCACAGGGTTAATGATGTGGCCGGTCCACTTCCACCCTCCTGGTGTTGCCTATTGGGCAGGAATGACCAGAACACCCCCGTCTCCCCACCAGACCTACACAGACTCCACACCCACCACAGGGCAGGGCCTGAGAAGCAACAGGGAGCTCTTTTGTGGCCTCCACAGCTGTCTAAACAGCCCCTCTGGGCTGTGGTACCAGTCTGGGCTCCCCGCCAGAGTAAGAGTCTTCAGAAGCCTGGTTAGCCCATTTGCACACACGGGCAACGTGCTAACACGTGTGTATGCCTCCTGTGTTTATGCTGCTCTCTGGCTCTGCTGGAGTCGGGTATGTCTAGGGCACTTGTGCCGAGGAGTGTGGGGGCATCACCCTAGGCCTTCCCACCAAAGAGGGCCCCCATGGGAGACCTGGGCCTCTAGGAGCCCCAAGCCAAGGAGGGGCAAGAGGGGTGCTGACAGACAGGAGCCGCAGTTGAGCAGGTGGCAGCTGAGCCAGGTGCACAATCAGCGGGGGATGGAAGATCCTCTGCCTCCGCACCTCAGGGCATGCTTCCCCAAGGAGTCACCCAGGAGTCACCCTAGGTGACTCTCCTGGCTGCTTATGCTGGGTGAGTGTCTGTCACCAGGTGTTCCTTTGTAGACTATTACAAACACTATCTGTGTTTATTACAATAGCATACCATTAACTGAATCCTATCTGTGACACGCTGGGTACCCAGTGTCCTATAAATCTTACTTAATTCTCACACTTCTAAACAGATATTATTATCCCCATTCTCCAGCTGAGGAAACAGGCTCAAAGAATAAAAGTGATTTTCCTAAGGCCACAGAGTAAGTAAAAGGTGGAGTTGGGATTTTAAACCATGGCAGAAGCCAGGGCCAGTATCCTAGCTTGCTGGTCAGATTGCCTGTGCCTGCTGGGGCAGGGGCGTGTCTTGCATGTTATCCATGAACACCCGGAATGTATACAGGTAAGCAAGTATGTGTGTATTTGGCAAATCTAAGATATTGCCCACGTCTGATCGCCCACGTCTGATCCTTACCCCCAGGCTCTTGAGATGCGGGGAAGAGCCAGAGTCAGCTGGCAAACCTGAAGCCCCCACTCACAGACAGACCCCTCACCCCATTCACAGCCTCCCTTGGCAATGAGGCCAGGATTCTCCCCCTCCTGGGACAATAATGTTCCTCACCCAGACACAGGCCCCAGCTGTCCCCCTCCCACTCAACAGCTGACCCAGCACCTGCCTCCCTCCCCAGCCTAATTAGGGGGTATGCCTCAGAGGGGGCTGGGAAGCAGGACTTGGGGATATTCATCTGCCTAGTCTGTCCCTCCTTAGTCTCCCCCTACTGGGCCTCAGACTTGAGGCCTAAGCTAAGACTTATAGGGCCCCTTCCTTGTTGGGTCAATTGCCTAGGCTAGAGTTTTTCAACCTCCATACCACTGACATTTTGGATTGCACAGTTCTTTGTTGTGGGGGACTCTCTTGTGCACTGTAGAATGTTTAGCAGTATCCCCGGCTTCTACCCACTAGATGTCAATAGCACCATCCCAGTTGTGACAATTAAAAATGTCTCCCCAGCTGGGCGAGGTGGCTCCACCTGTAATCCTAGCACTTTGAGAGGCCGGGGCAGGTGGATCACTTGAGGTCAGGAGTTCAAGACCAGCCTGGCCAATATGGTGAAACCCCATCTCTACTAAAAATACAAAAATTAGCTGGGCTTGGTGGCGAGCGCCTGTAATCCCAGCTACTGGCGAGGCAGAGGCAGAAGAATCACTTGAATCCAGGAGGCGGAGGTTGCAGTGAGCCGAGATTGCACTACTGCACTCCAGCCTGGGCAACAGAGCGAGACTCTTTCTCAAAAAAAAAAAAAAAAAAAAAGGTCTCCCCTGGTCTAGGCTAATGTGCGCCCCGACCAAAGATGTCAGGAGAACAAAGGGGTAAGGAAGGTACAGTGGGACAGGAGTTTGGGAGGGGGTTCACAGAGCTAAGAAAGATCTAAATAAAGATCTAAATAACTGATCTAAATAAAGCAGCCCCCACAGATTCCCACTCACTGGGCCCACAGAAGCCAACTCAATGTCAGACTGCAGGGCAGGAGGTACAAAGCCGCTAGAAGGCTGCAAAACCAAGAGTGCTAACTCACCCCAGCACCACTACCAACCACACTGGGCTGAAAGGCACAGCCACAGGACCTGGCCCACTCAGAGAAGCACCAAGTCTGGCTCTGCTCTCACTCAGCACTCATAGCTCAGGGCTAGGGCAGCCAGGTAACCAGGGCTCAAGCCCAGAGCCAGGGCTCAAACACTCACTCATTGGTTCAGAAATAATGGCAAGGTCCCATACAGCCTCAGCCTCTGCTTCCCCAAGCCTTCCTCTCTACACCACCCATCACCGCCCCCACCACCCATACACGGCCAGGCAGAACCCCAAAGCACCGAAAGGGGCCCTAAGGAAGCTGCCAGGCATCCCCACACACCCCGTCAGTCCCTCTGCCCCGACTCCCTCTCCTGCTCACCACTCAGTCCCTATCCAAACGGGACTGCACACAACGTGGAATGCACATCCTCTCCCCTGCTCCCTTCTACCTGGAGGATGCCTGAAGGGGTCTGCCGGGGAATGCCCGAATTTTTCGTCATCACAGTCACACTGGGCCACAGAACCCCATATTCTCTACCCTCAAGGCTCCTGAAAGTGCCCCCAGACACACAGCAGGAAGTGCCCCTGCGTCCCTCCTCAGACCCAGGAGAAAGCCAAGGCTCCCACTCTGGGGGGTGGAGGCGGGTCTGGCGTCCCACCGCCCCAGAAACCCTCACCCGGGCCCTTTCCACACCCGGCCGTGCCCGCGCTCCCGGTCCACGCCAGCCCGCAAGGAGCCCCCGCCCCACTCACAGGACGCAGAGCGCGAAGGCCCCCGCCACGCTCTCGCTGTCTCGGACCAGGAAGCTGCCATCGCGGCCCGCCCGGGCCAGCAGCTCCTCCGCGGCCGCCCGGCTCAGGTCGCGGTGGTACCAGGAGGGGGCCTGGCTGCCCAGGGCGCCCCCCGGGCCCGGCGCCCCGCAGGCCGAGGCCATGGCCCGCGCAGGGCTCAGCACCGCCCGCCCCCGCCGCCCCGCGCCATCCGCCCCGAGACGCTCAGGGCTGAGGCTGGGGCCGGGCCCGGGGCCCGGGCTTGAGGATCCGTGGGCCGGACAGAGCCGGGGATCGGGACTCAGCACTCCGCCGCGCAGGCCGCCTCGTTCACCGCGCAGCCGCCGCTGCCTGCAGCGCCGGCCTCAACTTGAAGAGAAAGAAAAGTTTGTTCAGAGGCGGCGGGGGAGGGGCAGGAGCGGAGCGCAGGGCCGGCTGCCGCCCCCTCCCCCTCCGCTCGGCCCGCAGCCCGGGCCGCCCCTGCCCCCAGCTCCTCCTGCGGGGACGGTGCCCCCACCTTCCCGAAGGGCCCGGGACCTCCCAGACCCCACAATGATCCTGCCCCCATCATTCACCCGAGGAGATCCAGTCCCCAAATCCCCATCGAAATCCGAGTCCCCCCATCCTGGCCCCGACACTTCGGGATCCAGGCACCCCCTGGAGAATTCAGCGCTTCTCAGTTCTCCCAATGATATGACCCCTAAGCCCCATAAAGGTCTGATTCCACTCCATGGCTCTTCCTCTCGTCCCCCTTACAGCTTGGCTGCATCGAGTTCCCCAAACCTGCGAAGGATCCAGGACCACCCCCTACCCATCCTCTTCCCTCCACCCAAGCGGGCGGGGCCCCCAACTCCTGCGAAATGCAGCCCCCTCTTAGATCTGAACCCCCAACTCCACGGGAACCGTCCCCCGGCAAAGCCTGCGGGGAGATTCCCTGGCTAACCAGGCTTCTGAAGATTCTTACTCTGGCGGGGGGCCCAGACGAGGTGCGACGTTCTCGAGCCTCTCACGCAGCCCCTCCCAGCCCCGCAGAGCCCTTCCCCCTCTCGGCCAAGTTCCCCAGCACCACCCCCCACACCCGCAGGCCGGGCCTTGAGGGGGTTCAGCAGTCCGAAGCCAGGAGGATCCCTGGCCCGTCTAGTAGAAAGTTCCCTCCCGGGATCCCGGCCGCCGCACGCAGACCCCCACCTCCCGGGCTGCTCCGGCGCCCCCTTCCCCGGACAGCGGCCCTGGGCTCCAGGCGGCCACTTAAGATGGCCATCCGCGCGCGCCCCCGCCCTCCGCGCCGCCCGCCCCGCCCCGCGCCGCCCCGGGGAGCCGGGGGCAGCACCGCGCCTCGCCTCACCCCGCCCCGCGCCTCGGTCCCGGAGCCGCTGGCCCACTGGGTGACCTCGGGCAAGTCGCGGCGCGGGGTTGAGCGTCGGCTTCCCGCTCTGGAAAATGGGGATCCTGTGGCGAGGGCCGGCTCTGGGGGCCGAGCTCGTACCGCGCTCGGCACCGGGCCTGGCGCCCAGCCCGCGCTCCCGAACGGCGGCTATTTTTATTATTAATTAAGGAGAAACGAAGGTGACAGCTGTGTAAACTGTAAAGCGCGGCTGCGGAACGAACGGGTATTATTAGCACTCGCCCCCGCCCCAGCGGCTCCCTCCGAGTCAGCAAACTCGCGCCTCCGCGGGCCGGACGCCCAGCGGGGAGCTCCCAGACGGGGTCCGCTGCAACGCCCCCCTAGCTTCCTCCCCTCCAGCCGAGGGCGGAAGGGGGACGCGGCAGCCGCAAAGGGGGCGGAGCCCATAAAAGGGTCTGGCCCGCCCCCTCCCAAAAAAAGACCTAGCCGGTGGCGGCGTCTCCGGGGAGTCGTCTTCCTGCCCCGCCCCTCCGCCCCCTGGCTCCTTAAAGGCGCAGGCCTCCAGCCGGGCGCCCGCCGCCACCATCTCCTGGGCCGCCGTGGGAGAATCCCTTTAACCTGGGAGAGAACTTTCACTTTGCTACGTTGAACCTGTTGACGGAGCCCGGGTCAGTCCCTCGAGCTCCTTCCTCTATTTCAAATATGCATTGACTTAACCCAGCTGGAGCAGAGCCTGGGACGTGGAAGGGGCTCTGTGGGGCCTTCCACACTAGATAAATATAATAACTAAGAGATCCACCCACCCACCCAACAGTGCCTCCAGAACCCAATAACTCATCCTACAATCTGTGCCACCGTTCTCATCAGCCACCTTTTAGTATAAGAAAAGATGAGCCTGATGTGAGGGGAATCCTTGGTAGTGGGGGAGAGACCTGGACTGGGAGTCTGCACACCTGGGTTCTAGTCCTAGCTGGGCCACCTACCTGCAGGGTGTTCTCAGAGACTTACCTGGGCCTCTCTGGGGACAGTTGTAGTAGGAGTGTGCAAACAAAGACTTATCCAAAGGGAAAGGGGTGTTGGGAGACCCAGAGATAACTTAGGCCCAGCTCCCGAGGGCTTTGCAAAGACAGAGCAACCCCCTCAAGATAGGCATATCTGCCAATCCCAGGAGGAGACAAAGGTGCCAGAGGCTCCTGACCCCGGGAAGCCCTTAAGGGTTTCTAACTCTTCCAGCCACACCTCCAGGACACCAAAGCGCTGAACCAGTTCCAGGCTCTTGAGTATTCCACTCCAGAAACCCCCTACACTGCCCTCTCCAATTGGCTCTGTTTTTCCTCTGAGAGTCCCAGGCCCCAACTCTGCTCCTTCAATGTGCATCACGTTTTTTTCATCCCACTGTGAATTTTTTTCATCCCACTGGCAATCTGAATCCTTTCCTGGACTCCCATTCCCAGCTTTCCTGTTACAGAGCCGAGCACAGAGCCAGGCACAAGGGCTGGAGGACCAGGAGGCTGTTTGGAGACCAAGACAAATAAGCTCAGGACCTGGCTCCCACTTGGGGCAACAGGAACAACAGGATCCCTGAAGACTATTAATGTGCAGACACTGGGCTCACGGGCTTTCTAGGCAACAGCTCCTGTATATTTCACAAGCCTGAGGGCAGGACTATTATCCTCTTTTTATCCAGAAGGAAACAAAGGTTTAGAGCAGTGAAGCAACTGTTTCATTTTCACAAAGTAGCAGAGCTGGGATTCAAACACAGGTCTAGTTGCTCTAATTTGAAGGAATCCAGAAGCCGTAGAATCTGTCTCCCACCCACCCACAAACTCACAACCAAAACAATTCCACAGACATGGAATTATTAGAAAACAGTCTGTTTATTAGAAGTGACTCTTGGCCCCACCATGGAGCAGCAACAGACTGGGTGACAGAGGGTTAGGTGACTAATAGAAGCATGCTTAAGGGGCTGTCATTTGTGGGAGCTGAGCTGAGCCCAGCCTGGTTATCCAAGCTGAGGGCAGGTAGTCTGGGAGGACTGAACTCAGCCAAGGAGCCAGAGTTGCAGCATCAGGGCCAGACTGAGCAGGAGACCCCCAGTCCCATGAAGCATCTCACCAGCATTCACATGCATGGCTGCAGCATAGAACCTCGCCACTTCCTCGTTGGGGTTGCCCTGGGCTGAATCAAACCACATCTGGATGCAGCGGCCGCTCCCTCGGCTGTAGTTGCTGACCTTGTATGAGTGACTCCAGAGGCCTTCACAAAGGGCAGCTGGAGTGGGGAAGTAGGACTCAAAGGTGCGGCAGAGAGCCCCAGCTGGGCACTTGTTAACTCCTGCAGGGAGAGGCATGGTGGACACAGACTTTCAGCCCCTGGGCCCAAAGCTCATTTCTGGCCACCCCCAGAAATCTTCACCCCACCCCAAATCCTTGAAGATTTTCCAAACCCTACCTCAATCTCCTTTTTCCTAACCCCAACTCAATCACCCTCACCTGAGGTCCAGTCCCATCCTCTGTGCCAGTTGCTCTTGCACGTGTGGGAGGTGTGACAATCCTCCCACCAGCGCTGACAGTCCTCTTTGCATAAGGGCACATCCAGGAAGCGTTCTTTGCGCCAGCTCTGATTCACCTGGGTGGGAGGTGGGGAGGCAGGGCTCCTCTCAGCCAGGGATGCTGGCAGCCATCGCCTTGAAGTGACTGAGGGGGATGGCAGTCTGCTGGGGTGGGTGGGGGGGAGACACCCTACCTGCTGGATCCAGGGCCCCAGGTTGGGTGAGCACTCATAGAGACAGGTGTCCTGGATGAAGTGGCGCTTGCAGGCGGGCTCCATCTTGCCGCAGTGGTCCCAGTTAAAGTTGTACAGGCGGGAGGTGTCCTTGTGCAGCTCCTGGCTGGTGCTGGCTGTGCAGCAGGCATTCTTCTTCCAGGGACTGCACTGGGTGGGGAAGACACAGGACTAAGTGCCTCCCCATACCCTCCTCCTCCTGCCACCTCGTGTCTCTCCCCCATTTGGTTCTTACTCCTCTGCCCTAGGCAGGTTGTCCTGAGAACACTCAGGTTCCCAGATGATGGTCCCTCTCTCCTAGGCCTCCAGGAACCCCTTTCTTGGAGGAAACACAATTACAACCGTGTGATCAGGGGACTGTGGGAGCCCAGGGGAAACCCTGTCTTGGGAATAATAGTTATCATTTATGAGGTATGTAACACTTCATAAAAAGTCCTTTCACTTACTCATTTAAAAATTATTGAGCACCTACTTTATGCCAGTCACGGTTATAGATGCTGGGAATACAGAAGAGAACAAAACAGACAGAAATATGTATTCATGGAATTTTCATTCTGGTCAGAGGAGACAGACAGTAAGAAACTTAAAAAATATATATATATGGTATGTCAGGATATGATAAATGATATGGGAAAAGTTAAATGATATGAGCAGGAAATGGTAATGTGGAATTGCTGAAATTTTAAATAGGTTAGGAAATGCCACATTGGTGACATTTTGAGCAAAGGAAGAGAGGGAGCGAGCCATGGAGTAATGGAGTTTGAATATATTTATTCTTCTTGGCATGTAGTAAGATCTGTGTCCCCAGTGGCTAGGCCAGTGCCAGACACATAGTAGGCCCATGAAAATATTTGCTGGAAAAAGTAAGCAAAAGCCAGGCTGGGCGTGGTGGCTCGTAGCTGTAACCCCAGCACTTTGGGAGGCCGAGGCAGGTCTACCACCTGAGGTCAGGAGTTTGAGACCACCCTGGCCAACATGGTGAAACCTCGTCTCTGGTAAAAATACAAAAAAATTAGCCAGGCATGGTGGCGGGTGCCCCAGCTACTTGGGAGGCTGAGGCAGGAGAATCACCAGAACCCCGGAGGCGGAGGTTGCCGTGAGCTGAGATCACACCATTGCACTCCAGCCTGGGCAACAGAGTGAGACTCCTTCTCAAAAAAAAAAAAAAAAGTAAGCAAAAGCCCTACTTTTTAAATGTATCTCTATCTTACATATAGGCACATCATGTTTTCACAAGATTTTAATCTAGACTGGGTTTTCCAGGACTGCAAATACCATGAAATAGAAGGCTGTACTATGTGGTTTATTCTACTAGAATTATTCACTATTTTAGAAAAGTATGACATCAACAGCAACATTGCTTATATTATAGTATCTTATAGTGTTTAAGTCACCAATAGAATATACCTGTATCAATCTTCATTTGTAGCTCCCCACTTATAATGATTTTATGACAAAAGCAAGCATGTGCTATTTCCTAATGCCTTCTAATGTAGTCATACCAGAGAACTGACATATTGAAATATATATTATTTTATTACAAGTTACTTTCTGTGTGTTTCTCCTTTATATTACAGAGCATTATGTTGATATTTGCAAAAATTATGCATACAAATAGGTTCTTTGAATTTCATTGCAGGATAGAAAAGAGAATCTAAAAAAAAATCTGTCATAAAAGGGAGACATTGAGTCTAATAAGGCTGCAATCCCCTGGCATACATGTATATAGACTGTGTGAATGTCCAGCCCCTGTGCCTCAAATTACAGCCAGAAGGGCCTCCTCCTCTTCTCCCTTGGCACTCCATGGAAATGGCACTTAGTGAGGGTGGGAAAAGCCAGCGACTCCCTAGTCTGTCACCCACCAAAGGAGGAGCCTAACCCACTCCTATTCCTACCCCTCCACAGGGGCCATTCATGTCCAGCTCCTGTGTGGGCCCATGTGCTTCTGTGAGCCTCATTTTCACTTACTTGTGTAATGTGGAGAATATCATCTACCTACATCCAAGAACCCCTGGGAATATGAAATTTTGTACAAAAAACACATGACAACTGACAGGTGCCCATCGAATGACGACTCAATATCATTGTCAACATGGTATCCACCTCCGGGGAGGGCCCCCCTAAAATCACCTCAGCCACTCTTCCTACTCCACCTTCATCTTCTCCCACAGGAAAACTTCAGGATGTGGAGGTATCTGACCCCTCAATCCCTCTCCCACCATCCTGACTTTCTCCTCCCTGTTAGAACAAGCCCCCTCCTTAGCAGAGGCACACTCCAGCCGTACTTGGTCATGCAGCTTGTCCTCAGGACCTGGCTTTGTCTTGTGGTGCTTGGCATCCATACAGACATTGAGGAGATCAGTCCTGTCCTGGGCACTGCACATGGTGGCTACACAGACCAGAAGCAGCAGAAGTGGCATCCATTTCCAGACCATGTCTTTCTGTCCCTGCAGGCGGAGCTAGGGTAGGGAAACCAAGTCCTGAGGGGAAAGGGCTCCAAGCTGGGAGCCCATTCACCTCCTGCCTCAGTCTCCCCAACCCTACGGTGGCAAATGAGGTCAGACCCTGTTCCTTCAATGCTGGGGCCCTGAAGCTCCCTGAGGCTAGGGTAGAGAGGGTTGACCAGGAGGGCTCCCTCACCCCCAGGCTTTAAAGGCTCAGGAGAACTGGCGTTAGTGAGTGAGCCCTGGGGGAGTCTTCCCAATTTGGAGGAGATACTTTGCGCCCTCACCTTTTCTCTAGGCTTTATCTATGACAAGTAATTAAATTCTTCAGGTCTATCCTCTGCTTCCCTGAACAGAGCCAGGGACACATAATGTCTTCACCCTCTGTCCAGCAAGGGCTCTGTGGTTAGATGATAGATCACCTGGGGTCTTGTGCCAGCTTAGAAACCAGGTTAGCCTTGGGGAAGGCAGTGACCCAGCTCTGCCGAGTTCTCAGATCAGCATGAGGATCAAGTGACAGAACCCACAGGATGGTGTTTGGTTAAATGATACGGAAATGGAAAGAGCAGTGTTTTTTAAGTAGTTTTGCTTCCTCAGACTTTTTCCTTCCCTATTCTCTGAAAGCCATTTTCCTTTCCAGCCTCCTCAGCTGTCTCTGGGCTAATGCAGCAGACCTCACCCTACCTCTCAAAAAACAAATGCAGATGAGAATGATATAGACTGGGGGTGGGGCAAGGTGAGGAGGGGGTGAGGAATAAAAGACTATATACTGAGTACAGTGTACACTGCTCCGGTGACTGGTGCACTAAAATTCAGAAATCACCACTAAAGAACTTATCTATGCAACCAAAACCACCTGAAAAACGATAGAAGTTTAAAAAATTCAAAATAATTTTTTTAAAAATGCAGAGAGACCCTTAGATCTGAGAGACAACATGAAAGTTTCCCATGTTGGAGCAGCCAGACCAGCACTTAGTGTCCTGGAAGGCACTCAACAACAGGAGCAGCCCTCGCCTCCTCTGTTCATTGCTGCCCTTGCCCCCACCCCCAGCCATTACAGAGCTGTTCCTTTGGGCTCTGTCACTAAAGAGTGGATAATGGATACTGCTTCCTCTCCCTCTCTGGTAAAGGTCCCTCCAAAAACTTACTGACCATGGCTCTATGTTTAGTGTCAAGTCTTCCCTCTTCCAATTTCTTCCCCTTCAAGTTGCCTTCCCCACAGGAGCCAGCATGATCTTTCTAAAGAAAGATGTGGCCGGGCACAGTGGCTCACGCCTGTAATCCCAGCACTTTGGGAGGCCGAGGTGGGTGGATCCTGAGGTCAAGAGTTCGAGACCAGCCTGACCAACATGATGAAACCCCGTCTCTACTAAAAATACAAAAATTAGCCAGGCGAGGTGGTGGGCACCTGTAATCCCAGCTACTCAGGAGGCTGAGGCAGGAGAATCACTTGAACCCAGGAGGCAGAGGTTGCAGTGAGCCAAGATCGTGCCACTGCACTCCAGCCTGGGTGACAGAGCGAGACTCTGTCTCAAAAAATACAATACAATACAATACAATACAGAAAGAAAGGTGTGTTCCTCCCCTCTGCACAAACTCTCCAAGTCTCCCCACTGCCCTTGTCACCCTTCCCTCCTTCGGGCATCTTGCCTGAACCTCCGTTGCTGCTGGGAGCATACACGGCTGTGTCTGAGTTGGCCTCTCTCTAAGTAGGCAATAGATCCAGGCCCCTAGGCTGTCCCCACAGCCTCTGTCTTCGGTACAGGGTAGACAACGCGCTCTGGTAAGCACTGAGTGAAATCTCCCTACTTAGCTATTCTCCTTCCTCTCTTCCTTCCCTTCCAGACCCCACCCTCTTCAAGGCTCCCTGAGTCTGTCCATTTAGTCATTCCTGCTTGCATTCATCTCCTTACTTGTTAATTTACTCATTCCAGCATCCACACATTCAACTTTCATCAAAATCTAGAGAATTGCTCATCACCAGGGGGCATCTGGATTTTATAGATACCCCAAGTGGTTCTTAGGATAAGGCCAGCTCGATGGAGATTAGGTCTGGTGGAAAAGAACCCAGGCTTTAGGGTCAGGCCAATGGGACCCAATGAGAGCTCCATCTCTTGCACAACCTTGGGAAAAGTCACTGGACCTTACTGAGCTTCAGTTTGCTCACTAGAAAATTGTTCACAATTGTATAGGGAAAAGCCTGGCACATACTGAGTAGGCTTAAGTGACAGCTATTGGGTTAATTTATGGGCAGCCAGGTGGACATAGGTAGAAGTTGAGGTATAGGCTGGGCATGGTGGCTCACGTCAGTAATCCCAGCACTTTGGGAGGCTGAGGCAGACAGATCACTGAGGTCAGAAGTTCGAGACTACCCTGGACAACATGGTAAAACCCTGTCTCTACTAAAAATACAAAAATTAGTGGGGTGTGGTGCCGTGCGTGCACTGTAATCCCAGCTACTTGGGAGGCTGAGGCACAAGAATTGTTTGAACCCGAGAGGCAGAGGTTGCAGTGAGCTGAGATCGCACCACTACACTCCAGCCTGGGCGACAGAGCGAGACTTCATCTCAAAAAAAAAAAAAAAAAAAAAAAAAAGTTGAGGTATAGAAGTCAAGGGTCACAGAAAAATTAAAATTGTCTCAAATATGTTAAACAGCAATATATTACCATCTGGCATTTCTGAAAACATAATTAAGCAATTTTTGATGGCCTTTTAAAAATTGTGGTAAAAACACACGTGACATACAATGTGCCATCTTAACCATTTCTAACGGTACAGTTCAGCAGTGTCAAATATAGTCATACTGTTTGCAATCAATCTTGGAAACTTTTCATCCTGCAAAACTGAGACTCCATATCCATTAAACGATTCCCCACTTTCACTTTCCCTAGCCCCCGCCAACCACCATTCTATTTTCCGTCTCTGTGATTTGGGCTACTGTACTGTAAGTTCCTTGTCCAAGTGGAATCATGCAATATTTGTCTTTTCGTGACTGGCTTTTCGTAATGTCCCCAAGATTTGTCCATGTTGTAAGGTGTATCCGAATTTCATTCCTTTTTAAGGCTGGGTAATATTTCATTGTATGTATGTACCACATTTTCTTTATTTATTCATCTATCAATGGACCTTTGGGTTGCTTCCACTTTTGGCTATCATGAAGAATACTGCTATGAAAATGGGCATATAAATATGTCTTTAAGACCTTTCTTTCAATTCTTTTTGGTATATATCCAGAAGTGAAATTGCAGGATTATATGGTAAGTCTATATTTAATTTTTGAAGAACTGCCACACTGTTTTCTGTAGTGGCCACACCATTTTACATTTCCATCAGCAGTGCACAAAGGTTCCAATTTCTCCACATCCTCATCAACACTTATTTCCTGTTTTGGGAGTTTTGGGTTTATAGTAGCCATCATGTTGAGTGTGAGGCGATATCTCATTGTGACTTTGATGTACATTTCTCTAATAATTAGTGATAATGAGCATCTTTTTCCATGCTTATTAGCCATTTGTATATCTTCTTTGGAGAAATGTCTATTCAAGTCATTTGCCTATTTTTAAAATTGAGTTTTCTTTTTGTTGAGTTGTAGTATTCTTTTATGTATTCTGAATTCACCCTTTATCAGGTATATGATTTGCAAATATTTTCTCCCATTCTGTATGTTGCCTGTTGATTGTCCTTTGATGGACAGAAGTTTTTAATTTTGATGTAGTCCAGTTACCTATTTTTACTTTTGTTTCCTGTGCTATTGGTCTCATATTCAATAACTCATTGCCTAATTCAATGTCATGAAACTCTTTGCCTAGGTTTTCTTCAAAGACTTTCATCATTTTTGCTTTTATGTTTATTTAGGTCATGGATCTATTTTGAGTTGTTTTTAATATTGTATAAAGATGTATTTATACAAGTGTATTACACCTGTGTAAAGCTGTAAGATAAAGGTCCAACTTTTTTTCGCATATGAATATCCAGTTGTGTCCCAGCACCATTTGTTGAAGACTATTCTTTTCCCCATGTTTTAATACCCTTGTCAAAAACCTGGACTCCCAGTTTGATTCCACTGATGTATATGTCTCTCCTTGTGCCACTACCATGCTGTCTTGATTATTGTAGATTTGTAGTAAGTTGTGAAAGTGAAAAGTGTTATTTCTCCAATTTTTTTCTTTTTCAAGATTGCTTTGGCTATTCTGGATCTCTTTCATGTCCATATGAATTTTAGAATCAGGTTGTCAATTTCTACAAAAAAGACAGCTGGGATTTTGACAGCTCTTGAGTTGAATCTGTAGATCAGTTTGGGAGAGTATTGCAATGTTAACAATATTAAGTATTCTGACTGATGAACACGAGATTTGTTTCTATGTATTTAGGTTTTTAATGTCTTTCAACAATGTTTTATAGTTACAAGTCTTTTACTTGTAACTTTTACTTTTGTTAAACTTATTCCTACATATTTTATTCTTTTTGATGCTATTATGAATGGAATCATATTCTTTTTTTTTTTTTTGAGACAGAGTCTCATGCTCTGTCCCCCAGGCTGGAGTGCAGTGGCATGATCTTGGCTCATTGCAACCTCCACCTCCCAGGTTCACGCCATTCTCCTGCCTCAGCCTCCCGAGTAGCTGGGACTACAGGCGCGCGCCACCACACCCAGCTAATTTTTTGTATTTTTAGTAGAGACGGCGTTTCACCGTGTTAGCCAGGATGGTCTCGATCTCCTGACCTCGTGATCTGCCTGCCTTGGCCTCCCAAAGTGCTGGGATTAGGAATCATATTCTTAAATTCATTTTCATATTTGTTCACTGCTAGTGTATAGAAATGCAATTGATTTTTGTATTTTGATCTGGTATCCTGAAACTTGTTGAACTCATTTAGTGGTAATGATATTGTTTTTATGGATTCCTTAGAATTTTCTGTATACAATATCATATCATCTATGAGTAAAAATAGTTTCACGTCTTGCTTTCCAATTTGGATACCTTTTATTTCTTTTTTCTTGAATAATAGCACTAACTACAACCTTCAGTACAATTTAAATAGACATGGTGAGAGTACATATCCTTTTCTTATTCCTGATCTTAGGTTGAAAGCCTTTCACCATTGAATATGATGTTATGTGTTTTTTCAGAGATGCTCTTCATTGGGTTTTGGGTTGAGTTCCCTTCTATTTCTAGTTTGTTCAGCATTTGTTTAATCATGAAAGGATATTGAATTTTGTCAAACAAGGTTTTCTTCACTAATTGAGATGATCATGTGGTTTTTGTCCTTTATTCTAATAATACGGTGAACATCAATTGATTTTTGGATGCTAAGCCAACTTCCATTCCTGGAATAAATCCTGCTTAGTAATAGTATATACTTTTGACCTGTTGCTGGATTCAGTTTGCTAATATTTGGTTAAGCAGATTTATGTCTTAATTCGTAAGGAATATTGATCTATGTTTTCTTTTCTTGTGATATCTTTGTCCGATTTTATAACAAGGTAATACTGGCTCATATAATACAACTTACAGAATGAGTTGAGAAATATTTCCTCCTTTTATTTTTTGAAAGAGTTTGTAAAGGATTGGTATGAATTGTTCTTTAAACATTTGAGCCAGGTGCGGTAGTTCATGGCTGTCCTCCCAGCACTTTGAGAGGCAGAGGTGGGAGGATCACTTGAGCTCAGGAGTTCGATACGAGCCTGGGAAACATAGTGAAATCTTGTCTCTACTAAGAATAAAAAAAATTAGCCAGGCATGGTGGCATGCACCTGTAATCCCAGTTACTTGGGAGGCTGAGGTGAGAGGATTGCTTGAGCCCAAGAGGTTGAGGCTGCAGGAAGCTGTGATCATGCCACTGCACTCCAGCCTGGGTGACAGAGCGAGACCTTGTCTGTAAAATAAGTAAATAAATAAATAACATTTTGTAGAAACCACCACTGAGGCCATCTGGGCCTGAAATTTTCTTTGTGGGAAATTTTAAAATTACTAACTCAACCTCTTTACTTGTCACAAGTCTATTTGTATTCTTTACTTCTTGTGTTATCTTTGGTAGTTTGTGACTTTATAGGAATTTGTTCGTTTTATCGGTGTTAACTAATATGTTGCATACAATTGTTTATACTATTCCCTTATAATCCTTTATATTTCTGTGAGGTCAGTACTGATCTTCCCTTTGTCATTCCTGATTTTATTGATTTGATTCTTCTCTCCTTTTTTCTTGATCAATCTAGATAAAGCTCATCAGTTTTGTTGATTTTTTAAAGAACTAACTTGATTTTGTTGATTTTTGGTGTTTTTCTATCCTCTATTCCATTTATTTTTGCTCTAATCTTTACTATTTCCTTCTTTTTCCTAGTTTATTTTGCTCATCTTTTTCTGTTTTGTTTTGTTTTGAGACAGGGTCTCACTCTGTCACCCAGGCTGGAGTGCAGTGGTGCCATCTCGGCTCACTGCAACCTCTGCCTCCCAGGCTCAAGTGATTCTCTTACCTCAGGCTCTTGAGTAGCTGGGACTACAGGCACACGCCACCACGCCTGGCTAATTTTTGTATTTTTTGTAGAGACGGTGTTTCGCCATGCTGCCCAGGCCGGTCTCGAACTCCTGAGCACAAGTGATCTGCCCGCCTCGGTCTCCCAAAGTGCTGAGATTATAGGCATGAGCCACTGCACCTGGCCCTTTCTCTGTTTTTTTTAAGGTAGTAGGTTAGCTTATTGATTTAAGTTATTCTTCTTTTTCATATTGACATTTACAAATCTAAATTTCTCTCCAAGCACTGCTTTAGCTACCTCCCTTAGGTTTTGGTATTTTGTGTTTTCATTTCATTCATCTTAAAGCATTTTCTAATTTCCCTTGTGATTTACGAGTATATTTAATTTATACATATTTGTAAATTTCCTGAATGTTCTTATCTTATTTTTTAATGTCATTCCATTGTGATCAGGGAAGATATTTTCTTCTATTTCAATTATTTTTAATTTATTGGTACCTTTTTTAATGGCCCAAAATATGGTGTTCCATGTGTACTTGAGAAGAGTATATATTCTGCTGTTGTTTGGCTGGAGTGTTCTGTAGATATCTGATGGGTCTAGTTGGTTGATAGTGTTGTTCAAGTTCTCTACTACCTAGTTTTTCTAAATACTACTGGTAGCGGGATATGGAAATCTCCAACTGTTATTGTTGAATAAAGTATTTCTCTCCTCAATTCTGTTATTTTTTGCTTCATGTGTTTTGGGACTCTGTTGATAGTTGCATTTATATTTATATTTGCTATGTCTTCTTGATGGATTGACCCTTTTATCATTTTTAAATGACTTCCTTTGTCTCTTAACAATTTTTGTCTTAAATTCCCTTGTCAATATCATTACATTACCTATACAGGTACAAACTACACCTGTGTAGTAGAGACAAGGTCTCACTATGTTGCCCAGGCTGGTCTCAAACTCCTGAGCTCAAGTGATCCTCCTGCCTCAGCTCTCTAAAGTAAAATAATTTGTATTCTTAACAAAGTACTGTAGCTTTACTTGTTTTTACTAGTTTTTCTTTCAACTTTTTTTTTTTTTTTTTGAGACGGAGTTTCCCTCTTGTGGCCCAAGCTTGTGTGCAGTGGTGCGATCTCGGCTCACTGCAACCTCCACCTCCTGGGTTCAAGCAATTCTCCTGCCTCAGCCTCCCAAGTAGCTGGGATCTTTCAACCTTTTTTACTAGAGATATAAAATTAATGTACCTACTGCCATTATAGCATTTAAATATTTTGAATTTGACAACATACTTTTTTTTGTGTGTGAGACAGAGTCTTGCTGTGTTGCCCAGGCTGGAGTGCAGTGGCATGATCTCAGCTCACTGCAACCTCCGCCTCCAGGGTTCAAGTGATTTTCCTGCCTCAGCCCTCCAAATAGCTGGGATTACAGGCATGTGCCCAGCTAATTTTTGTATTTTTAGTAGAAGCAGGGTTTCACCATGTTTGCCAGGCTGGTCTCAAACTCCTGACCTCAGGTGATCCACCTGCCTCGGCCTCCTAAAGTGCTGGGATTACAGGTGTGAGCCACCACATCGGGCCTGACAACGTACTTACTTTTACCAGTGAGTTTCACACTTTCATATATTTTCATGTTACTAATTAACATCCTCTTCTTTTGGCTTAAATAAGTCCCTTTAGCATTTCTCATAAGGCAGATCTAGTGGTGATACATTCTCTCAGCTTTTGTTAGTCTGAGGAAGTCTTTATCATTCTCCCTTTTTGGAAGACAGGGTTCCTTGGTATTGTACTTGGTTAAAATTTATTTTTCCTATAAGGATTTTGAATATATTATTCTACTTCTTTCTGGTTTGCAAGGTTTCTGCTGAAAACCCACTGATAATCTTATGGGTTTCCTTGCATGTAATGTTTCACTTTTCCCTTTCTGCTTTCAAAACTCTCTCTTTGTCTTTAACTTTTGACAGTTTGATTATGATGTGTCTCGGTGTGGGTCTCTTTGGATTAATCTTATTTGATGTCCTTTGGGCTTCGTGGATCTGGATTTCTATTTTTTTCCCCAGGTTTGGGGAGTTTTCTGCCATTATTTCTTTGAATATGTTTTCTAGCCCTTTCTCTTTGTTTTCTCCTTTTGATATACTGATAATGTCTATGTCGTTATGCTTCATGGTGTTCCATAAGTCTCTTAAATTATCCTCACTCTTTTTTTATTATTTTTTCCTTTTTAGTCCTCAGATTTTGTAATTTCCAGTAACCTGTCTTCAAATTCACTATTTTTTTTCCTACTTGATCTAGTTTACTATTGAACCCCTCTATTGAATTTTTAATTTCAGTTACAGTATTCTTCAGCTCTATTATTTCTATTCGGTACTTTTTAAATACTTCTTATCTCTTTATTGAAATTGTCAGTTTGTTCTTACATTGCTCCCCTGACCTCAGTAAGCATCTCCATGGTCATTATTTTGAATTCTCTGTCAGGTAAATCACATATCTCCACTTCACTCAGGTCAGTTTCTGGATATTCATCTTGTTCTTCTATTTAGAACATATTCCTCTATTTCTTCATTTTCCTTGACTCTCTGTGTTGGTTTCTGCACATTAGATAAAATAACTATCTGTATTAGTCCATTTTCACACTGCTATAAAGAACTTCCCAAGACTGGGTGACTTACAAAGGAAAGAGGTTTAATTGACTCAAAGGTCAGCATGGCTGGGTAGGCCTCAGGAAACTTAGAATCATGGCTGAAGGCTAAGGGGAAGCAAGGCACATTCTTCACAAGGCAGCTGGAAGGAGAAGTGCCGAGCAAAGGGGGAGGAGCCCCTTGCAAAACCATCAGATCTCCTGAGAACTCACTCACTATCACAAGAACAGCATGGGGGAAACTGCCCCCATGATTCAGTTACCTCCACCTCGCCTCTCCCTTGACTTGTGGGAATTACAAGGATTATACTTCAAGATGAGATTTGGCTGGGGACACAAAGCCTGAGCATATCACTATCGCTCTCAGTCTTGTCCGACTGGCCTCGTGTAGGAGAAGGCTCTCACCTATCTGTCTGACCAGAGATTTTAAGGTACCTCTCAAGTCTTTGTGTTTGTCCAGACCTCTATTCTGTTTTTGGTGCCCCCCTGGAGTTTATGTCATATCATTTCAGTATTCTGAGACCAGTAAAGCAGGAGCCAGACTCTGTAGGTGTAGCTGGAAATGTTGGAGTGTTGGGTGTGTGTTTCAGCTACTTCTATCTTTGTGGTAAACCTGAATACAGGTGTTTATCTCCCATTCTCTCTGCACTAAGCTGAGGAGAAAATCTGTGGCAAATGCCTTTACTAACATTCAGGTTGTGCCTTCTGATCCTGGGGAAATAGCTGTTGGAAGCGTGCCTATTATATGTTCACCTCTTCATTTTCTGTGGTCTCAGCCCACCCAGGAATGCAAAGCTCCATCAACTTCAAGAGCTAGGTCATTAAGGAGACAGATCCCAGGGTTGGAGCCATAGAAGTAGTGGCACTCAGTGCATGGCCAAGCTCCTTCCTGTAAGAATGAGTAGACCTGGATTTATTTATGGGGTGAGCCAGAGGAAAGTTTCATGAAGTTCCCTTGCTAAAGCTGTAATAGGGCTATTGTTTGTTTGCTCCATGATCTCCGTGGTGCAAGTTTGTTAGCTGTTAGGTCATCAAGTAGCCACTGGAAGTGTACTATAAGCCCCTTCTGGAGAGAAAATGGGAACTAGATGTTCCCTCCCCTTTTCTCAATTGTTCCAAAGGACCATAGCCCTGGAACTGTTTGTGCACCGATTTAAAACTACGTCTTTGTTCTGTGATCTAGAAAGACTCACATATGGCCGGGTGCAGTGGCTCACGCCTGTAATCCCAACACTTTGGGAGGTCAAGGCAGATGGATCATTTGAAGTCAGGAGTTCGAGATCAGCCTGACCAACATGGTGAAACCCTGTCTCTACTAAAAATGCAAAAATAATAGCTGGACATGGTGGTGAATGCCTGTAATCCCAGCTACTGGGGTGGGGGCTAAGGCAGGAAAATCACTTGAACCTGGGAGGCAGAGGTTGCAGTGAGCTGAGATTGCACCACTGTACTCCACTGTACTCCATCCTGGGTGACAGAGCAAGATTCTGTCTCAAAAAAAAAAAAAAGACTCACATATGCCTAGTCCCTTCTGCTCCCAGACTTAAAAGGTTTAGGATGGAGACCTTTGGGAGGTAACTGAAAAGTTGGGGCACTCGATGCATGCCAAAAACCCCTTCCAAAGAGAAACAGGAAGCTGCTTTATATATATAGAGAGAGATGAGGTCTTGCTATGTTGCCCAGGCTGGTCTTGAACTCCAGGCCTCAAGTGAATCTCCTGCCTCAGCCTCCCAAAGTGGTGGAATTACAGGTATGAGCCACTGTGCCTGGCTTTTTTTTTTTTTTTTTTGAGACGGAGTCTCCCTCTATTGCCTAGGCTGGAGTGCAGTGGCACGATTCTGGCTCACTGCAACCTCTGCCTCCCAGGTTTAAGCAATTCTCTTGCCTCAGCCTCCCAAGTAGCTGGAAGTATAGGCACCTGCCACTATGCCAACTAATTTTTGTATTTTTGGTAGAGACGAGGTTTCACCATGTTGGCCAGCCTGGTCTCAAACTCCTGACCTCAGGTGATCCACCCGCCTCAGCCTCCCATAGTGCTGGGATTACAGGCCTGAGCCAGCACACGTGGATTTTTTTTTTTTTTTTTAATGGGCGATGCATTTCTCTTTCTTCCTTCCCTTCCTTCCTTCCTTCCTTCCTTCCTTCCTTCCTTCCTTCCTTCCTTCCTTCCTCTCTCTCTTTCTCTCTCCCTCTCTTTCTTTCTTCTTTTTTTTTGGGACTCACTGTGTCACCCAAGCTGGAGTACGGTGGCCCACTGCAATCTTCGCTTCCCAGGCTCAAGCAATCCTCCCACCTCAGCCTCCTGAGTAGTTGGAACTACAGGCATGCACCACCACACTGGGCTAATTTTTGTATTTTTTGTAGAGATAGAGTTTCACCATGTTGCCCAGGCTGGTCTTGAACTCCTGAGCCCAAGAGATCCGCCTGCCTTGGCCTCTCAAAGTGCTGGGATTACAGGCATGCGCCACTATGCCCTGCTGGGACCTGCATTTTTTAAAGCCCTTTCTGTGCACCACCCCTGGGGGATGAAGCCCCTGGAAGTACTTACATGCCCATATAAAGCTGCCACTTTTTTCCTGTGGTCTAGCTCCTCCCAGAGCTAGGAAGTTTAGGATGCAGTCCCTTGGGTTGAAGCTATGAAAGTTGGGGCAATTGATGTGTGGACAAACTCCTTCCAGGGGGTATTCATGTATGTGGGGGTATTGCTGGAGTGAGCTAGGGTAGAACGGTTGGGAAGTGCCAGTCTGCTTTTCAGGCTGGCTGCAGGTTAATATTTGTCTGACCCTTTAACTCCCCCGTGCAAATTAGTTAGAAGCCACACCATCAAGTAGCTACTGGAAAAGTGTGTCCCTTCCAGGGAGAAACAGGAGGTGCATTTTAAAGTCCCCTCTCTGCATTGATCGCGGGGAATTAAGCCCTTGGAAATACTTAAGTGCTAGTATAAAACCGTTGCATTTTGGCCAGGCCCAGTGGCTCACACCCGTAATCCCAGCACTTTGGAAGGCCAACGTGGCGGATCACAAGGTCAGGAGTTCGAGACCAGCCTGACCAACATGGTGAAACCCTGTCTCTACTAAAAATACAAAAATTAGCTGGGCGTGGTGGTGCGCGCCTGTAATCCACCACGCCTGTAATCCCAGCTACTCAGGAGGCTGAAGCGGGAGAATCGCTTGAACCCAGGAGGCGGAGGTTGCAGTGAGCTGAGATCGTGCCACTGCACTCCAGCCTGGGAAACAGAGCGAGACTCCGTCTCAAAAAAAAAAAAAAAAGTTGCTTTTTTCCTGTGGTCTGGAGAGACTTGTTCAGGTCTAATTCCCTCCACTCCCCAGGTTGGTGAATTAAGAGCCAAACTGTGGGACATTTAGAGTTAGGGCAGTACATGTGAGGTTTAATGCCATCTCTCCACAGGGAGAAGCTGGGTGTTGGGATTTCTTTCCCACTTTTATGGTGCAGTGCTTGGGGTGAGGTCTGTGCCTGAGTGTGCCTCAGCTTTTCCTATCTATTCGGTGTGGATGTTTCCTTAATTGCTGGATGGGTAGGAGTCTCTCAGCTGGCTCTCAGAGGAATTCCCTCTGGCTTTCTGTCAGAGGCAAAGGGATATTTATTTGGTATGTTCATGGGTAGAGGGTCAGGAGCTTCCTAGTCCACCATGTTGGTGACATCACTCACAAATATTCCTTAGATTTTTGAAATTTTTGGTTAGTTTTAAGAGTTCTAGAAAAGTTGTTTTTTTCTTTTTTTTTTTTTTTTGGAGATGGAGTCTCACTTTGTCACCCAGGTGAAGTGCAGTGACGTGATCCCGGCTCACCGCAACCTGCGCCTCCCGGGTTCAAGCAATTCTCCTGCCTCAGCCTCCCAAGTAGATGGCATTACAGGCATCTGCCACCATGCCTGGCTAATTTTTGTATTTCTAGTAGAGACGGGGTTTCACCATGTTGGCCAAGGTGGTCTCAAACTCCTGATCTCAGGTGATCTTCCCGCCTTGGCCTCCCAAAGTGCTGGGATTACAGGCATGAGCCACCGCACTCAGCTAAAAAAGTTGATTTTGACCATTTTTGCCAGTGTTTTTCTTGCTTTTATGGAGGAATGCATTTTCAAACGTCCTTATTCTGCCCTTCTAAAAGTGCTTCTTCAGATGACTTCTATTTTAAGAAATAGAAAGCTTTAAACAATATTGGCTGCTCATAAAAAATCATCTTTGAGTATAACATTTGAGTATAAGTCTACTTTTAACATGAAGAAACAAAAGTTATTTTTTATTTCCTGTGTGTTTTTCCCTGACAGCAGAGTTTAGGTTCTTACCCAAACTGAATGTGAATTTCACTTCTCAAAAAGCATGTTATTTTTCTTTCTTTTTTTTTTTTTTTTAATTTTCCTGTTGTGCTGACTCATGTCACAGTCTTGGGTCATGATATAAAATAAAACAATAGGATTCTTCACCTATAAAGAAGTTAGAGTTCCTAATGACAAGGTTGTTGTGAAATATAGTTTTCTTACACAGCCAAGATGAAGGCCTTTCCCAGAGAACACTTTTTTCTGTTGTCCTCCAAGATCAGGTCCTAATTCAGAATAATATAACTATCAAGGCATTTCTTTTTTAACAGCAAAATCATCTTACACTTCCCAGACAGCTACTGGATTACACCAAAAATTCACTCCCACACAGCATAACACTCATAAGGAAAGAAGGATACAAGGAGGGATGCTAAAAATAATTAGGTATAATTGGCATGCTCCATATTTTTAAAATTAGTTTATCAGTATTATGAGCTGCCTTGTCCATCATGTCCACAAAGTAGAGAAAGATGTCAGACCAAAAAGAGGGGCTCATTCCTTCTAGATATTTTTTTGAGATAGGGTCTCACTGTCACCCAGGCTAGAGTATAGTGGCACAAACACTGCTCACTGCAGCCTTGACCTCTTGGGCTCAAGCGATCCTCCTGCCTTAGCCTCCCCAAGTAGATGGGACTACAGGTGTGCACCACCATGCCCAGCTAATTATTTATTTTTTGTAGAGACGAGGTCTCACTATGTTGTCCAGGCTGTACAGATGTGAACCACCGCACCCAGCTAAGATGATTTTTATGCAAGGTAAAGTATTGTGAGTATGATTGTGGACCTTCCTGGAAGGATAAAAGTATACTCATATTCATGTGCAAGGCCTTACGTGATGACTGTCACATTTATGCCCATGTTGATTTTATTCCATAGTTTAACCTTGTACTATTGGTAGCAATTGTAGTACACGTGTTACAAAATAGACTATAAGGCCCTCAAGATTTGTAAATACATTCATTATCTATATCACCTGCAGAGCTCAGCCAACTAGAGAAGACACATAGAATTATCAAACATAAGTTAGGCTGGGCACGGTGGCTCACACCTGTAATCCTAACACTTTGAGAGCCCGAGGCGGGTGAATCACTTGAGGCCAGGAGTTCGAGACCAGCCTGGCCAACATGATGAAATCCCATCTCCACCAAAAACACAAAAAAATTAGCCAGATGTGGTGGCGTATGCCTGTGGTCCCAGCTACTCAGGAGGCTGAGGCATGAGAATCGCTTGAATCTGGGAGGTAGAGATTACAGTGAGCTGAGATCACGCCACCGCACTCCAGCCTGGGTGTCAGAGCAAGACTGTCTAAAAATTAAGAAAAAAGTTAAATCGGTTGAGAAGACTAAACCTCCCTGTCCCTTGCTCCCTCCCCAGGTTCTAATAATAATAGGTTCTATGTAGCCATCATCTGAGTCCTCATGAAATCTAGCAGTCGCCAGTAGGTTTGTGCCGTTATGTAGTAAACCCCAGTGAATATTCTTCTTTCATTCTGATATTAAAAATGAATAGATTGGCCAGGCTGTTTGATACTCTCAACAACTGGTTTCCTTTTTTTTTTTTTTTTTTTTTTAAGACAGGGTCTCACTCTGACGTCCTTGGCTGGAGTGCAGTGGTATGATCACCACTCACTGCAGCCTCAACCTCCCTGGGCTCAAGAGATCCTCCCACCTCAGCCTCCCAAGTACCTGAGACTACAGGAACATGCCACCACACCCAGCTCAACAGCTGGTTTCTATTCTCCACTCTTGTTTGTCTAAACATACCTGCTATACTTTGCTGACAGGAAATAAACCCATGTATCTGATATCATCACCGTAAACTAACACTTGGTTGAGTCAACCTACCAGAGTCCTCAGACTAGGGATTTCTAGCAAAATTTCAGCCCTCAGGCAGAAGACTTCTCTGGGGGAAGATGCTAGCCCAAGAACATGTAACTAGAAAAGGAAAGAGGAAAGTTAATGAAAGAGATATGATTGTGGTTATAGTCTTGGTATTTTTGGTAATGTACTTCATGTTCCCTTTTCTCTAATTTTTTAGGGGGTTAGGCATATGATATAGCCTTTTTCTTTCCCCTGGCTCTGGTCTCTAACACTCAGTTTAGCAAAACTTACCTGTGCCAGCTGGAATAAACACTCTTTTTTAAAAAAAGTCCTTGGTCAATGGGCTACCTCATAAACATCTCTAATGGTGTTATCTACATCTACACCAAGAATAGACTCACTCCTTGACTGCCAAATCCTATCTTTTTTTTTTTTTTTTTTTTTTTGGAGACAGGGTCCCACTCTGTCAACCCAGGCTGGAGTGCAGTGGTACAATCACCGCTCACTGCAGGCTCAACCTCCCCGGGCTCAGGAGATCCTCCGACCTCAGCCTCCCAAGTAGCTGGAACTAAGGCGTGCGCCATCACACCCAGCTAATTTTTGTATTTTTTTTCTAGAGACTTGATTTCACCATGTTGCCCAGGCTGGTCTCAAACTCCTAAGCTCAAGCCATCCACCCTCTTCGGCCTCCCAAAGTGCTGAGGTTACAGGCATGAGCTACCACACTCAGCCTCCAACCAATCTTTTAGATTGGGAATGGAGTTTGTCTCAGATGATAGATTTTTATGAAGCCACATGCCAAATTTGTTAGAATAGTTTCCCTCATGTGCACACCTCGCAGAAACTCAGAATCATCCCCTCAGTAATTTTCATCCCCCGTCATGCCCATTTACAATTAATCCCTGTTCTCACTTCCAGCCCCAGGCAGCTACTACTCTACTTACCGCCTCTATAAATTTGCCTTTCCTGCACATTTCACGTAAGTGAAATCATGCCACATGAAGCCTCTTAGGTCTGGCTCCTTTCACTTAGCATAATGTTTTTGAGGTTCATCCACAACATAGCATGTGTCATCACGTTTCATTGCTGCAGTCTTCTACTGTATGGATTTACCACATTTTGTCTATCCACTCACCAGCTGCTAAAAATTTAGGTTATTGCCAGGTGCGGTGGCGCACGTCTGTAATCCCAGCACTTTGGGAGGCCGAGACAGGTGTATCACCTGAGGTCAGGAGTTCAAGACCAGTCTGACCAACATGGCGAAACCCTGTATCTACTAAAAAATACAAAAATTAGCCAGGCATGGTGGTGTGTGCCTGTACTCCCAGATACTTGGGAGGCTGAGGCAGGAGAATCGCTTGAATCCAGGAAGCAGAGGTTACAGTGAGCCAAGATCACGCCATTACGCTCCAGCCTGGGCAACAAGACCAAAATTCCGTCTCAAAAAATATATATACATACATACATATGTATACTTATACGTATGTATGTATGTATACATACATATGTATACTTATACGTATGTATGTATGTATACATACATATGTATACGTGTACATACGTATACGTGTATACGTGTATACGTGTACACGTGTACATACGTATACGTGTATACGTGTATACGTGTACACGTGTACATACGTATACGTGTATACGTGTATACGTGTATACGTATACGTGTATACGTGTACATACGTATACGTGTATACGTGTATACGTGTATACGTATACATACGTATACGTGTATACGTATACATACGTGTATACGTGTATACGTATGTATACGTGTATACGTGTATACGTGTACATACGTATACGTGTATACGTGTACATACGTATACGTGTATACGTGTACATACGTATACGTGTATACGTGTACATACGTATACGTGTATACGTGTACATACGTATACGTGTATACGTGTACATACGTATACGTGTATACGTGTACATACGTATACGTGTATACGTCTGTATACGTGTATACGTGTATACGTGTACATACGTATACGTGTATACGTGTACATACGTATACGTGTATACGTGTACATACGTATACGTGTATACGTGTACATACGTATACGTGTATACGTGTACATACGTATACGTGTATACGTGTACATACGTATACGTGTATACGTGTATACGTGTATACGTATATATAGGTTATTGCCAGCTTGGGACTATTATGTATAATGATACCTAATATTATGAATATTCATAATTAAGTTTTGTTATGTTGATTTTCATTTCTCCTGAGTAGATACCTGGAAGTGGAATTTTGAGTTGTATGGTAGTTTTACATTTAACTTTTTGAGAAACTGCCACACTGTTTTCCAAAGGGCTGTACCATTTTACATCCCCACCAGCACTGTGTGAGGGTTCACATCCTTGCCAACATTTGTTATTGTCTATCTTATTATTATTGCCATTCTAATAGGTATAAAATGGTATATTACTGGGGTTTTAATTTGCACTTTTCTAATGATTAATAATGTTGAGTATCTTTTCACGTAACTACTCATAATTTGTGTATCTTCTTTTTTTTTTTTTCTGAGACACAGTCTCGCTCTGTCACCCAGGCTGGAGTGCAGTGGCATGATCTCAGCTCACTGCAATCTCCACCTCCCAGTTTCAAGCAATTCTCCTGTCTCAGCCTCCCGAGTTGCTGAGATTACAGGCATGTGTCACCGCACCTGGCTAATTTTTGTATTTTTAGTAGAGACAGGGTTTTGCCATGTTAGCCAGGCTGGTCTTTACTCCTGGCCTTAAGTGATCCGGCCGCCTCAGCCTCCCAACGTGCTGGGATTACAGACATGAACTACCGCACTCGACCTATGTATCTTCTTTAATGAAGTTTGTTCATTTCTTTTGCCCATTATTTGATTGGGTCAACTGCCTTATAATTACTGAGTTGTAAGTGTTCTTTGTATATTATGAATACAGATGCTTTATCAGATGTGTTTTGTAAATATTTCCTCCAGTCTGTTGCTTGTCTTTTAATTTTCTTAAGGCTGTCTTTTAAAGGGCAAGAGTTTTGAATTTTAAGTCCAATTTATCAATTTTTGCATTCATCACCTATGCTTTTGGTCCAAAAAAGAAGTGGGCCAGGCTTGGTGGTTCACGGCTGCAACCCCAGCACTTTGGGAGACCGAAGTGGGTGAATCACTTGAGCCCAGGAGTTCCAGACCAGCCTGGCCAACATGGAGAAACCCTGTCTCTACTAAAAATACAAAAATTAGCTGGGTGTGGTGGCGCATGCTTGTAGTCCCAGCTACTCAGGAGGCTGAGGCAGTAGAAGCCGGGAGGCAGACATTGCAGTGAGCTGAGATCACACCACTGCATTCCAGCCTGGACAAGAGAGAGACTCCGTCTCAAAACAAAAACCAACACACACACACACACACACACACACACACACACACACACACACACAAAATAAATAAGTAAAAGAAATAGGTCGGGCATAGTGGCTCATGCCTGTCATCCCAGCACCTTGGGAGGCCAAGTCAGGTGGATTGCTTGAGGCCAGGAGTTTGAGACCAGCCTGACCAAATGGTGAAACCCCGTATCTACTAAAAATTATGAAAATTAGCTGGGCATGGTGGCACATGCCTATAATCCCAGCTTCTTGGAGGCTGAGGCATGAGAATTGCTTGAACCCAGGAAGCAGAGGTTTCAGTGACACGAGATTGTGCCACCGCACTCCAGCCTTGGTGACAGAGTAAGACTCCATCTCAAAAAAAGAAAAAAAAGTTGGTTTTAGATGGTACTTATCTTTAATTCCACTAATCCAAATATATCTGTAAACTAATCATATTTGTAAATGGTGTCACTGATCCTGTAGAGAACATGATGCAACAATTGACCTTGTTTACAAGACTACCCAGGGCGGTCAGCAGTGGATTGCTCCACTTTTCGGGTTGATGTAGTTTTTCTGGTTTTTTCTGTGTGTGTGTAGTTTTTCTTTTTTTTTTCTTTTTTTTTTTTTTTGAGACGGAGTCTCACTCCATTGCCCATCGCCCAGGCTGGAGTGCAATAGCAGGATCTCGGCTCACTGCAACATCCACCTCCCGGGTTCAAGCAATTCTCATGCCTCACCTTCCCAACAAGCTGGGGTTTACAGGCATGTGCCATCACGTCTGGCTGATTTTTTTGTATTTTTAGTAGAGACGGAGTTTCACCATGTTGGCCAGGCTGGTCTTGAACTCTTGCCCTCAAGTGATCCGCCTGCCTCGACCTCCCAAAGTGCTGGGGTTACAGGCATAAGCCACCATGCCCGGCCTGGGTTGATGTAGTTATTTGCATAGGTTTAAAGAGTTGATCCTCCTTCTTACTAGGATCTAACCAAAAAATTAAATTTGTAACTATGACCGTGCATGAAATAGAAACTGACCAGAAAACAACGAGGTCTGTTGCAAACCTTGTGATTCTCCTGTCCTTCCAAGTACATGATAAGATCATGTTTTCCTGGCCTTCTTGAATTTAGGCATGCTCATGACTTGATTTGGCCAATGATATAAGTGACAGGTGGAAATTTGAAGAGCCTTATGGAATTCGCTAAGTTCCCTCTTCCTGTTTCATAGAAGATGGAGCCTCCATCAGCCTGGGCCTGGAATGAGAAGCAGAACCCCCTGGCTGCTAATGTAGTCCAGGAAAGAGAAATGAACAGAATCCCTCTGATAACCCACATTAAACATTGCAGCTTGAGCAAGAAATAAACATGATTTGTGGCCAGGCACAGTGGCTCACATCTGTAATCCCAGCATTTTGAGAGGATCACTTCAGTGCAAGTTCAAGACCAACCTGGGTAAGATAGTGAGAACCTCCCTGTCTTTACTATTGTATATATATAATACATATTTTATATGTGTATATATTAGCTGGATGTTGTGGCTCACAGCTGTAGTCCCAACTACTCAGGAGGCTGAGGCAGGAAGATCACTTGAGCCCAGGAATTTGAAGCTGCCGTGAGCTATAATCATGCCAGTACTCCAGCCTGGGTGACAGAGAGAGACTCTGTCTCTAAACGAAAGAAAACAAACAAAAAAAACCCAAAAAGGTGAGTTGTATGATGCCACAGAAATATTACGAATGTTACTGTAATATAACCTGGCTTAATACAAAGGTTACAAACTATATTTAATGGAGAACGCTGCCTTAAAACCCTTCAGGTTATTGGTTTGGAACCTGCTTAGGAGTCGAAGTTTGGGTTCCCATCCTAGCTCTGGCAGAGCAGCTTAGGCCCAGCTCCTCTGGTCAGCCATGGACCCATTATCCCTTCAAGACACACATATTTATTCACTCCATGATGGGAAAGAGCATGTCCTTTCTTTTTTTTTTTTTTTTTTTTTTGAGGCGGAGTTTCGCTCTGTTGCCCAGGCAGGAGTGCAATGGTGTGATCTCTGGTCACTGCAACTTCTGCCTCCTGGGTTCGAGAGATTCTCCTGCCTCAGCCTCCCGAGTAGCTGGGATTACAGGTGCACACCACCACGTCCGGCTAAGTTTTGTATTTTTAGTAGAGACAGGGTTTTGCCATGTTGGCTAGGCTAATCTCGAACTCCTGACCTCAGGTGATCCGCCCGACTTGGCCTCCCAAAGAGCTGGGATTATAGGTGTGAGCCACTGTGCCTGGCCAGGCAATGTTCTTTAATTTATGTGTCTGTTTCTACATATGGAAAATGCAGACAGTAGTATCTACATGTCATCGGTATAAACAGTTTAGGATAGTGCCTAGCAGAAAATGCTTTGTGGGTATTAGCTGTTAGTGCCATATGGCTCTTGCTGCCACCCTTACCCTCTTCCCAGCAACCCATCCAAAACATGCTGGGTACAGCCATTCCCACCTCTTCTTTTGGAGAGCTGAGCACAGCACAGGAATCAACCCTGGGAAGCTTATGTTCAGTTTAAATGATAAAATCCTGAGCTAGGCTGGGCATGGTGTCTCACACTTGTAATCCCAGCACTTTGGGAGGCTGAGGTGGGTGGTTCACCTGAGGTTAGGAGTTCCAGACCAGCTTGGCCAACATGGCGAAACCCCATCTCTAATAAAAATACAAAAATTAGCCAGGCATGGTGGCCCACACCTATAGTCCCAGGTACTCGGGAGGCTGAGGCAGAATTGCTTGAATGTGGGAGGCAGAGGTTGCAGTGAGCTGAGACTGCGCTGGGTGTGGTGGCTCACGGTTGTAATCCCAGTACTTTTGAAGTCTGAGATGAAAGGTTTGCTTCAGGCCAGGAGTTTGAGATCAGCCTGGACGACATACCAAGATCTCCTCTTTATAAAAAAATGTAACAATTAGCCAGGTGGGGCTGGGCGCAGTGGCTCACGCCTGTAATCCCAGCACTTTGGGAGGCCAAGGCAGGCGGATCACTTGAGGTCGGGAGTTCAAGACCAGCCTGACCAACATGGAGAAACCCTGTCTCTACTAAAAATACAAAATCAGCCGGGCATGGTGGTGCATGCCTATAATCCCAGCTACTCTGGAGGCTGAGGCAAGAGAATCACTTGAACTTGGGAGGAGGAGGTTGCAGTGGGCCAAGATCATGCCATTGCACTCCAGCCTGGGCAACAAGAGCGAAACTCCATCTCAAAAAAAAAAAAAAAATTAGCCAGGTGTGGTGGCACATGGTTGCAGTCTCAAGTTGAGAGGCTGAGGTGGGAGGATCACTTGAGCCCAGGAGGCAGATGTTACAGTGAATCAAGGTCATGCCACTGCACTCCAGCCTGGTGACAGAGTGAGATCCTGTCTCAAAACAAACAAAATATTCCTGGGTGAGACCCTGTCTCAAAACAAACAAATGAAAAATTCCTGGGCTTGGCTCTAGATTGGAGCAATAGTAAAAAATGAAATTGAGAGCTACGAATGTCTCCTAAGTTAGAAAAATAGTTAAGTATCAGGCTAGTTTATAGCAACTGTCAGAGCTAGGAATTGGCCCAGTCTCACTGGTTTCAATCAATGGGAATTGGAAAACAAAACAGTCACGTTCCCATTCATATCCAAATAATTCTCAAGACACATGTGCGGTGTCTGGTTTATTCAAAGTGGCTGTCAGAGGCCCGACCATGGAGCAGGAACCAAATAGTTGGGAGCTGTGGGGCTGAACAGGGCAGGGATTTCCAGGTATCAGAAGGTAAAAGGAGGTCAGCTGAGCAGCCACAGCAGCATTAGGGCCAGGCTAAGCAGGAAAGGCCAGGCTGCCCAGGGCCCAGCCCCACTCATGGCTGCAGCATAGAACCTCGCCACCTCCTCATTGGGGTTGCCCTGGGCTGGGTCGAACCACATCTGGATGCAGCGGCCACTCCCTCGGCTGTAGTTGCTGACCTTGTAGGAGTGAGTCCAGATTTCATTGCACAGAACAGTGGGTGTGGGGAAGTAGAAATGGAAAGGTTGGCAGGCAGCTCCCACTGCGCACTTGTTAAACCCTGTAGAGAGGAGGGAAGACCTTTAGCCACTGGGCCCGGAACTATCTTGAGGTCTGCCAGCCCTACAACTCCAAATTGTCACATACCTGTTCCACACCCACACACCTCCACTTCCAAATCCCTCCATTCCTGCCCACCCCAGCCCTCACCTGAAGTCCAGTTCCAGCCCTTGTGCCAGTTGCTCTTGCAGGTGTAGGAGGTGCGACAATCTTCCCACCATTGCTCACAGTCCTCTTTGCACAGGGGCACGTTCAGTACCCGCTCTTTGCGCCAGCTCTGATCCACCTGGGTGATTTTGATACAAAAGAAGGGCTCAGGTTCAAGAATCCCAGCAACTCAGCCCCGAATAGAACTGGAGCTGGGGTTGCAGCCTGCAGAGATGCCTGGAAAGCTCAGCTGCTCCGCTAGGTCTTGTACCTGCAGGAAGCCATGCATACCTGCTGGATCCAGGGCCCCAAGTTGGGGGAGCACTCGTAGAGGCAGGTGTCCTGGATGAAATGCCGTTTGCAGGCAGGTGCCATCTCTCCACAGTGGTTCCAGTTGAATCTATATAGGTAGGAAACATCCTTATGGGCTTCCTGGCTGGTGTTGGTAGAACAGCAGGCATTCTTCCTCCAGGGTCGACACTGGATGGGGGAAGACAGAGGACTCAGTCCACAGCCAGCACAGCCAGCACAGCCAGAATATTCCACATGCAGTGTCTCCCCTCTTAGTCCTTGATTCCCCAGCCCACTGGAAGTCACCCAGGAAAATACTTGCTATTGGGACCTCTTTAGGGGAGAGGGCCGTCAGAGACAGTGGGAGCCCAAAAGGGAGCTCCTGCTGGAGTTGCAGTCATTACAAAATTTGTTAATTCAACCTTTATTGAGATCCTACTTACTCTCACCCAGGTACTTTTGTAGAAACTGGGGTTACAACAATGAACACATCACCTGATTTTTGCTTTGGACAAAAATTAAGCAGAGACGGATGGGGACTTGTAGTGTAATAGTGCGGTCAGATTAAGCCTCACTGAGGTGTCAAAGATTTGAAGGTAAAAAAGCAATTTAAATTGTAACCCCAGGCTGGGTGCAGTGGCTTACTTGTGTAATCCCAGCACTTTGGGAGGCCAAGGCAGGTGGATCACCTGAGATCAAGAGTTTGAGACCAGCCTGGCCAACATGGTGAAACCCCGTCTCTACTAAAAATATAAAAATTAGGCCGGGTGCGGTGGCTCACGCCTGTAATCCCAGCATTTTGGGAGGCCGAGGCGGGTGGATCACGAGGCTAAGAGATCAAGACCATCCTGGCCAACATGGTGAAACCCCGTCTCTACTAAAAATACAAAAAATTAGCCGGGCGTGGTGGCTGGCACCTGTAGTCCCAGCTACTTGGGAGGCTGAGGCAGGAGAATGGTGTGAACCCGGCAGGTGGAGCTTGCAGTGAGCCGAGATCATGCCACTGCACTCCAGCCTGGGCGACAGAGCAAGACTCCATCTCAAAAAATAAACAAACAAAAAACTAGCCAAGTGTGGTGGCGGACACCTGTAATCCCAGCTACTTGGGAAGTGTTTTGTCCCTGACTAGCTGCCTCACCCATTATCTGTTTGTGGAATTTGTGATACAAAAAAACAATGTATAGCCAATCAATTGTGGATGTTATTTTATTATAAGTTATTGAGAAACAACTTAGGAACTAATCTTTTTCCTTAAAAACTAACTTGTGATGGCTGCAAAATTCAGGACAACTTGAAACTATGCTCCTGTGTGCCTATCCTCAAGCTTCCTGAATCTCATTACTTAAGGCTGACAAGCTAAATATTAAAATGTGGGCCGGCACAGTGGCTCACATAGTGCCTGTAATCCCAGCACTTTGGGAGGTGGAGGTGGACAGATCACTTAAGGTCAAGAATGGAGACCAGCCTGGCCAACATGGCAAAACCCCATTTCTACTAAAAATACAAAAATTAGCTAGGCATGGTGGCAGGTGCCTATAGTCCCAGCTACTCTGGAGGCCAAGGCAGGAGAATTGCTTGAACCTGGGAGGTGGAGGTTGCAGTGAGCTGAGATTGTGCCACTGCACTCCAGCCTGGGCAACAGAGCAAGACTCCATCTCAATAAATAAATAAATAAATAAATAAATAAAATGTGCACTTAAGGCCGGGCGCAGTGGCTCACACCTGTAATCTCAGCACTTTGGGAGGCCAAGAGGGGCGGATTATGAGGTGAGGAGTTCGAGACCAGCCTGGCCAACATGGTGAAACCCCCATCTCTACTAAAAATACCAACAAACAAAACAAACAAACAAACAAAAAATTAGCTGGGTGTGGTGGCGTGTGCCTACTCAGGAGGCTGAGGCAGGAGAATCACTTGAACCTGGGAGGTGGAGGTTGCAGTGAGCTGAGATTGTGCCACTGCACTCCACCCTGGGCAACAAGAGCAAAACTCTATCTCAAGAAAAAAAAAAAGAAATGCGTATTACAAGTTTCTCTCCCTTGCCTCCCTCCCTTTCCTCCCTCCCTTTCCTCCCTCCCTTTCCTTCCTCCCCTTCCTTCCTTCCTTTCTTTCTTTTTTTCGTTCTTTCTTTCTTTTGACAAGGTCTCACTCTGTTGCCCAGGCTGGAGTGCAGTGGCACGATCTACAATCTCTGCCTCCTGGGCTCAACTGACCTGCCCACCTCAGCCTCCTGAGTAGCTGGGACTGCAGGCATGTGCCACCACACCTGACTAATTTTTTTTATTTTTTAGTAGAGATGGGGTTTTGCCATCTTGCCCAGGCTGGTCTCGAACTCCTGAGCTCAAGTGATCTGCCCATCTCGACATCCCACAGTGTTGGGATTACAGGCGTGAGCCGTAACACCTGGCCTACAAATTACTTTTCCTCTGCTTTTTCTTTAGTTATATCATCATGTTCAGGATATTAAAGGGGTGGTAGCAAAATAAATGTTATAGGGAGACCTCAGGTCCAATGTGGTCGAGAGACACAGCCCAAAGTTTTGCGAGATGCATGAACCAAGATGCTTCAGGAGGGCGTACGGCTCATTTCTGTAATCCCACACTTTGGGAGGCTGAGGTGGGAGGATCACTTGAGTCCAGGAATTTGAGACCAGCCTGGGCAACATATGGAGACTTTGTCTCAGGAAAAAAAAAAAAGAATGCTTTGCACACAGCCTCATAATGTGAGAGACTCTCCCTTCTTGAGCTGTTTAGGGCTGGCAGAAAAGAGGCCACTATGCACAGTGTGCAGTTTCTTCCCTCAGATCTTTGGAGGAGTCATTCCCAGTCTAAATCCCTAAATCAAGCAACCCCAGGATGGGTCACTCCAACTTCATTTCCCAGGCTCTCCTTTGGGCCTGCTTCCTTATTTCTGTAATGCGGAAACTCAACAACCAAGAAGGTGAACTGTTGGCATTGTACCGACATTTGGCACAGTGTCTGTGAAATAGTCACCCATATTAATGCAAACTGAAGGGCTCCTCCACTTCAGTTCACCAGTGAATGGGGTTTGGCATTTCCATGTCCTCGTTTCCTCTTCCTGAGCCAGTCCCTCACCACCCCAGATCACCCCCTGGCCCACCTGCTCATGCAACTTGTCCTCGGGGCCTGGCTTTTCCTTGTGGTGCTTGGCGTTCATGCAGACATTGAGAAGCTCAGTCCTGGCCCATGCAATCCTTGTCTGAGCCTCCCCTACTACAGCCACCCACACTAGAAGGAGCAGCAGCTGTGTTGTCATCCGCTGAGCCATGTCTGTCCCTGAAGAAAGAGCTGTGGTCAGTGGCACCAAGGAATGCGGAGGTGGGGCCTTAAGTTGTGTGCAGGGCTCCAGGAGGGTGGGGCCTGGACGGAAGCCTGGGGCAGATAGAGCCCTGCCCCCATCTCCCTCAGTTTTCCCAGATCCAATGAAAGGTAGGATTAGACACCACCCCTCCCTGGCTTGAGCCTCATTGCCTTCTCCAGGTGGTCACGAGGTTCAGGTGATATAATTCAAGGATGGATTTGGGCAAAATGCAGAAATAGCCAGGAGTTTGCCATAGGTCCACAATGCCTTATTCAAATGTTTCAGGGTTAAAATTTTTTAGGATTTCATCAAAGGTGATTCAAAGAAAATATAATTTTCATATACCCAATAATCAAGTGTATATTCTGGGGTGAAACAGTTACACTAGTGGGATAAATTAAAACTATACATAAACTCACATTAATTTTCAGGTCAGATTTTGACACCAAATTACTTCATTGTAAAAGTTTACAAAAATGGGCTGGGCGCGGTGGCTCATGCCTGTAATCCCAGCACTTTGGAAGGCTGAGGTGGGTGGATCACCTGAGGTCAGAAGTTTGAGACCAGCCTGGCCAACATAGTGAAACCCTGTCTCTACTAAAAATACAAAATGAGCTGGGTGCGGTGTCGTGTGCCTGTAGTCCCAGCTACGTGGGAGGCTGAGGCAGGAGAATCACTTGAATCCAGGAGGTGGAGGTTACAGTGAGCCAAGATTGTGCCATTGCACTCTAGCCTGGGTGACAGAGCGAGACTCCATCTCAAAAAAAAAAAAAAAGTTTATAAAAATGTTTTAGTTGGGGGGGCTGCAGTGTGGTTTTTGTTAGTTTGTTTTGCTTTTTAAACCTTGGTCCCAGCCCCTTTCTAGCCTCATCACTCAAGCTAGTTTAGTAGGCCCTTCCCGGAAACCATGGGATCTTGGTGGGGTGGGGTCACAGGACATGGGTGCTGGCAGGGGACAGCCAGCTGGACAGCCCTGGGGCCTTGGGGAGCTCCTGTGCCCCCTACCACAGAGCTGGCTTCTCCTTGGTCATCACAGAACTTCAATCCTTTGACCTCAGACACTGAATTTTGGGAGGCGACTGTTTCCTTCACTCCACTGGACACCAGGTGTCTGGGCCCTCCTAAAATGCTCAGAATTTATTTCCTATGACTTCTCTCCATCTGTCTCCTCTAACTCATCTTCCACATACCAGTCGCTAAAGTGGACATGCCTTTCCCGCTCACAAGCTTGCCTTGCCCCCGTGCTGCCCCTCCTCTCCTCTTGACAGGGCCTCCTTGACAGGGGTCTAGGCAGGGCCTGAGCTGGGCTGTCTCCAGGCCGACTGCACAGCAGGGCTCATATAAGCCTGGAATTGAATTCCCACCCAGCAGCTCTCTTTCCTGCTCCACAATCCATTACTCTGCTACTCTATTGATTCCAGTGTTCATTCACTCTCTCATGGTTGATTCATTCATTCCAGGATCCAATCATGCCCCTGTGGACCTGCTCACTCACTAACCTTGAGGGCCACGCCGGAGAAATCTGTACTCTCAGGGAATACCAGGTGATCCTTTGGGTTCAGTTCCTGCGGGAACAAACCCTAACTGTTTAGAGCACAGGGTTCCCGTTCAACCTGTCCCGACCCCAGCCCTCACTCCACCTTCTCCTTGGCCTTGGGGGAAAGAGAAGCAAACTATCTTGAGGCTTAGCTTTCTCCTGCAAGGATTAAATGTAAGAAGGGGGAAATCAACAAATGATAGCCAGTTTAATCTTTGTGGAATCATTTCAGCACAGATGAGGGCCATGCCCCAAGTCACACAGTAGGGACCACCCAAGTTCAGGCCAGAGCTCTTTTGGCCTTTGCCCCCTGCACCTTCAGAGTGCTGAGGCTCTCATGGGTGCGGCCAACACACAGTGCTGGGGATGGGGGCTGAGAAAATCCTTTCCCCAGCCCCCAGTGGAGCCCACCTGTTCAGTCAGTAGTCTCTCTTGCTGTGGCTGCTTCTGAAGCCAGGCTCTCTTCCTGTCCTTTTGAGCAGCATCACTCTGCAAGCTCCTTTCCCACCTGCCTAGTCTCACCTTCAGGTCTTAGTCCAGCTGTGACCCCTCCCCACCAACAATCATGACCCCCACACCCAACCTTGGGGCCCCAGACTAGAAGAGCTGAGAACTCAGCTCTGGACTGAAGGGCTAGAGCCCAGGTACTAGTTCAGGGGGATGAACACTAACTTGTCGTTTAACCTTGAGCAGGCCACACTCTGGTCTGGGCCTCAGTCTCCACTTCAAGATTCTCTGGCCTTCAGGCAAACAGAGGGCCCTTCCAGTTCAGAAAATCCTTAACACATGGTGGGAATGCCATAGGGTGTGTGGCCTCTGAAGGGGGATGGGGAGTGTCACATACCTGGGAGAGGAGGTGGCTCTCCGTCTGGCTCAGGCTTCTGCTCTGCTCTACACTCCCCCTTGCCTTATTCCAGGGG
The DNA here is from genome assembly GCF_000001405.40 of Homo sapiens. Taxonomy (NCBI): domain Eukaryota; kingdom Metazoa; phylum Chordata; class Mammalia; order Primates; family Hominidae; genus Homo; species Homo sapiens. The sequence continues at coordinate 72,189,683 of NC_000011.10, read as the reverse complement.
ACAGCTGTGGTTTAGTGGCCTAGGAGACAGGCAGGGAGTGGGAATGGAGCCCAGGAGTGGAGCCTGGGATTGGGCGAAGGCCACTCAGCAGTTAATTATTGTATGTGAGCACCAGCCAGGCCTCCATGGGGTAGTGGGAGGGGGTGAATTAACAGTGCAGGCCTAAGGCCAGTCCCTAAGCTCCACCTACCCAATTTTTTCCCAAACACTGAGGTCTGAAAAAAATCTTGCAGCCTGAGCTGCCAGGATCCTTTGAGCTAATCTCATCAGTTTCCAACCCCTCTGTCCTGTTAGGCAGATGAGGAAAATGAGATCCGGAGGATCAAGGCAAGGGCTAGAGCCCAGGCTTCCAACCTCCCAGTCAGCTATAGAGAGCAAGGATCTCCCAAGGCCATAAATTGTAGAGCCACCAACTCCCCCAACCCCATTAGCCCAGGTGTCACCCATCACCAGCCACAAAATCACAGATGTTCTGAATCTTTTGATCAGATCTTCAATTGTTTGAAGGGCCAAGCTCTCCTTCCATCCCCAACTCATGGACCCCCTCTCCCGGCAACTCAGGTATCCTTTCTACAGCACCTGTGATTCTGGGCTAACTCTTCCCTCCATCTCCACCCCAGTCAATGACAGAAGCCTTCATTTTTTTTATTCTCTGAGCCCATGGTGGTACCACAGATGGGAAAAGGGAGAGGGAGGGGCAGGTTTGGGCAGGAAGAAACATAGAACACTGTTTTGTCGAGGTGCCTGTGTGCCCTTGGCCCGGGGAAGGTGGTTGTAGAGGGGAAAGCTCAGGGGAAGAGTCCAGGTTGGATGCAGATGTGGGAACCATCAGACTATGAGTGGCAGTAAGTGTAGGGAAAATGGGGGCCCAGTAATCTGGGCAATGCCACAAGAAAGGACCCAAGGAGGAGGCAGGCAGGGGAGCCTGAGAAGACAGTTGGATCTCTAGAGGAAAATCAACCAAGAAGGAAGGCTCTCTAGGGCCTGCAAGCAGACCAATTCCCAGGAGATCCCAGCTTATGTCCTGCAACAGTGAGCCATACCTGAATCTTGTGACAACCTGAGAAGTGTCAACTTAAAATCACCAGATCTATATATTTGGAAACAATATTTTTTCTTATGTCAGGTTGTAACCTGCAGGCTGGTAAGTGGAGCCTTTGGCTGAGACCAAAAGCAGGCAATTTGAGGGAGGAAGGGTGGGACAGGAGTTTTATGTAAAATGGGTTGGCTAGCATACATATTAATGGGTTATAGGAAAAGCTATGAATGTTCATGAAAGGGAGCCACATGCATGTATACTAAGCAAACATACATGTTACATACATCTTGTGTTCACTTTGGGGTTGAGATTTAACATTAATTTTTTTATTTTTTCATTTATTTATTTATTTTTGAGTCGGAGACTTGCTCTGTAGCCCAAGCTGGAGTGCAGTGGCACGATCTTGGCTCACTGCAACCTCCGCCTCCCAGATTCAAGAGATTCTCCTGCCTCAGCCTCCCGAGTAGCTGGAATTATAGGCGCCTGACACCATGCCTGGCTAATTTTTGTATTTTTAGTAGAGATGGGGTTTTACCATGTTGGCTAGGCTGGTCTCAAACTCCTGACCTCAAGTGATCCGCCTACCTCAGCCTCCCAAAGTGCTGGGATTACAAGTGTGAGCCGCGGCACCTGGCCTGTTTTTTTTTTTTTTTTTTTTTTTTGGGCAGAGTCTCACTCTATCACCCAGGCTGGAGTGCCGTGTCACAATCTCGGCTCACCGCAACCTCCACCTCATGGGTTCAAGTGATTCTCCTGCCTCAGCCTCTAGAGTAGCTGGGATTATAGGTGTGCACCACCACACCCAGCTATTTTTTGATATTATTTCTTAGTAGAGATGGGGTTTCACTGTGTTGGCCAGGCTTGTCTCAAATTCCTGGCCTCAAGTGATCTGCCCACCTTGGCCTCCCAAAGTGCTGGGATTATAGGTGCGAGCCACGGCACCCGGCCTATTTATATTTTTATTTAAAAATAGTGAAAGAAGGCTGGGTGCAGTGGCTCATGCCTGTAATCCCAGCACTTTGGGAGGCCGAGATGGGCGGATCACCTGAGGTTAGGAGTTCGAAACCAGCCTGGCCAACATGGTGAAAACCCGTCTCTACTAAAAATAAAAAAATTAGCTGGGCATGGTGGCGCACACCTGTAATCCTAGCTACTATTGGGGGCTGAGGCAGAATTGCTTGAACCTGGGAGGCAGAGGTTGCAGTGAGCCAAGATCACACCACTGCACTCCAGCCTGGGCAACACAGCAAGACTCCGTCCCCCGCCCCCGCAAAAAAAGAGAGAGACAGGGTCTCACTATATTGCCCAGGCTGGTCTCGAACTCCTAGGCTCAAGCAATCCTCCCACCTTGGCCTCCCAAGGTGCTAGGATTGCAGGTGTGAGCCACCATGCCCAGCCAAGACTTAACCTTAAAATGCAGTCTTAGGCCTGGCATGGTGGCTCGCGCCTGTAATCCAAGCACTTTGGGAGGCCGAGGCGGGCGGATCACGAGGTCAGGAGATCGAGACCATCCTGGCTAACATGTGTTATGGTGAAACCCTGTCTCTACTAAAAATACAAAAAATTAGCCGGGTGTGGTGGCGGGTGCCTGTAGTCCCAGCTACTCGGGAGGCTGAGGCAGGAGAATGGCATGAACCCGGGAGGTGGAGCTTGCAGTGAGCCAAGATGGTGCCACTGCACTCCAGCCTGGGTGACAGAGCGAGACTACGTCTCAAAAAAAAAAAAAAAAAAATGCAGACTTAGGCTGTACACATCAAAAGGCGAAACATAGGACACAAAGGCACTTTGTGTGCCGCCTCTCTAAATTGGCCAGAACCACCCCATGGTTAATAGGAATTGATCAGGAAGGAATGCTTTGTGAGCTGGTCAGCTGTCATATCAAAATCACAAAAAGAGGCCGGGCCCAGTGGCTCATGCCTGTAATCCCAGCACTTTGGGAGGCTAAGGCAGGTGGATCCTTTGAGCCCAGGAGTTTGAGACAAGCCTGGGCAACACAGCAGAACTCCATATCCACAAAAAAATACAAAAGTTAGCTAGGCATGGTGGTGTGTGCCTGTAGTCCCAGCAACTTGGGAGACTGAGGCGGGAAGATCACTTGAACCCAGGAGGCAGAGGCTGTAATGAGCCGAGATCATGCCATTGCACTCCAGCCTGGGTGACAGAGCCTGTCTCAAAAAAAAAAAAAAAAAAAGAGACCCTGTCTCCAAAAAAAAAACAAAAACAAGAACAAAACAAAATAAAAACACGAAAAAAAGAGGGACGTCTGGCCACAGCATCAGGTGGTTGAAGTTGAAATCAGCAGGATTCTTCCATCTGTTTTCCAGGACTGGTTTCTTCTTAACTGTTAGGAAAAAAGTCGGTAACAGTAAGGAAGAGGGTGTACTGGGGTGTGACCAGCCTCCTGTCTTATCATAGCCAAGAAACTTAGATTTTGAAGTTTTTGTGGGGTCTCCTTGGCCAAGATGGGTTTGTTCAGTCAGTTGAGGGGGCTTTGATTTTCTTTTCTTTTCTTTTCCTTTTTTTTTCTGAGACAGAGTCTCGCTCTCTCACCCAGGCTGGAGTGCAGTGGCGTGATCTCGGCTCACTGCAACCTCTGCCTCCCAGGTTCAAGCGATTCTCCTGGCTCAGCCTCCTGAGTAGCTGGGATTACAGGCACCCACCACCATGCCTGGCTAATTTTTGTATATTTAGAAGGGACAGGGTTTCACCATGTTGGCAAACCTGGTCTTGAACTCCTGACCTCAGGTGATCCACCTGCCTCGGCCTCCCAAAGTGTTGGGATTACAGGTGTGAGCCACCGCACCCGGCGGGTTTTCTTTTTATTTCACATTTCCTCTTTTTAGCTGAGATCAGCCACAGGCAGCATCAATGGCAAAATTTGTATCATGTTGTTGCCAGGATGGTGAGGTTGCCTGCTCCAGGTCCATCCAGTCCTTTGGTGGGACCCTTGTGGCCAAGAGACTTATAGCCAATTGAACTCTGGCCAGACAGGAATAGAGGTGGGCAGACCTCAACCCCTAAGGTCTATCAAGCAACATAAAGGCCAAAAGGTAGGGCTACCAATTTAACTTGTCTATAAGATCTACGCATTGAGCCAGCATAATTCTGGTTTTAGCAGCAGACTTACAGCAGTTGGTTATACATATTATAGGTAATTAAATGTTAAGAAGAAAAGGTTAATGGAGACTATTACTATAACAAGGACTTGAATGGCATCTTGAAAGGAACTTCCCAGTGTGGTAGAAAGCCAACTAAATAGGTAATTGATGGGATCAGTAGTTCATACATCTTGTAACCATTTAGCTTGTTTGGAAATTCTTTTTTTTTTTTCTTTTTTCTTTTTGAGATGGAGTCTCGCTCTGTCGCCCAGGCTGGAGTGCAGTGGCACAATCTCAGCTCACTGCAACCTCCGCCTCCGGGTTCAAGCAATTCTCCTGCCTCAGCCTCCTGAATGCAGCCTCCTGATTACAGGCATGCACCACCACACCTGGCTAATTTTTGTATTTTTAGTGGAGACAAAGTTTCACCATGTTGGCCAGGCTGGTCTCGAAAGCCTGACCTCAGGTGATCTGCCCCCCTTGGCCTCCCAAAGTGCTGGGGTTACAGGTGTGAGCCACCATGCCCGGCTGAAAATTATTTCTGTATGAATTTCTTTTCCTTTTTTGAGACAATCTCACTTGGCACCCAGGCTGGAATACAGTGGCGTAATCTTAAATCTCCACTCTCTGCAACCTCCCCCTCCCAGGCTCAAGCAATTATTGTGCCTCAGCCTCCTGAATAGCTGGGATTACAGGTGTGTGCCACCATGCCCAGCTTTCTTTTCTCTTTTTATTTTTATTTTTTGAGACAGAGTCTTTCTCTCTCTCCCAGGCTGAAGTGCAATGGCATGATCTCTGATCACTGCAACCTCCGCCTCCCAGGCTCAAGCAATCCTCCTGCCCCAGCCTCCCAAGTAGCTGAGACTACAGGTGTGTGCTACCATGTCCTGTTAATTTTTGTACTTTTTGTAGAGACAGGGTTTCCCCATGTTGCTCAAGCTGGTCTCAAACTCCTGAGTTCAAGCGATCCTCCGGCCCCAGCCTCCCAAAGTGCTGGGACTACAGGCATGAGCCACTGGGCCCAGCCCTGTATAGTTTCTACTTCACTTGAAATGTTGATGTAAGTGCCACAGATCTTAGGGACCACCACACAGACTCTTCCCTGTTTGGCTAAGAGAAAATCTAAGGCAATTAAATTATCTATTACTACTTGAGCCAGGGAATTCAGAGACTTTGTTGGGCTGGAAGGCTTTGTGCAGTATCTCCAGCTACCTGTTCAATAGTGGCAGATAGTTTTGAATGTGCTGGTCAAGTTTTGAATTAGACTCCTTCAGTTTTGAATTAATCTCATTTAAGGAGGTTATCTGAGATTCCTGTGTTTAGAACTCTCATAATACCACTTAAAAATGGTCTCCCATGGGAGGATTCCTTGAGTCCAGGAATTTGAGACGAGCCTGGGCAACATGGTAAAACCCTGTTTCTACAAAAAAATTAAAAATTGAAAATAAATTAGCAGGGTGTGCCGGTGCATGACTGTAGTCCCAGCTACTTGGGTGGCAAAGGTGGGAGGATGGCTTGAGCCCAGGAGGTCGAGGCTGCAGTGAGCCGTGATTGTACACAACGCTCTAGTCCCCGTGACAGAGTGAGACCCTGTCACACACACACACACACACACACACACACACACACAAAAGGGCCTCCCATTGCTTCTCAGAGGTCTAGAACTCTCTCTGTTCTCATTGTGCCTACTAATAAACGAATTGAGGCATGTCAAACGTTCTGTCAAAAGATCTCCATTTTGGCATATAAAGCTTTTAATTGTTCCAGGTTAGCTTTTTCTAGGATCCCAAATATTCACAAGACTTTTTCTCATAATTCCGAAACATGTAACTTCCTGATGGCAGCTGGTCAGGGACTGTCTGTCCCCTTAGAACCTAGGTTCCCCATAACAGCATTTACTTAAAGACGTCCCTGCGAGTGCCACTAGAGGGCAAGCATCCTCACCAAACCTGATGGGCCGGATGAGTCAGGCTGAACTGCCCCCAACCTCCCCCACTAGAAACCCAACACAGCAAAGATAGCCCTTGCAGGGTCTGGATGGAGAGGATCAGAGAAAAAAAATGAAGTCTCTGAAATGTCAACCTAAAACCAGGAGATCTTAGATCAGGGAGAGCTTACCCACCTTCCTCCCAAAGCTGTCAGGGAGACAACTGAGCTGTCAATGGCTCCACCAGCCACCAGTGCATTCACTCACGCTGCGGGGAGCCTGGGCTGCTCTGTGGATCCTACTCTTGTCTTCAATTATATTGGCTTAAAATCACAAGATCTTTACATTTAGAAAGGAGAGCTTTCTTTCTTTCTTTTCTTTTTTCTTTTCCTTTTTTTTCTTTCTTTCTTTTTTTTTTTTCAGACACAGTTTCACTCTATCGCCCAGGTTGGAGTGCAGTGGCACGATCTCACTGCAACCTCCGCCTGCTGGGTTGAAGCGATTCTCATGCCTCAGCCTCCCGAGTAGCTGGAATTACAGGTGCCCACCACCATGCCTTGCTAATTTTTGTATATTTAGTAGAGACAGAGTTTCACCATGTTGACCAGGCTGGTTTCAAATTCTAGACCTCAAGCAATCCGCCCGCCTTGGCCTCCCAAAGTGCTGTGATTACAGGTGTGAGCCACCTCGCCCAGCCTAGGAGAGCTTTATTTCTTATGATGTGCAGGCTGGGAAGTGGAGTGAGGGTAGAACAAGGGTTTTATGCTAAAAGAGTTGGCTAAACATACATATTTAATAGGTTTTAGGAGAATCTATGAATATTTGTGATAGTTGCACACATGTGTACTAAGCAAACATACATATTACATATGTCCCATATTCCCTTTGGAGTGGAGACATTAAAATGCAGTTGATACCGGGTGCAGTGGCTCATGCCTGTAATCCCAGCACTTCAGGAGGCTGAGGCGGGTGGATCACCTGAGGTCAGGAGTTCGAGACCAGCCTGGCCAATATGGTGAAACCCCATCTCTACTAAAAATACAAAAATTAGCCGGGCATGGTGGCAGGCGCTTGTAGTCCCAGCTACTCAGGAGGCTGAGGCAGGAGAATCCCTTGAACCCAAGAGGCGGAGGTTGCACTGAGCAGAGATCGCGCCGCTGTACTCCAGCCTGGGAAACAGAGTGAGACTCCATCTCAAAAAAAAAAAAAAAAAATGCAGTCAAATTTGCCTCTGTATGTCAAAAGGGGAAACACAGGACCCAAGCACTTTGTGTGCTGCCTCTGTAAACCAGCCAGAACTGGTCCATGGTTGGGAGTCATTGATCAGCCAGGAATGTTTTGTAAGCTGATCAGCTGTCATGTCAAAATCAGGTAAGGAAAGGGAATCTGGCAGTTGGTTGAAATCGAAATCAGTGAAGGAGTCTCCTGTTCTTGGTTTTCCAGGGCTGGTTTCTGTTTAGCTCTTGGGAAAGAAGCCTGGTAACGGTTCGTGAGGAAGCTATCATCACGGCCAGGAAACTTGGATTTTAAAGTTTTTCCGGGGTCTCTTTGGCCAAGAGGTGTCCATTCAGTTGTTTGGAGGGTTGAGGATTTTATTTGTATTTCCCAGAGGGTTGAGTCCTCTTAAGACCTCAGCAGGTAGAGGCCTCTGGAACCCTCAGGCCTCTTTCCTTCTTTATACCCCAGTGCTGATGGGAGAAGGGCAGGCAGGTGTCTAGGAACGCCTGAACACGGGAGCTCCTCTAGATGGAGCTCCTGCCCTCTCATCCACTGCCCATGGCTTGGGGGCTGATCATGAACTGAACTTTATGGCCCCTCCACTGCAGGAGTGAGACCTGCTACCTGAGGCAGTTCCCTAGGCCATGAGGGCTTCAGAATAATACCAGCAAATGGAAGGTTGGGTTGGAGGTCAAGTTCAGTTCCTCTGGTAAGTCCTCACCACTTGTGGAGTCTCAGAGCCCTGCTCTGAAGGATGAGGTGGTGCGCCTATCTGGAGTCTGGGTGCTAGGGCCAGCAGGGAGGGACAGTCAGGCAGTCAGCTTGAACCAGTCCAGAGAGTATCTGCCTGAGCTGGAAGCTTAATACCACAAGGTTAACCATTGGCATTCCTTCTAACCCCAACCCGAAGGCTGCCCTAGGACCAGGCAGATAACAGGAAGGTGTTTGGCTCACAGAGGTGGAGACTCTGGGCTTCAGGAAGCAGGAGAGGGGCCTCAGAGTGGGGAGGAGAGAACCCTGAGGTCTTCCCTGAGTGCCAGCCTATCACACATGCAATCTCACCTCACTCATCTTCCCAGCTGCAGAAACTACTGATCTCAGTCCGATTCTAAGCCTGCCTTCTTTCACCTAGCAGTTGCAGGAGAGAAGCTCTGTGAGGGGCCCACAGGGCACCGTCCTAAGGAATGCAGATCCAGTGTTTCTTCTTTGGCCTTAACCGCTGCCCACTCCCCACATAACTTCTCTCTCAGCCACCCTGGAATTCTGCTCGCACTTCTATTACCTCTAAGCCTTTGCACTTGCTGAGACCTGTCCACGGAATGCCATTCCCCGTGCTGTTTTGTGCTTGGCAAACACTCCTTTGGAAGCCTTCCCTGACCTCTTTGGGCTTCAGCAGAATAACACCACACTCTGTGCTTCCCTCTGTGAAAGCCTCATCTCCTTGTTCTAAGAGTCACTGGTTCTCAGAACTGTCTGTCCCCACCAGACCTTGCAAGGAACTCAATTCCCTTTCTGTTGGCTGAGACCAGCATGGGCCAGTGAACTGGATGCTCAGAAGGACTTGTTGACTGACAGAATGGATGCAGCGATTCCTTAACTTACTGAGCACATTCTCGGTGCCAGGCACTGACCCAGACTCTGGGGATATAGCATAAAATGACACAGACACAGCCCTGCTTTGGGGAGAGTATGTTTTGTTAGGAGAAAGGCTGACAACAAACACAGTAGACAAAAATCCACGCAAGGGCACAGAATGATGTGATGAGAAATCAGCTGGCTGGGTGGCTTCTTTAGGCTGAGTGGTCAGAAGTCATTTTAGGGGGGAATTGTAGGTTATCATCTAAGTGGCCACAACAGGTCAGTCTGCAGAGGATTAATGAAAAACATTTCAGGCACGCAGAGGAGTTGCTGGAGCAAAGACCCCCAACATGAGAAGTGTGACTGGAGCTCATTTATGGGGTGGTGTGGGGAAGATTTGGCTTGAGGGCTCAAAGGAGGGGCATGGTCTTCTGTGCTAATTTGAAGAAGTTTAGTTTTTACAGTTGATACCACTGGAAAGCATTGAAAGATTGGTGAAAGAGCTGTAACATAATAAGACACATTTCGGTTTTGTTTTTACTTTTTTAAAAAAGGTCCATCAGACAGTGGAACATGTAGGTGGAAGTGTGCTGATGAATAGAGTATCTATAGTCCCCAGTCTCTCCCTACAACATATTTATTACTTACAAAGGGGAAAGTGTAGTGGAGAAACCTGGGAGACATGATCTCAACCAAAAGATCAAAGTTAACCTCACCAGGAATGGGCAAACCCCTCACCACGTGCCTCCTGTTACGATGCATGGAATAACTGTGTAGGGTATTCGTGCCCAAAATGTGTAACCTCAGTGAATCATGAGGAAACAAACCCAAATGGAGCAGTATTCTACCAAATAACTGGCCTGTGGCTTTCAGCAATGTCAAGATCATAAAAGAACCCCATTCCTTCCAATGCCCATCAGTATGTGACTGAATTCAGTGTGATGTACACATAGAATGGATTATTACCTAGTAATTTAACATCTCAATAGGTCAACATGGAAAGATCTCAGAACAATGGCAGATGAAAACTGGACTGAGCTGCCCTTTTCCCCACCTGTAAGATGAGCAGAAAACCAAAGTTTGATGGCATACTGTGTTGACAAGGTTGTGGAGAAACAGGCACTCTCTCTCTCTGTTTTTTTTTTTTTTTTTTTGAGACAAGGTCTCGCTCTGTCGCACAGGCTGGAGTGCAGTGGCACAATCACAGCTCATTGTAGCCTCAACCTCTCAGGGCTCAAGTGATTCTCTCACCTCAGCTTCCCTGGTAGTTGGGACTATAGGCACACACCACCATGCCCAGCTGATTTTTTTAGTTTTTTGTAGAGATGGGGTTTCACCATGTTGCCCAGGCTGATCTTGAGCTCCTGGGGTCGAGAGATTCTCCTGCCTCAGAATCTCAAAGTGCTGGATCACAGGTGTGAGCTCTCACACACCCAGCGGAGAAACAGGCACTCTCATGCTTTGCTGGTGGAGGAGCCACATTGATAAAATCTCTATAAAGTTGTAACTATCAAAATTATACATACTCTTGACCCAATAACCCTTTCTGGAATTCAGTATAACATTCCACTAGGTACAAGATTTTTTGTTTGTTTGTTTTGTGACGGAGTTTCACTCTTGTAGCCCAGGCCGGAGTGCAGTGGTATGATCCCAGCTCACTGCAACCTCTGCCTCCTGTGTTCAAGCGATTCTCCTGCCTCAGCCTCCTGAGTAGCTGGGATTACAGGCATGTGCCATCACACCTGGCTAATTTTTGTATATTTTAGTAGAGATGGGGTTTCACCATGTTGGCTAGGCTGGTCTGACATTCCTGACCTCAGGTGATCCACCCACCTTGGCCTCCCAAAGTGCTGGGATTGCAGTCGTGAGCCACTGAGCTCAAGGTGCTCAGTGTTACAATCTTGTAACAGCTGGTACAAGACTGTTAATTGCAGCATTACTTGTCATTTATTAAAAAGTAGGTCAGGCCAGGCTCGGTGGCTCATGCCTGTAATCCCAGCACTTTTGGAGGCCAAGGTGGGTGGATCACCTGAGGTCAGGAGTTCGAGACCAGCCTGGCCAACATGGTGAAACCCCATCTCTACTAAAAATACAAAATTTAGCCAGGCGTGGTGGTGTGTGCCTGTAATCCCAGCTACCCAGGAGGCTGAGGCAGGAGAATCGCTGGAACATGGGAGGCAGAGGCTGCAGTGAGCCGAGATCACACCACTGCACTCCAGCCTGGGTGACAGAGCAAGACTCCGTCTCAAAAAAAAAAAAAAAAAAAAAAAAAGTAGGTCAGGCACAATGACCTACTGCAATAATCCCAGCACATTGGGAGGCCAAGGAATGAAGATCGCTGGGGCCCAGGAGTTCAAGACTAGCCTGGGCAACATAGCAAGACCCCAGTCTCAAACAAATAAAAACAAGGCAGGTGTTTATCATTGAGACCCTCCTCTCCAAACAGTATCTCCTCCCAGCCCACATCTAGTGAGGGAAGAGGAAATAAACTGTCTTCCCCACCTGAAGCCCAATAACTCATCTCCTGTTTCTGCCCATCTTCCTTCCACCTGCGCTTTTGTCCGTGTATAGTGTGGGGGTAATGAGCTTTGTGTGAGCGGGAGGGTCTCAGGAGAACCAGGCTGAGGGATAGATAGATACCTAGATTCTGGCTCAACCTCCACAGCCTACTTCCCAGTGAATGTCAAGCCAGTTCCAGCCTGATTCGGGGACTATCAATAGGAAAGATGAAGCAATGTGTCACTCCAACCCACTTGTCCCCAGATTACAAGACACAAGACACATGTGGATTTGTCTATTAGGATAGGTTGTCGGAAGAACCCCAGGGGACCCTTCTTGGATCAGGAACCAATGTCCACGGCCCCAGTCCCATGGGACGGGGCCCCAGCATTCATGGCCGCAGCATAGAACTTGGCCACCTCCTCACTGGGGTTGCCCTGGGCTGAGTCAAACCACATCTAGATGCAGCGGCCACTCCCTCAGCTGTAGTTGTAGTTGCTGACCTTGAAGGAATGGCTCCAGAGGCCTTCACAAAGGGCAGCTGGAGTGGGGAAGTAGGGCTCAAAGGTGTGGCAGAGGGCCCAGGCCGGACACTCATTAATCCCTGAGGGAGGAGAATGTAAGACCCTTAGCTTCTGGGCCAGACCACACCCCTCCCAACCCCAAAGCCCCACTCCCACTCCTCACCTCATCTCCTCCGTCCCTCACCTGAGGTCCAATTCCAGCCTTTGTGCCAGTTGCTTTTGCAGGTGTAGGAGGTGCGACAGTCCTCCCACCAGCGCTCACAGTCCTCTTTGCACAGGGGCACGTTCAGAATGCGCTCTTTGCGCCAGCTCTGGTTGACCTGAGTGGGGAGGAGACGGAACACTCCTGTCAGCCACGTATCTCAGCCGCTTTACCCTTGAAGGAGACCAGAGCTGTGGGAGGGGGCAGGGCGTCCACCACCCTCAGACCCAAATTCCTGGACCAAGCCCTCTCTGCAAGTGGCTGGCAGGTTGTGCCCTCTGCTGAGATTAATGTTTTGTGTTGTTTTTGTTGTTGTTGTTTTATTTTTGAGACAAAGTCTCGCACTGTTGCTCAGGCTGGAGTGCAGTGGCACAATCTCGGTTCACTACAACCTCCACCTCCCAGGTTCAAGCGATTCTCCTGCCTCAGCCTCCTGAGTAGCTGGGATTACAGGCTCCCACCGCCATGCCCGGCTAATTTTTGTATTCTAGTAGAGACAGGGTTTCATCATGTTGGCCAGGCTGGTCTCGAACTCCTGACCTCAGGTAATCCACCTGCCTTGGCCTCCCAAAGTGCTGGGATTACAGGCATAAGCCAATGCACCCAGCTATGAGGTTCATGTTTGTGGGAATGGCACTCATACCTGCCAGATCCAGGGCCCGAGGTTGGGTGAGCACTCATAGAGACCGGTGTCCTGGATAAAGTGGCGCTTGCAGGCAGGCTCCATCTTACCACAGTGATCCCAGTTAAAGTTGTACAGGCGGGAGGTGTCCTTGTGCAGCTCCTGGCTGGTGTTGGTCATGCAGCAGGCATTCTTCTTCTAGGGACTGCACTGGGTGGGGAAGACACAGGACTAAGTCCCTCACCACCGCAGCCATCTCCCCCATATTCTGGCTCCTCTGCCCCAGGTAGGTCATCCAGAGGAACACTTCCTAGGGAGGGCCCTTGAGGAGTCCCCACCTGGGAACACAGGCAATTACAATATTGGTGCATTTTTCCCTTATTTATTTATTTATTTGAGACAGGTCTCTCTCTGTTGCACATGCTGGAGTGCTGTGGTGCAATTATAGCTCACTGTAGCCTCTACATCCTGTGCTCAAGCAATCCTCCCACCTCAGCCTTCTGAGTAGCTGGGATTCAGGCCCATGCCACCACACCTGGCTATTTTTAAAATCTTTTTGTAGAGACAAATGGGATCTAATTAAACTAAAGAGCGTCTGCACAGCAAAAGAAACTACCATCAGAGTGAACAGGCAACCTACAGAATGGGAGAAAATTTTTGCAATCTACCCATCTGACAAAGGGCTAATATCCAGAATCTACAAAGAACTTAAACAAATTTACAAGAAAAAAATCAAACAACCCCATCAAAAAGTGGGCAAAGGAAATGAACAGACACTTCTCAAAAGAAGACATTTATGCAGCCAACAGACACATGAAAAAATGCTCATCATCACTGGCCGTCAGAGAAATACAAATCAAAACCTCAATGAGATACCATCTCACACCAGTCAGAATGGCAATCATTAAAAAGTCAGCAAAAAACAGGTGCTGGAGAGGATGTGGAGAAATAGGAACACTTTTACACTGTTGGTGGGACTATAAACTAGTTCAACCATTGTGGAAGACAGTGGGGCGATTCCTCAAGGATCCAGAACTAGAAACACCATTTGACCCAGCCATCTCATTACTGGGTATATACTCAAAGGATTATAAATCATGCTGCTATAAAGGCATATGCACATGTATGTTTATTGCGGCGCTATTCACAATAGCAAAGACTTGGAACCAACCCAAATGTCCATCAGTGATAGACTGGATGAAGAAAATGTGGCACATATACACTATGGAATATATGCAGCCATAAAAAAGGATGAGTTCATGTCCTTTGTAGGGACATGGATGAAGCTGGAAACCATCATTCTGAGCAAACTATCGCAAGGACAGAAAACCAAACACCACATGTTCTCACTCATAGGTGGGAATTGAACAATGAGGACACTTGGACACAGAGTGGGGAACATCACACACCGGGACCTGTCGTGGGGTTGGGGGAGGGGGGGATAACATTAGGAGAAATACCTAATGTAAATGACGAGTTAATGGGTGCAGCACACCAATATGGCACATGTATACATATGTAACAAACCTGCACGTTGTGCAAATGTACCCTAGAACTTAAAGTATTAAAAAAAAAAAGATGGGGTCTCACTATGGTTCCCAGGCTAGTCTCAAACTCCTGGGCTCAAGCAATCCTCTCATCTCAGCTTCCCAAAGTGCTAAGATTACAGATGTGAGCCATCACGCCTGGCCAATATTGGCTTTTAACGGAGCATAATAGAGGGGAGCCACTGTCTGGGACAGTAATTATTGTTTGTACAGCTCTTAATGGTTGAAAAAGTTATTTCATGTTATTCAGCTTATTTATATTATTCATTTTGCATCCAGCCAATATTAACTGAGTGCTTATTAGACATCAGGCACTGTGATAGGTCCTAGGAACACCCCAGTGAACAAAGCAAGTAACATCTCTAGCCTCATGGAGGGTATAGTTTTAATGGGTGGATGGGCTGTGTGTACAGGGAAGATAAAGAACACTCAGGCATAGAAAACCATAGGTGCAAAGTCCCTGAGGCTTTTGCACTTTATCCTCTTAACAACCCAGTATGAATCCTTAAACCCATTTTTACAGCGTTTCAGTAAGCTACACCTGTGGTATATAGTAGGGTTAAGATTTAACTCAGGACAGGAAGGAGAGGAACCTGGCCCAGGTTGTGGGGGAGGGTGGAGGTCAAGGGGCTGGTGTGGCTTTTCCAGGGTCTGGAAGTCCAGGCAAGGAGACTCCAAATAGATCCTGAGAGTGGTGGGGGAACAGAGGAGCTGTAGCCTGAACGTGGGCCTGAACCCGGGCTTGACTAAATGTGGAAAAGGCAATCCTAGAAAGGTAAATACAATGCAGGCAAGACAAGCAGAAATGGTGGAGGTTTTTCTTTGGAAATCACTCTAGGCCAGGATGCAGAAAACCTGAGAAATCATGAGTCAATTGCATAACATTTCTGGGCTGAACCCTTGCACCTAGGGTCAAGTGATGGCAGAGGCGTGACAGGTCTGAGCAACCAGGAGAAACAATAGGGAAATCCATGGGAGTGGAGCCAGACCTACCCACTGGGCCACCACGCCCAGTGCCGGCCGACACAGAACATGCTTCCCCGCCAGCACAACTTCACACTTGCTTTTCCTTGGCTGTCCCAACTCTTGGTCTTCCTGCAAGACCCCTTGCACATCATGGGTCTTGGGGTTTGGCAGACATGGGTTTTGCCAGTCAGGGTCAGGGGTTTCTGCCTCTGAAAGAGTTACTGAATATAATGAAAAGTACTCCCTGGCTATAGAAGTGGCCCAACAAATATCATCACTCTCATATAGCTCATGGCCCTGAGAATGATAATCATCTGTATCTCTCAAAGTCTACATCTGCACCATTTCTTGGCAAAGAGTAGGTGCTTTAGAAGGTTCTGAAAAGCAAATGAAGTGGTGGGCACAAAGTTTCCATTTCAGTTTTGGAGAATGAAAGAGGTCAGGAGATGGATGGTGGTGATGGTTGCACAACCACATGAGCATACTTTTTTTTTTTTTTTGACAGAGTTTTGCTCTTGTTGCCCAGGCTGGAGTGCAATGGCGCGATCTCGGCTCACTGCAACCTCTGCCTCCCAGGTTCAAGCAATTCTCCCGTCTCAGCCTCCCGAGTAGCTGGGATTACAGGCATGGGCCACCATGCCCGGCTAATTTTTTTTTTTTTTGTATTTTTAGTAGAGACAGGGTTTCTCCATGTTGGTCAGGCTGGTCTCAAACTCCTGACCTCAGGTGATCCGCCCACCTCGGCCTCCCAAAGTGCTGGGATTACAGGCGTGAGCCACTGCACCCGGCATACATGAGCATACTTAATGCCACTGACCTGTACAGTTAAAAATGGCTAAAATGGAGAACTTATTTTATTTATTTATTTTAAATTTTACCCTGATTTTAAAATAAGCAAATGGAATGTTGGGAATGACTCAGATGTCACAGGGCTTCCAGGCTGTCCTCTCTTTGCTTTAGCCCTCGGAGCCTGTCCATGCCACAGTCTCTCCCTGGGCACATCCTCACCCTCTGGGAATGTGAACCCTTCTAGGGAGCAGGCCAGGAGACCAGAGAAATGAAATACAGGCACTCTCCTGAGCTTGGAATTCAAATTGGAGCTCATACTCCCCGAGCTGCCTCAGTGGCCTTACCTGTGGCATGAGGGCCCTGGCCTCCCCTCCCCTTCCTTGTGGGCAGTGGCACCGCTGGCTCTGGCCACACTGGACCCGCCATTGCTCGTGCCATCACCCTCTGACCTGTGTGCATGCTGTCCTCTACCAGGCTGCCCTTTCCCGCTTTTTCCTCCTAGAAAACTCTTACTCATCTTCCCAGGTCAAGGCCAATGGTCTCTTGCCTGGGAAGTCTCCCCAGCATATTGGATTGGTCGTTGTCTCTTCAGTACCTAATGGGGGTGGAAACCTGGACTGTTTGTACATGTAGGCTGCACCATGACCATGATGGGCCCAGCTCCTCTTCTACTGTGCCATTGAGCTCTGTGGGCTGGCACACAATTAAGGCTGGGAAAGGTATGGACAGTCCCTCTCCTCATTTCCCACTTGCACCTGCGCCCTCTCTGGGCCTATTTCCTCATTTGCGTAAGTAGAGACTACCACGCACCCACCCTGCCCTTTGGGCATATTCACTAACATGGCATGAGTGAAAGCACAAGGCTCATAGGCTCATAGTGGGTGTTAGGTATGTGGTTCCTTTATTATTGTAGATTTGGTGTCCTCCCAGGGGAGGCCCTCCAGGATCACAGCAGTCATCCTCTGCCTTCATCACCTTCCACAGCTGACTTCACCCTGCTAACTTTTCTCTGTCAAAGGCAGCTCTCTCCCCTGCCCCAGACCCGACTTTATCCTCACCTGGCCATACAGCTCGTCCTCGGGGCTGGGCTGTGTCTTGTGGTACTTGGCGTTCATGCAGACATTGAGCAGGTCTGTCCTGGCCCGCGCACTCCTGGGCTGGGCACTCCCCGCAGCAGTCACCAAAGCCAGAAGGAGCAGCTGCATCATCTGCCAGGCCATGTCCATCTATTCCTGCCAGAGAGCCACAGTCAGAGGTAGACAAGGCCTGAGGGAGGGGCAACAGCCATGTGATTGTGTACTGTCTCCCTCCCAGGCCCAGATCTCTGCTGTCCCCACCCTGCATCCCCTACAGGGCAGCTGAGCCAAGAAATGCGCTGCGTGTAGAGGTGAGAGGGAGCCCTTCCCCGGCTGGCCTGGAGGCAGGACTCTCCTCCTACTTCCCACCCAACAGTGCTCTAGGTCCAGGTTCTGACACCAGCTTGCTCTGAGATCATGGAGGGAGCCACCGCCCTTGTGGACTTCCCCTCTTGGATTTCTCCAGTGTTTTATGCAATTCCTCTCAAATTTGCACAAGGAGGAACCACAGGTGGTGGCCTGCTGATGCAGGAGTGAGACTCTAGACAGCCTCAGGCTTCTGCTTCCTCAGCCTGTCCTCCTACCCCACGGCAACTGAGGTTTAGATGCCCAGGGAAGCTGAGATGGGGACAGCAAGGGCCATGGAGCTGTCAGCTATTGTTCATGGTCCTGGAGCAGATGCTGCGGGAGGCAAGGAGGTGGGGGCAATCGCACCTCACCCTTCACCCCTCCTGGGTCTTGGGAAATTACCTAGGCAGAGGCAGGCTCAGAGGTTGGGGGAGGCCAACAGGTCAGCGGCAAATGGAGGAGGGGGCTGAGCGAGAACAGTGAGCGCTATCTCGCCTCCCATGTCTCATCCCCACTTTTCCCTCTGTCCTGTTGCAGGGCCTTACCTCCATCCTCAGCCCACCTGGGAGGGTGGAGTCTCTCCCACCTCCCCACCTACTTTATAACCCCATCCTGCCTGCTTGGTTAGACCCTCTGTTCGGGAAGGTGCACAAGGCTTTGTCTAGGAGACAGCTCAATTGTCTTTCAATAAGGACCCAGTTAAATTATGGTACATCTACCCAGTGGAATTTAATGTGGTAACAAAGAAAGAGGAAGCTCCTGATGTACAAATACGGAAAAATCTCCATGTGCATTGTGAAGTGGGAGAAGGAAGGTGCAGAAGAATGCTATGTAAAAAAAAATTCTGTGTAAAAAAGGAGGAGTTAGAATATCTGTGCTTGCAGGAGAAAATGCTGAAAGGTATGAAAAGAAACCAATAAGGTGATCACCTGGGGGAAGAGGACAGCATCAGGGATGCGACCTTTCACTGTAAACCTTTCTACGTTGTTTTGATTTTTGGACCAGGTGAAGTTATACCTTATTTAAATATGTATTGGTATGTGTGTATGTATACATAAATATACAAAATAGGAAGTGAAAATACAAAGACACAGAATGATTTATCTGACTTGATAATAGATATGTAAATGTCAATAACACTAGAATGCACACAACAATGGTACATTTAAGTTAAGGATACTATACATGTGTTTGCCAAAGTATGAACATGAGGCCACTGAGTGTTCTGGTCTCTGGGTATACATCTGGTCAAATTCTATGCATTTACACTACACATATCCCATTTATGGGCACAAATGGTAGCATACTGTTTTATACTTTGCTTTTTCTGGGTAGTTTCAGTATACATTTATGCTTTTGACAAAAACCAAAAACCTCATGAACCCAAGCTATCCACACTTGCTCTCTTGAGTATTGCCGTATGTATTAGTCCATTTTCAGGAATGATAAAGACATACCCGAGATAGAGCAATTTACAAAAGAAAGAGGTTCATTGGACTTACAGTTCCACATGGCTGGGGAGACCTCACAATAATGGCAGAAGGCAAGGAGGAGCAAGTCACATCTTATGTGGATGACAGCAGGCAAAGAGAGAGCTTGTGCAGAGAAACTCCTGTTTTAAAAACCATCAGATCTCGTGAGACCCATTCACTCTCACAAGAACATGGGAAAGACCCACCCCCATGATTCAATCATCTCCCACCAGGTCCCTCCCACAACATGAGTGAATTATGGGAGCTACAAGATGAGATTTGGGTGGGGACACAGCCAAGCCATATCATTCCATCCCTGTCCCCTCCCAAATCTCATATCTTCACATTTCAAAACCAATCATGCCTTCCCAACAGTCCCCCAAAGTCTCAACTCATTTCAGAATTAACTCAAAAGTCCACAGTCCAAAGTCTCAGCAAAGAAAAAGCAAGACACTTCTGCCTATCAGCCTGTAAAATCAAAAGCAAGTTAGTTACTTCCTGGATACAATGGGAGTACAGGTATTGGGTAAATACAGCCACTCCAAAATGGGAGAAATTAGCCAAAACAGAGGGGCTACAGGCCCCTGCAAGTCCAAAATCCAGCAGGGCAGTCAAATCTTAAAGCTCCAAAATGATCTCCTTTGACTCCATCTCTCATATCAGGTCACACTAATGTAAGAGGTGGGTTCCCATGGTCTCTGGCAGCTCCGCCCCTGTGGCTTTTCAGTGTACAGCCTCCCTCCCGGCTGCTTTCACAGGCTGGCATTGAGTGTCTGCAGCTTTTCCAGGCAAACAGTGCAAGCTGTCAGTGGATCTACCATTCTTGGGGCTAGAGGACAATGGCCCTCTTCTCACAGCTGCCCTAGGCAGTGCCCCAGTAAGGACTCTGTGTGGGAGCTCCAACCCCACATTTCCCTTCCGCCCTGCCCTAGCAGAGGTTCTCCATGAGCACCCCACCCCTGCAGCAAACTTCTGCCTGGGCATCCAGGCATTTCCATACATCTTCTGAAATCTAGGTGGAGGTTCCCAAACCCCAATTCTTGACTTCTGTGCACTTGCAAGCTCAATACCACGTGGAAGCTGCCAAGGACTGGGGCTTTCACCCTCTGCAGCCATGGCCTAAGCTCTATGTTGGCCCCTTTCAGCCATGGCTGGAGCAGCTGGGACACAAGGCACCAAGTCCCTAGGCTACATACAGCACGGGGACCCTGGACCTGGCCCACGGAACCATTTCTCCTAGGCCTCTGGGCCTGTGATGGGAGGGGCTGCCAAGAAGACCTCTGACATGCCCTGGAGACATTTTCCCCATTGTATTGGGGGTTAATGTTCCTCTTGTTACTTATGCACATTTCTGCAGCTGGCTTGAATTTCTCCTCAGAAAATTGGCTTTTCTTTTCTATCGCATTGTCAGGCTGCAAATTTTCTGAACCTTTATTCTCTGCTTCCCTTATAAAACTGAATTCCTTTAACCACACCCAAGTCACCTCTTGAATGCTTTGCAGCTTAGAAATTTCTTCCGCAGCCAGGTGTGGTGGCTCATGCCTGTAATTCCAACACTTCAGGAGGCTGAGTTGGATCATTTGAGGTCAGGAGTTTGAGACCAGCCTGGCCAATGTGGTGAATCCCTGTCTCTTCTAAAATACAAAAATTAGCCAGGCATGGAGGCACATGCCTGTTATCTCAGCTGCTTGGGAGGCCGAGACATGAGAAACGCTTGAACTCAGGAGGCGAAGGTTGCAGTGAGCCAAGGTCACGCTACTGTCCTCTGGCCTGGGTGACAGAGTGAGACTCTATCTCAAAATAATAATAATAATAATAATAATAATAATAATAATAAACAAATTTCTTCCACCAGATAGCCTAAACCATCTCTCTCGAGTTCAAAGTTCTGCAAATCTCTAGGGCAGGGACAAAATGCTGCCAGTCTCTTTGCTAAAACATACAAGAGTTACCTTTGCTCCAGTTCCCAACAAGTTCCTCATCTTCATCTGAGACCACCTCAGCCTGGACCTTATTGTCCATATCACTATCAGGCTTTTGGTCAAGGCCCTTCAACAAGTCTCTAGGAAGCTCCAGACTTTCCCACATTTTCCTGTCTTCATCTGAGCGCTCCAAACTGTTCCAACCTCTGCCTGTTCCCCAGTTCCAAAGTCGCTTCCACATTTTTGGGTATCTTTTCAGCAATGCCCCACTCCCAGTACAAATTTACTGTATTCATCTGTTTTCACGCTGCTGATAAAGACATATGCAAGACTGGGCAATTTACGAAAGAGGTTTATTGGATTTACAGTTCCACATGGCTGGGGAGACCTTACAATCATGGTGGAAGGCAAGGAGAAGCAAGTCACATCTTATGTGGATGGCACCAGGCAAAGAGAGAGCTTGTGCAGAGAAACTCCCGTTTTTAAAACCATCAGATCTTGTGAGACCCATTCATTATCATGAGAACAGCACGGGAAAGACCCACCTCCACGATTCAATCATCTCCCACCAGGTCCCTTTCACAACACATGGGAGTTATGGGAGCTACAAGATGAGACTTGGGTGGGGACACAGAGCTAAATCATATCACTGTACATCTAATAACATAACTTTAAAGTTATTTCTTTATGCCTTGTATGTATAAACTTAAAGCTCATTAGCCAATATAAAAAACATTAGGGGGCCGTCCTTGGTGGCTCATGCCTATAATCCCAGTGCTTTGGGAGGCCAAGGCTGATGGATTGCTTGAGCCCAGGAGATCAAGACCAGCCTGGGAAACATAGGGAGACCTCATCTTCACACAAAAATACAAAAATTAGTTGGGTATGGTGGTCTAAGCCTATAGTCCCAGCCATTTGGGAGGATGAGCTGGGAGGATTGCTTGAGCCCAGGAGGTCAGGGCTGCAGTGAGCTGTGATGGCATCCCTGCACTCCAGCCTGGGTGACAGAGTGAGATCCTGTCTCGGAAAAAAAAAAAAAAAAGAAAGAAAGAAAAAAGTTAGGAAAGAGAACTTCATGTTTTCAAGTTAAAAGTGCCTGATCCGGCTGGGTGCAGTGGCTCACACCTTTAATCCCAGCACTTTGGAAGGCCAAGTCAGGGGTATCACCTGAGGTCAGGAGTTCAAAACCAACCTGGTCAACATGGTAAAACCCCATCTCTACTAAAAAAAAAAAAATACAAAAATTAGCCGGGCATGGTGGCACATACCTGTAATCCCAGCTACTCAGGATGTTGGGGCAGGAGAATCGCTTGAATCCAGGAGGTGGAGGTTGCAGTGAGCCAAGATCTCACCACTGCATTCCAGCTTGGGCAACAGAGCAAGATCCTGTCTCAAAAAAAAATAAAGTTGGTTTGTAATAAGCTATAGGACTCTGACAGGTGCTCTCAAATACAGGTTTCTGATAACTTTGGAGACTGTGATATTGGAATAAAGGAAAATGTACAGGACTCATGAAGAGCTAAAATGTTCACGAATATCAAGCATAACAAGAACTGAATGGACTGAACTCAGAAAGCTGAAGCAACCTTTTTGACTTTTGCTTGGAATATTGCTGATCCTTGTTTTGTTTCTCAGAGTCAAGGAAAATTATTTTGAACTCTTTAAGGCCTTTAATACTAGAGTAAGCTACACTCCTGTGAACAAAATTTGAAGCATATTTTTCTCTCTCTCTGCCTGGCTTCTCCAGAATTTGGAAATTATCCGTGAGTATTCTTTTTTTTTTTTTTTTGAGGCAGACTCTTGCTCTGTCGCCAAGCTGGAGTGCAGTGGCATGATCTCGGCTCACTGCAACCTCCGCCTCCCAGGTTCAAGTGATTCTCCTGCCTCAGTTTCCCAAATAGCTGGGACTACAGGCACTTGCCACCACACCCAGCTAATTTTTTGTATTTTAAGTAGAGACAGGGTTTCACCATGTTGGCCAGGCTGGTCTCGAACTCCTGACCTCCGGTGATCCGCCCACCTCGGCCTCCCAAGGTGCTAGGATTACAGGTGTGAGCCACCACGCCTGGCCAAGAATGTCACTTTCTAACAGGTCTAGGAGCTCCAAATTTGTCATGGGACCTTAACACGAGAAGATCATCCAACTTACAGGTATTTGAGGATACAAATCCATGGCTGGGCTCAGTTTTAAAACGTTTTGTCTGAAATTCCTTGAAGAACAGAGTTCCATCAAAGCCAATCTAAAAGACTTATGTAGAAATAGTTATTCTTGCTGCACTTTATGCAAATAATCAGGCCAAGTATATGACTAAAGTCTATTTTGCAAACAACTCAATCCTACCATAATTTGCTTTTTTAACAAAAATGAGGACTGGAGAGAGAGAAATTATGTTTCAAAACACCATACATTTGTCAATAAATTCTAAAGTCATTAGTGTTTAAGTTTTTGCCTACATTTTTAGGCTAACACTCCTTGTTCCTGTGAACCAACCAGCAATCTCCAGCTGCAGCTCAGAAAGAAGGAGAGGATGGGTAATGTAAAAATCTGGATCAATATTTTAGTTCTGAGCAATTATCCTGCAAATCCTGCCAGGTGATGGGAATAAATAGGATGCCCATTAATCGGAGGTTTCCTTTTTTGGAAAGTAAGAGCTAACCAAAGCCAAGCACCATGCACCCAAATCCTAGCTTACATAACTATAGCCACCAATTATCTGGGCATGTCACAAGACATCTTTTTCTCTCCCTTGTTGGAGGAGGACTCAATTCTGCAGCTTCACCTTCCTTAGCATTTGGCTTATGATAAGGAGTCCATGCAGCCCTTCCTAGACACATATTTTTGTTTCAAATTCTATTCCAAGCTTTGAGTCAAAGCCCCAGGAAAGAAAACTGGATCTAAGGGATTCAGAGGCAGATGATAACAGGGGTTAAAAGGCACAGTGCAAGGCCGGGCACAGTGGCTCACACCTGTAATCCCAGCACTTTGGGAGGCCAAGGCGGGCAGATCATGAGGTCAGGAGATCGGGACCATCCTGGCAAACACGGTGAAACCCCGTCTCTACTAAATATACAAAAATTAGCCAGGCATGGTGGCATGCACCTGTAATCCTAGCTACTTGGGAGGTAGAGGCAGGAGAATCGCTTGAACTGGGAGGTGGAGGTTGCAGTGAGCTGAGATCATGCCACTGCACTCCAGACTGGGCGACAGAGCAAGACTCCATCTCGAAAAAAAAAATACAAAAATTAGCTGGGCATGGTGGTGCGTGCCTGTAATCCCAGCTACTCAGGAGGCTGAGGCAGGAGAATCACTTGAACCAGGGAGTCGGAGGTTGCAGTGAGCCGAGTTCACTCCACTGCACTTCAGCCTGGCAACAGAGCGAGACTCTGTCTCAAAAAAAAAAAAAAAAAAAAAAAAAAAAAAGGCACAGTGCGTGCAAGTGAGCATGGCTAATTCCTGCCAATCAAGCCAAGCCTCCCATTTCATGGATAAAGGTCATGCTAGTATCCATGGCATATGTAGGGGTGGGTTGCCCCTACACACCTGTGGGTGTTTCTCGTAAGGTGGGACGAGAGATTTGGAAAAGAAAAAGACACAGAGACAAAGTATAGAGAAAGAAATAAGGGGACCCTGGGAACCAGCGTTCAGCATATGGAGGATCCCGCCAGCCTCTGAGTTCCCTTAGTATTTATTGATCATCTGTGGGTGTTTCTCAAAGAGGGGGATGTGTCAGGGTCACAAGACAATTGTGGGGAGAGGGTCAGCAGACAAACACGTGAACAAAGGTCTTTGCATCATAGACAATGTAAAGGATTAAGTGCTGTGCTTTTAGATATGCATACACATAAACATCTCAATGCTTTACAAAGCAGTATTGCTGCCCGCAGGTCCCACCTCCAGCCCTAAGGCGGTTTTTCCCTATCTCAGTAGATGGAGCATACAATCGGGTTTTATACCGAGACATTCCATTGCCCAGGGACAGGCAGGAGACAGATGCCTTCCTCTTGTCTCAACTGCAAGAGGCATTCCTTCCTCTTTTACTAATCCTCCTCAGCACAGACCCTTTACGGGTGTCGGGCTGGGGGACGGTCAGGTCTTTCCCTTCCCACGAGGCCATATTTCAGACTATCACATGGGGAGAAACCTTGGACAATATCTGGTTTTCCTAGGCAGAGGTCCCTGCGGCCTTCCGCAGTTTTTGTGTCCCTGGGTACTTGAGATTAGGGAGTGGTGATGACTCTTAAGGAGCATGCTGCCCTCAAGCATCTGTTTAACAAAGCACATCTTGCACCGCCCTTAATCCATTCAACTCTGAGTTGACACAGCACATGTTTCAGAGAGCACAGGGTTGGGGGTAAGGTTATAGATTAACAGAATCTCAAGGCAGAAGAATTTTTCTTAGTACATAACAAAATGGAGTCTCCTATGTCTACTTCTTTCTACACAGACAGAGTAACAATCTGATCTCTCTTGCTTTTCCCCACAGCATAAATGAGGTCTAGGAAACTCCAAGACTACTGACTGTAGGGGGTATAGAAACATAGGTAAGAGCGGATAATTCCTATTCTCTCTTTTTTTTTCCCCGAGATGGAGTCTTACTCTGTTGCCCAGGCTGGAGTGCAGTGGTGTGATCTTGGCTCACTGCAACCTTTGCCTCCTGGGACCAAGTGATTCTCCTGCCTCAGCCTCCCGAGTAGCTGGGACTACAGGCATGCACCACCACACCCAGCTAAGTTTTGTATTTTTAGTAGAGACGGGGTTTCACCATGTTGGCCAGGCTGGTCTCAAACTCCTGAAATCATGATCTGCCCACCTCGGCCTCCCAAGGTGCTGGGTTGTACAGGCGTGAGCCACTGAGTCTGGCTGATAATTCCTATTCTCTAGGTACTCCCTGCTTCATGGGTGCAAGCTGCTGTGGCACCCATGGCAGCACCTGCCAAGGTCACCAGGACTTGGGTATGCAAGGACAGAAGAGGGAAAGAGGACGCTCTTCCTTCTCTCCCTCATGTACCCCTGGTATCTGCTAGAAAGAGATAGGAGACAGGGATGCCTGCTCCCCTCTTTCTAGATGGGTAGCCATTCATCTTCACTCTGTACCCCTTTTGAATGCATGCTGAACCCCTGGGACTCCTTTAAAAAGCACCTTTTTTTCCTTTCTTCTCCACTGTCTTCTCTTCACTAATAGGTAATTGTGTCTTTGTACTATAGGACACTCCCCTCAGATGCATCCTCCAAACTGGAAAGAGTTAATTTCCCAAACCTTCAGCTGGTTGGCTTAGGATTGGGCTCAGAGGAAGGGAACCCACAAGCATGACATGCTGGCAAAAGGGTAAAGTTTTTTTTACCAGTCGGGCTTTTGGTTTCCCTCTCCCTGTGCAAACTGGTAAAAGGCCTAGGGATTTTAAGCTGTCCTTACCCTCCCTTGTTTCGTTTTAACACATGTTTTCTAATAACCTGGTTTTTCTCCTCTTGCCTTCAGGCCATCAAACTCCAAATGGTCGTGCAACCGGAGCCTCGGAAGATGGCGCCTTCTGCCGGGAACCCTTAGATAGGCTTCTGAGGGAGCTCTGACTGCCGTTTCCCAAAACACCGCTCCCTGTTAGCAGGAAGCAGTTTAGATCGGTCTTCGTCCTCACCCCTATCCTTGTTCTAACAGTAGTTTGATGTACTTCTTGAGAGGGGGGAATGAGACAGCCAAGTGTAAAGGGGTCCCCAGAGAACCTCTGACAAACCCGCACACTGGGAGGAATGTGCACTGGGGTGGAGCCTCTGGAAGTTCGTGCTGAGGAGCCTGGCCCCTCCTCTTCCAGGGTGGAACCTGGGATTCAACCTGAGAGGTGGGAAGCGTGTACTAGCAGGACTCTCACTCTGCCGAGGGTCCCCGTTTCCCCGCTTTTTTTTTTTGCCCAATAAATTCCATTTTTCTCACCCTTCAAAGTGTCTGCAAGCCTAATATTTCATGGCCAGGTGACAAGGACCCTGTCTTTGGCTGAACTGAGGAGAAACTCCTACAACATTACCATCCAGCAATTCCTATTTTTTTTTTTTTTTTTTTTTGAGACAGGGTCTCACTCTATCAACCCAGGCTGGACTGCAGTGGCACAGTCATAGCCCACTGCAGCCTCTACCTCCTGAGCTAAAGAGATCCTCCCATCTCAGCTTCCTGCATAGCTAGGACTACAGGCGTGGACCACCACACTGGGCTAAATTTTTTGTATTTTTATGTAGAGACGGGGTTTCACCATGTTGCCCAAGCTGTTCTAGAATCCCTGGCTCAAGTGATCTACCTGCCTTGGCCTCCCAAAGTGCTGGAATTACAGGTATGAGCCACCATGCTTGGCTTCCAACCAATATTTTAAAGTTCATGATGGGAATGGAGTTTGTCTCAGATGATAGATTTTTATGGAGCCACATGCCAATTTCCTTAGAATACTTTCCCTCATGGATACACCCCACAGAAACTCAGAATCATCCCCTCAATTCTTATCCCCCCTCATGCCCATTTACAATTAATCCCTGTTGTCACTTCCAGCCCCAGGCAACTACTAATCTACTTTCTGCCTCTATAAATTTGCCTTCCCTGCACATTTCATGTAAGTGAAATCATGCCACATGAAGCCTCTTAGGTCTGGCTTCTTTCACTTAACATAATGTTTTTGACGCTCATCCACGACATAGCATGTGTCATCACGTTTCATTGCTGCACAGTCTTCTATTGTATGGATTCACCACATTTTGTCTATCTACTCACCAGCTGCTAAAAATTTAGGTTATTGCCAGCTTGGGGCTATTATATATAATGATACATAATATGATATATCATATTTACATACATAAATGATACATCATATTTACATACATAAATATGATTATTATTAATATTCATATTTAAGTTTTGTTATGTTTGTTTTCGTTTCTCCTGAGTAGACACCTGGGAGTGGAATTTTGGGTTGTATGGCAGTTTTACATTTAACTTTTTGAGAAACTGCCACACTGTTTTCCGAAGGGCTGTACCATTTTACATCCCCACCAGCACTGTGTGAGGGTTCCCATTTCTCCACATCCTTGCCAATGCTTGTTATTGCCTATCATTATTATTATTGCCATTCTAGTAGGTATAAAACCGTCTATCACTATGGTTTTAGTTTCCATTTTTCTAATGATTAATAATGTTGAGCATCTTTTCGTGTAACTATTCATAATTTGTGTACCTTCTTTAATGACATATTTGTTCATTTCTTTTGCCCATTATTTGATTGGGTTGTCTGCCTTCTTGTTACTGAGTTGTAAGTGTTCTTTGTATTTTATGGATACAGATCCTTTATCAGATGTGTTTGCAAATATTTCCTTCCAGTCTGTTGCTTGTTTTTTAATTTTCTTAAGGGTGTCTTTTAAAGTGCAAGAGTTTTGAATTTTGTTAATATCCAATTATTAGCTTTTGCATTGATCAACTATGCTTTCGGTTCAAAAAAGAAATCAGTGGGCTGGCAGAGGTGTCTCACGCCTCTAATCCCAGCACTTTAGGAGGTCAAGGTGGGTGAATGAATCACTTGGGCGCAGCAGTTCAAGACCAGCTTGGGCAACATGGCAAAACCCCATCTCTACAAAAAAAATACAAAACATTTGCCCAGCATGGTGGCATGTGCCTGTAGTCCCAGCTACTTGGGAGGCTAAAGTTGAGGGATCAATTGAGCTCAGGAGGTCAAGACTGCAGTGAGCCATGACTGTGCCACTGCACTCCAGCCTGAGCAACAGAAAGAGACCCTGTCTCAAAAAATAAAAATAATAAATAGAAATAAATGAAGGGCGAAAAGGCATCAATTGGCCTTGTTTACAAGACTAGCCAGGGCGGTCATCAGTGGATTGCTCCACTTTTCAGGTTGATGTAGTTATTTGCATATGTATAGAGAGTTGGTCCTCCTTCTTACTAGGATCTAACCAAAAAATTAAATTTGTAACTATGACCATGCCAGAAACAGAAATCTACGAGAAAATAATGAAGTCTTTTTACTCATGATTAGGTCTGTTGCAAACCTTGTGATTCCCCTCTCCTTGCAAGTACATGATAGGATTATGTTTTCCTGGCTTTCTTGAATTTAGGCATGCTCATGACTTGATTTGGCCAATGAAATAAGTGATGGGTGGAAATTTGAAGAGCCTTATGGAATTTGCCAAGTTCCCTCTTCCTGTCTCATGGAAGATGGAGCCTCCATCAGCGTGGGTTCTTGAGTGAGAAGCAGAACCCCCTGGCTGCTAATGTAGTCCAGGAATGAGAAATAAACAGAATCCCCCTGATAACCCACATTCAGCATTGTAGCTTGAGCAAGAAATAAACATGACTTGTGGCCAGATGCAGTGACTCATGCCTGTAATCCCAGCATTTTGGGAGGATCACTCCAGCGCAGGAGTTTGAGAACAACCTGGGTAAAATAGTGAGACCCTGTCTCTACTATTACATATATAATACATGTTTTATATTATATGTATTAGCTGAATGTGGAGGCTCACACCTGTAGACCCAGCTACTCAGGAGGCTGAGGTAGGAGGATTGCTTGAGCCCAGTAGTTTGAGACCAGCCTGGACAACATTGCAAGATTTCCTCTCTACAAAAAATTGAAAAATTAGCCAGGTGTGGTGGCACATGCTTGTAGTCCCAAGTATTTGGGATGCTGAGGTGGGAGGATCACTTGAGCCCACGAGGCAGACGTTGCAGTGAGCTGAGATCATGCCACTCCATTCCAACCTGGGTGAGAGAGTGAGACCCTGTCTCAAAAAAAGAAAAATGCCTGGGCTTGGCTCTAAATTGGAGCTATAGTGAATAATAAAATCGAGAGCTACAAATGTCTCCTACCTTAGAAGAATACTTAAGTATCAGGCTAGTTCATAGCAAGCATCAGAGCTGGGAACTAGCCCAGTCTAACTGGCTTCAATCAATAAGAAATGGGAAACAAAACAGCCACATTCCCATTCATACCCAAATAATTCTCAAGATACATGTGTGGTGTCTGGTTTATTCAAAGTGGCTGTCAGAGACAAGACCATAGAAGAGGAACCAAATAGTTGGGAGCTGTGGGGCTAAACAGGGCAGGGATGTCCAAGTATCAGAAGGTAAAAGGAGGTCAGCTGAGCAGCCACAGCAGCATTAGGGCCAGGTTGAGCAGGAGAGGCCAGGCTGCCCAGGGCCCAGCCCCACTCAGAGCTGCAGCATAGAACCTTGCCACCTCCTCATTGGGGTTGCCCTGGGCCAGGTCGAACCACATCTGGATGCAGCGGCTGCTCCCTCGGTTGTAGTTGCTGACCCTGTAGGAGTGAGTCCAGATTTCACTGCACAGAGCAGTGGGTGTGAGAAAGTAGAGATGGAAAGGTAGTCAGGCAGCTGCCACCTGGCACTTGTTAGACCCTGTAGGGAAGAGGGAAGACCTTTAGCCACTGGGCCCCAAAGGGTCTCTGATTCTGCCAGCCCTACAACCCCAAAATGTCACACACCTGTTCCACACCCACACACCTTCACTTCCAAATCCCTCCTTTCCTGCCCACCCCAGCCCTCACCTGAGGTCCAGTTCCAGCCCTTGTGCCCATTGCTCTTGCAGGTGTAGGAGGTGCGACAATCTTCCCACCATTGCTCACAGTCCTCTTTGCACAGGGGCACATTCAGCACCCACTCTTTGCGCCAGCTCTGATCCACCTGGGAGATTTTGGTAGAAAAGAAGGGCTCAGGCTCAAGAATCCCAGGAACCCAGCCCTGAATAGAACTGGAGCTGGGGTTGCTGCCTGCAGAGACGCCTGGAAAATTCAGCTCCTCTGCTAGCTCTTGGATGCCAGGAAGCCATGCGTACCTGCTGGATCCAGGGCCCCAAGTTGGGGGGTCACTCGTAAAGGCAGGTGTCCTGGATAAAGTGCCGTTTGCAGGCAGGTACCATCTCTCCACAGTGGTTCCAGTTGAATCCATATAGATGGGAATATTCTTATGGGCTTCCTGGGTGGTGCTGGTAAAGCTCAGGCATTCTTTCTCCAGAGACTACACTGGATGCGGGAAGACACAGGACTAAGTCCACAGCCAGCACAGCCAGAATATTCCACACCCAGCCTCTCCCCTTTCAATCCTTAATCCCCAACCCAGTGGAAGTCATCCAGGAAAGTCCTTGCTGTTGGTAAACTCTTTGTGGGAGAGGGCTGTCAGAGACTGTGGAAGCCCGGAAGACAGCTCCTGTCTGGAGGTGCAGTCATTACAAAATTCGTTAATTCAGCTTTTATAGAGATCCTACATACTCTTACCCAGGCACTTTTCTAGTAACTGGGGTTACAAAAATGAGCACCTCAATGGATCACTGCTTTTGAAAACAATCAGGGGAGAAGGATGTCTCATACATTTTAGGGAAGCATGAGACATCAATCAAATGCATTTAAGGAATACATTGGCCAGGCACGGTGGCTCACGCCTGTAATCCCAGCACTTTGGGAGGCCAAGGCAGGCTGATCTTGAGGTCAGGAGTTTGAGACCAGCCTGGCCAACATAGTGAAACCCTGTCTCTACTAAAAATACAAAAAATTAGCTGGACGTGGTGACAGGCACCTGTAATCCTAGCTACTCAGGAGGCTGAGGTAGGAGAATTGCTTCAACCCAGGAGGCGGAGGTTGCAGCGAGCCGAGATCACACCACTGCACTCCAGCACGGGCGGCAGAGGGAGACTCCATCTAAAAAAAAAAAAAAAAATCATTGGTTTGGTCCAGGAAGGTGGGACAATTCAAAGTGGGGTGGCAGGGCTTTCAGGCTATACGTAAATTTAAACATTTTATGGTTGACAATTGGTTGAGTTTGTCTAAAGACCTGGGGTTGATAGAAAAGAAATGTTAAGATAAAAGACTGTGGAGACCAAGGTTCTTTTGAAGTCTTATAGTGGCTGCCCTTAGAAACAACAGATGACAAGTGTTTCCTATTCAGATCTATAAAAGGTGCTACACTTAGTTAATCTCTTTATGATTGGAAGGGCCTGGTAGAAAAAGATCCAGCTATGTTAATAGAGATTCTTTACAGATGAAAATTTTCCCCCACAAAGGACAGTAGCAGGGCCATTTCAAGATATGGCAAAGAAACATGTTTTGAGGTAAAAATATTAAAATATTTTGCTTTTCTTCCTTGTCTCGTCATGTTATGCCAGAGTCAGGTTGGAAAGTAAGTCATGATATATAGGGTTAAATAAAACCCATCTGATGAGAATTTATGATTTGTAGGGCATGACTCCCCAGACCCCTTAGATAGGAATTTTGGCAAGATAAAAAAAAATCATTGGATTTAGTCCTCGTTGAGGTGATAACCATTCGGAGGTGAGAAAGTAAGTTAAATTGTAACCCCAGAAGAGTTCCGATTACATAAACACTCAATACATACTTATTGAATGAATGAAAGCCCACGGCCTAGAATTTGGTATAAAGCTTGAGAAAAGAAAAATAGCTCAGAGCAGTCTCATGATGTGAGACATGCCCAATTTATCAGGCCCAGAAAGGCATGAGTATGGAACTTCAGTCACACCCTCCCCACCCATGCCCAGAGACAATTGTTCCAAGGCGTTTTGTCCCTGACTAGCTGCCTCACCCGTTATCTGTTCCTGGAATTTGTGATACAAAAAACAATGTATAGCCAATGAATTGCTTATGTTATTTTATTTTAAATTCTTGATAAACAACTTAGGAACTATTCTGTTTCCTTAAAAACTCACTTGTAACTGCTGTGAATCGAAGTGTATATTCAGGACAACTTGAATCTATGCTTCTGTGTAGCTATCCTCAAGCTTTCTGGATCTCGTTACTTAAGGCTGACAAGCTAAACATTAAAATGTGCACTTAAAAAATATATAAAAGCCCAGGCACAGTGGTTTACACCTATAATCCCAGTACTTTGGAGGCCAAGGTGGGAGGATCACTTGAGTGCAGGAGTTTGAGGTCAACTGGGACAACATAGTGAGACCTCATGTCTAAAAAGAGATAAAAATAAAAAAAAATAAAAATATAAAAAATAAAAGAATAAGTTAAAGTCAGAGCTGCTCAAGGTATACAGGTTATTTACCTCTTGTTAGTCTGCACTTGGCAGCTACAGGCTCACTGATTCAAAACAAGTGCAAACAGGGCAGTGACTGCTATCTGCTAATGGAGTCAAAACGAATATAAATAGAAATCCATATTACAAATTACTTTTCCTCTGTTTCTTCTTTAGTTATATTTGAATATGGATTTTTAAAATAACTGTTTAGCTAAGTTCAGGATATTAAAGGGGTTGTAGCCAAATAATTGTTATAGGCAGACCTCATGTCCAGTGGGATTGAGAGACACAGACTGAAGGTTTGCTAGATGCATGAACCAAGATGCTTCAGGCCGGATGTGGTGGCTCACATTTGTAATCCCAGCACTTTGGGAGGCCAAGGTGGAAGGATCGCTTGAGCCCAGGATTTGGAGACCAGCCTGGGCAACATAACAAGACCTCTCTCAAAGAAAAAAAAAATGCTTCACACCCAGCCTCATAACTGAGAGACTCTCCTTTCTTGAGCTGTTTAGGGCTGGCAGAAAAGAAGCCACTATGAACAGTGTGCAGTTTCTTCTTTCAGATCTATGGAGGAGTCATTCCCAGTCTAAATCCCTAAATCAAGCAACCCCAGGATGGGTCTCTCCAACTTCATTTCCCAGGCTCTCCTCTGGGCCTGCTTCCTTATTTGTGTAATGCGGAAACTCAACAACCAAGAAAGTGAGTTGTTGGCATTGTACCGACATTTGACACACAGTGTCTGTGAAATAAGTAGTCACATATCATATTAATACAAACTGAAGGGCTCCTCTGGTGGGTCTGTCAGAGGCGTTTCAACCAAAGCAACCCCATCTTGAATAGGGGCTGGGTAAAATGAAGCTGAAGCCTACTGGGCTGCATTCCCAGGAGGTGTGGCATTCCAAGTGACAGGATGAGCTAGGAGGTGAGCACAAGATAACAGGTCACAAAGACCTTGCTGATAAAACAGCCTGTGGTAAAGAAGCCAGCCCAAACCCACCAAAACCAAGATGGCGACCAAAGTGACCTCTGGTCATCCTCATCACTCATTATATGCTAATTATAATGTATTAGCATGCTAAAAGACACTCCCACCAGTGCCGTGATTACAGATGCCATGGCAACATCAGGAAGTTACCCTAAATGGTCTAAAAAGGAGAGGAACCCTCAGTTACGGGAATTGGCCACCCCTTCCTTGGAAAACTCATTAATAATCCACCCCTTCTTTAGCATATAATCAAGAAGTAACAATAAGTATCCTTAGTGGAGCAGCTCAAGCCACTGCCCTGCCTATGGAGTAGCCATTCTGTATTCCTTTACCTCCTTAATAAGCTTGCTTTCACTTTACTCTATGGACTCACCCCAAATTCTTTCTTATACAAGATCCAAGAACCTTCTCTTGGGGTCTGGATCTGGATCCCTTTCTGGTAACATCTTCCTGTCGAACCCTGAGGAGACACCCTACCCAAAGGAAATAGACTGCAGCACCAATTGGCTATCTAGGGTAAGTGGCGGGGTACCCAGGTAAAGGATGGAATTGGGTTAGAGGCTCAACTTAGGGGAGTTAAAGTCTCTCCTAAGACAGAGTGGGTTAAAGGCCCCTCTTAATAAAAGGCAAGGACACTTGACTGAACTTTGGTTTGAGGCCCAACTCAGGAGTGTTAGAGTCCCTTCTAAGATTTAGGGAGTTAGAAGCCCCTCTCAGAGTAAAGTTCCTCTTGGCTAAGAACGGATTTAGCACCATGGGATATTAATTGCTATTCTCTTTGGATTAATCTACCTTGAAATCTTTGCTGATGGCTGTGGGTGACAGAATTGTGTATGTACAGGATCCTGGGACATGAGAGCTTTTTGCTCCCCAAACGGGGACACTTAAGAGCTGATGCAACTCCTGGAAAAGATCCCTTCTTAACCAATGAGCGGCTGCCTGAACTTTTGATTCAGTGTCACTGGGATAGGTGAGTCTTTCTCTGGTCTTCCTGAGCTCTTCACTTTCCCCACCTTACCACAGGCAAGTTTTGGTTAATGAGAAAAAAGACTTGTGAGGCTAGCCTTAAGCTGTAACGAATCTGGTGTGCTTTGTGTGTCTATATTGTTCTGCCATAAAGAAGGGTACCTTAGGATAGAATGCAAGCCTACTGTTACCAGGGGGTCCTTGCTCCCAGAGTTCCCAAGATAGTGGCAGGCCGCTTCCAAGATGGCGGCAAGCCTCTTGTTCTCTGACCTGGGGTTCTTGGCCTCACAGATTCCAAGGAATGGAATCTTGGGCCATGCAGTGACTGTTATAGCTCTATTAGAAGCCGTGGGTCACAGAAGAGAACTGTGGAACCCAGCGACTAATGTTCAGCTCGATTAGAATGAACCCGGGCACTTAGCCGTGCAGGAACAATGACAAGACTTTAGCCCAATCCAGAGCGGCAATGGGTGCCTCACTGGATCAGGAGCACAGCAGACACCCTGCCAGATCTGGAGGGGTGGAAGTCAGCGGCGGGTCTGCGATGGCGGCAAACAGCAGTGGTGGACGGCAAGTGAAAGCTCAGCTCGAGTCGTAACAAACACTGACCAGAAGAGTGTGCAGTTGCAAGATTTAATAGAGTGAAAACAGAGCTCCCATACAAAGGGAGGGGACTCAAAGAGGGTAGCCCTTGCTGGTTTGAATGCCTGGGTTTATATCCTATCATTGTCCCTCCCAGTGTGCTCTCAGGCGATAGATGATTGGCTATTTCTTTACCTCCTGTTTTTGCCTAATTAGCGTTTTAGTGAGCTCTCTTTACTACCTGATTGGTCGGGTGTGAGCTAAGTTGCAAGCCCCGTGTTTAAAGGTGGATGCAGTCACCTTCCCAGCTAGGCTTAGGGATTCTTAGTAGGCCTAGGATATCCAGCTAGTCCTGTCTCTCACTATGACGCCTGTAAGCCCGCTGTTCAAAATGGCCAAGCAAACTGATCAGTTATAAACTTTGCTGAAGGTCCCTGAAAAGCTGGATGAAATTTCTCTTTCGTCTTGTTTTATGTCCTTGGGAGCTTCACCTTGTAACCACGTGGCGATACTTTCTCTTCGTTTCTACCATCCAGCAGACAGGAGTTTTGGGGTTCATGCCATAGTTACTCCTAAAAATTATCTTGATCAGATAAAAGCCTTTGCAAGCTCAAAATTGGTGACTCTAGCCTCCTTCTGGGAAGGGCAATGGAGACTGCCCAATGCTGTAGCTCAGCAGCTAAGACTGTCTTTTCACAGTGGCAGCCCAGGTTCAGGGTTCAATCCCCAGCTTAGGGAATGAGTCCTTTCTAGTTTGAGATCTGTCTGAACATTTGTAGATTCTCTTTCCCTCCACAAACTGTCTTGAATTTTTTTTCTCCGAGTACCTGGGAGTTTGCCTTTGGTAAAGTTCAGAAGCCAGAAATATTGGTAGTTTGGCATGGCTGAAGTTGGGTAATAAGAGACATTAAAGGATTTTTATTTTTAAGAGTGCTATGGTTAAAAGTCAGCTTCATTAAAGCAGGATATTCAAACTCTAACAGCCTATGACTCCCTGGGAAAAACAGGAGGTGCCAGAGACACCATTTTGGAAAAAAAAAAAAAATACCACTCTGTTTTCCTCTTGAAACCCCAGGAGTTGAAAGTTGACAAATTCCTCTCAAAATGTAAGGCTCTGTTCTGTTTTGCATTGCAGTATCTGATGTTTTTGACTTTTGGTGGTATCAGAAATTACATCGTATTATGACAGAGCTTTGGTGTGTAGTAACTAGGTAGGAAATATACTTTAAGGAATGGCCAGTGGAAGTTATTGGTGAATACTTAACTCTTTGCATATTTAGATTAGAGAAGCATGCTCTTGGCCACTTCGAAGGTATGGAAATACCCGCTTATCTCCCACTGAGAGATAAGACTTCCACGGAAGATGGGCTGATTTCCCCTTTTTTGGTGGGGGGGATCCAGGATCTGGTATAAAATGGGACCCTTATTTTGGGGGATCTGTCTTGCCTTCCAGCTTGCCTGCTTATTAGGCTGTAGAAACTGCATGCTTTCCTGACCTTGTTCCCCCAAGGGCTCCACCCTAAAGTCAGTAATCCAATTAAGAAACTGGCAAATGATGGCCGGGCGCGGTGGCTCACACCTGTAATCCCAGCATTTTGGGAGGCCGAGGCAGGTGGATAACGAAGTCAGGAGATCGAGACCATCCTGGCTAACACAGTGAAACCCCGTCTCCACTAAAAGTACAAAAACTTAGCCAGGCGTGGTGGCAGAAGCCTGTAGTCCCAGCTGCTCAGGAGGCTGAGCCAGGAGAATGGCGTGAACCTGGGAGGCGGAGCTTGCAGTGAGCCGAGATCAAGCCACCTCACTCCAGCCTGGGCGACAGAGCAAGACTCCGATTCAAAAAAAAAGAAAGAAAAAGAAACTGGCAAATGAAAATTCTTACAACTACTGGATCTTCTGGTCTGTGTATTTATATATGTTGTGTGTGTGAGATATAAAAGAGCTTTGATTAATAGGTTAAAAAATAATAAGAGCTTAAATCAAATATTTTATTAGAAAAATAAAAACTGTGATGCCTTTTAGTTTATATGCCTTTAGTAATCTTTGGGAAATAACATCAGTTTTACATGCAAGGTGTGTAAGGAAAGTGAAATGTGTTTTTGGTAAAAGATTATAAGAAGTCATGGGAATGTGGATTTTTCTGCCTAGATTAAAGGGTTAAAGGATTGTTTTAGATGAGATAAAGCTGAAGGCTTGAACAAATTGTGGGAGGTTTGTGAAAAATTAATGTCATAAAAGAAATTCTGTGTGAACATGTTGGCTAAAGTTAAAGGGGTATTCATTTTTTCTATAAATCAAACATTGGAATAAAAGCACAACAGGTTTTTCTTAGAGCATTAATCTGCTCGTTCACAAAAATTGTAAAGGGTTATAAAAGGTTTAGGATCCACTTTTCTGGGGAGGTGAGGAAACAAAAGTTTATAAGAATCTTACTTTATGGTCAAACTGATTAAGATTAAATAAATTTGTCTAAAAGGTTTTATTAAAGAATTGGGTTTAACATTAATAGTACACTAACGTAAAGGTGAAATTTGGCTTATTCAGTATAAAATCCATAAAGGAAGCATCGTCAAATGTGAAATAGTATTTGGCTTTCTTTGGCCTATATTTGCATAAATATGTTATTGGACATGTTCCAAAATTATGGAAAACACCCATAATTCCTTGATAACTTAGTGTATGTTATTAATAGTCATAATTGTTATGTAAAATTGTTGTCACAGAACTAACCAAAATTTCCTTTTCTTTTCTTTTTTATTTTTTGAGACAGAGTCTCACTCTGTCACCCAGGCTGTAGTACAGTGGCACAATTTCAGCTCACTGAAAACTCCACCTCCCAGGTTCAAGCGATTCTCCTGCCTCAGACTCTCAGTAGCTGGGATTGCAGGCACCCACCACCATCCCCAGCTAATTTTTGTATTTTTAGTAGAGACGGATTTTCACCATGTTGGCCAGGTTGGTATCAAATCCCTGACCTCAGGTGATCTGCCTGCCTCGGCCTCCCAAAGTGCTGGGATTACAGGCGTGAGCCACCGTGCCCACCCCCACATTTCCTTTTCAATTGTGGCTTAAATAGTGGCTGTCCTAAGACTTCTGTCAACCACAGACAATTGTTTTCTTATTTTGATCCTCTTCAAAAGGTGGTTTATAATCAACTATAGGATTTTGACAGGTTCTCTTGAATGCAGGTTTCTGATAAGTTTGGAGATTGTGACGTCAGAATAGAGGAAAAACTTTCAGGACTCATGGACAGCTGAAATGTTCATGACGATTAAACAGGACAGGAGTTAACTGCATGGAATGAACAAATAGAAGACTGAAGAAATGTTTTTGACTTTGCTTAAAATGCTGCTGAAACTTTGTTTTGTTTTCAGAGTCAGGAAAAATTTTGAGCTATTTACACCTTTTAACAATTCAGTAGGCCGGGCGCGGTGGCTCACGCCTGTAATCCCAGC
Organism: Homo sapiens; assembly: GCF_000001405.40. Taxonomy (NCBI): domain Eukaryota; kingdom Metazoa; phylum Chordata; class Mammalia; order Primates; family Hominidae; genus Homo; species Homo sapiens. The sequence goes on along the minus strand of NC_000011.10, from coordinate 72,150,833 downwards.
ACTTTGGGAGGCCGAGGCGGGTGGATCATGAGGTCAGGAGATCGAGACCATCCTGGCTAACAAGGTGAAACCCCGTCTCTACTAAAAATACAAAAAATTAGCCGGGAGCGGTGGCGGGCGCCTGTAGTCCCAGCTACTCGGGAGGCTGAGGCAGGAGAATGGCGTGAACCCGGGAAGCGGAGCTTGCAGTGAGCCGAGATTGCGCCACTGCAGTCCGCAGTCCGGCCTGGGCGACAGAGCGAGACTCCGTCTCAAAAAAAAAAAAAAAAACAATTCAGTAAAGTATACTTCTGGCAACATATTTGGAGCATATTTGTTTTTTTCTACCTGATTTTTCCAGAATTAGGAAACTAGGTGTGAGTATTCTTAACTTATAGCAATATAGTTATTTGCATAAGTGCAATAAGAATCTGTTTCTTGGCCGGGCGCAGTGGCTCACGCCTGTAATCCCAACACTTTGGGAGGCTGAGGTGGGTGGATCACCTGAGGACAGGAGTTCAAGACCAGCCTGGCCAACATGGCAAAACCCTGTCTCTACTAAAAATAAATAAATAAAAATTAGCTGGGTGTGGTGGTGTGTGCCTGTAATCTCAGCTACTCAGGAGGCTGAGGCAGGAGAATCACTTGAACCCGGGAGGCAGAGGTTGCAGTGAGCCGAGATCGTGCCATTGCACTCCAGCCTGGGTGACAAGAGCAAAACTGCATCTCAAAAAAAAAGTAAGTAAATAAATAATCTAAATAATCTGTCTCTTTTTTCTTTCTTTCTTTTTTTTTTTTTTTTTTTTTTTTGAGGCAGAGTCTAACTCTGTCACCCAGGCTGGAATGCAGTGGTGTGATCTCAGCTCACTGTAACCTCTATCTCCTGGATTCAAGTGATTCTCCTGCCTGAGTCTCCCAAATAGCTGGGACTCCCAAGTACCTTTGGCCCTAATAAGCAGGCACAGCTGGAAGGCAAAACAGATCCCCCAAAATGAAGATCCCATTTTATACCAGACCCTGGATCCCTCCCCAAAAAAGGGGGAATCAGCCCATCTTCTGTGGAAGTCTTATCTCTCAGTGGGAGATAAGAAGATATTTCCAGCCAGTCACGGTGGCTCACACCTATAATCCCAGCACTTTGGGAGGCCGAGGCAGGCAGATCACCTGAGGTCAGGAGTTCAAAACCAGCCTGGCCAACATGGTGAAACCCCGTCTCTACTAAAAATACAAAAATTAGCTGGGCATGGTGCCAGGTGCCTGTAATCCCAGCTACTTGGGAGGCTGAGGCAGGAGAATCCTTTGAACCCAGGAGGCAGAGATTGCAGTGAGCTGAGATTTTGCCACTGCACTCCAGCCGGGGTGACAGAGTGAGACTCTGTCTCAAAAAAAAAAAAAAAAAAAAAAAAGGTATTTCCATACCTTCCAGGTGGCCAAGAGCATGCTTCTCTAATCCAAACATGCAAAGAGCTACGTGATCATCTATAATTTCCATTAGCCATTCCTTAAAGTATATTTCCTACCTAGTTATTACACACCAAAACTCTCTCATAATGCGATATAATTTCTGATAGACCAAAAGTCAAAAACTTCAGATACTGCAATCCAAAACAGAACAAAGCCTTAAATTTTGAGAGGAATTTATCAGCTTTCAATTCCTGGGGTTCCAAGAGGAAAACAGGGTTTTTTTCCAAAATGGTGTCTCTGGCGCCTCCTGTTTTCCCCAAGGAGTCCCAGGCTGTTAGAGCTTGAATATCTAATTTTAATTAAGCTGACTTTAAACCATGGTGCTCTACAAAAAAAATTCTTTAAAATCTCTTATTACCCAATTACACAACACAAGCAGCTAATTTTTGTATTTTTAGTAGAGACGGGGTTTCACCGTGTTGGCCAGGTTGGTCTCAATCTCCTGACCTCAAGTGATCTGCCCACCTCAGCCTCCCAAAGTACTGAGATTACAGGCATGACCACTGTGCCCAGCCAGAATCTGTTTTCTTTTGTAACAGGACACAATTGGAGAAACCAGTTATTTTACCAAGGCTTTGACTGGAATGGTGTGCTTTCCTTTAAGGAATCAAACTTGACTTATAGAGCTGATAAGAGCCCCTTGGGAAAACTAACTTCATACCTTTTCTACACAGATCCTGAGCAGGGTTTCTGACCTGTGGCAAGTAAAGAATGTCACTCTCTGACAGACCCAGGAGCCCCAAATCATCTTGGGTTCTCAAGAGGAATTCACCCAACTCATAGGTATTTGATGGTACAACCGCATGGCCAAACTCGGCTTTAAAAAAAAAGTTTTGTTTTGTTTTGTTTTGTTTTTTTGAGACAGAGTCTCGCTCTGTCGCCCAGGCTGGAGTGCAATGGTGTGATCTTGGCTCACTGCAACCTTTGCCTCTAAGGTTCAAGTGATTCTCCTGCCTCAGCCTCCCAAGTAGCTGGGATTACAGGCACCTGCCACCATGCCTGGCTAGTTTTTGGTGTTTTTTAGTAGAGACGGGGTTTTACCATGTTGGCCAGGCTGGTCTTGAACTCCTGATGTGATCTTCCCTCCTCAGCCTCCCAAAGTGCTGGGATTACAGGAGTGAGCCCCTGAGCCCGGCCTTAAAAGAAAAAGTCTAATCTGAGATTCTTCTACAAAACAAAGTTCCATCAAAGCCAACTTAAAAAGCCTATGTGAAAAGTAAGTATTCTTGCTGCACGTTACACAAATAATCAGGCCAAGTATAATAAAGCAAATCAGTCTTACCATGATTTGTCTTTAGTAAAAATGTGAAACCAAAAAGAGAAAAATTATGTTTCAGCTGGACGCGGTGGCTCACACCTGTAATCCCAGCACTTTGGGAGGCCGAGGTGGGCAGATCACGAGGTCAGGAGACCAAGACCATCCTGGCTAACACGGTGAAACCCCTTCTCTACTAAAAATACAAAATAATTAGCCGGGCGTGGTGGCAGGCGCCTGTAGTCCCAGCTACTCGGGAGGCTGAGGCAGGAGAATGGCGTGAACCCGGGAGGGAGAGCTTGCAGTGAGCTGAGATCGCGCCACTGCACTCCAGCCTGGGTGACAGAGCGAGACTCCGTCTCAAATAATAATAATAATAATGATAATAATTAAAAGATGGATTTGGACAAAATGCAGAAATAGCCAGCTAGAAGCTTGTCCAACCTATAGCCCTCAGGCCTCATGTGGCCAGGACAGCTTTGAATGTGCCCCAAAACAAATTCACAGACTTTCTTAAACTTTCTTATTCTTCCAATGTGACCCAGGGAAGCCAAAAAATTGGACACCCTTAAGCCAGGAGTTTACCATGGGTTCACAATTCCTTATTCAAAATCTTTGGAGTCACATGTTTCAGATTTAAATTCTTTTAGGATTTCATAAAAGGTGATACAGAGATAATACGATTTGCAAAGAGACCAACTCCCAGGAGATCCCAGCTTGTATCCTGCAATAGTGAGCTGTACCTGAATCTTGGACAACCTGGGAAGTATCAACTTAAAATCACCAGATGTATACACTTGGAAAGAACACTTTTACTAATATTGTGTTGTAACCTGCAGGCTGGGAAGTGGAGCCTCTGGCTGAGATGGAAAGCAGGCACTTTGAGGGAGGAGAGGTGGGACAGGAGTTTTATGCTAAATAGGTTAGCTAGTATACTTATTAATAAGTTATAGGAGGAGCTATGAATATTCATGAAAGGGAGTCACATGCATGTATACTAAGCAAACATACATGTTACATACATCCTGTGTTCACTTTGGGGTGGAGAGTTAACAGTAATTATTTTTATATTTGTATTTTGTTTTTAATTAAAAAAATAGAGACAAGGTCTCACCATGTTGCCTAGGCTGGTCTTGAACTCCTAGGCTCAAGCAATCCTCTTGCCTTGGCCTCCCAAAGTGCTAGGATTGCAGGCATTGAGCCACCATACCCAGCTGAGACTTAACATTAAAATGCAGACTTAGGCCATACACATCAAAAGGTGAAACATAGGACACAAAGGCACTTTGTGTGCAGCCTCTGTAAACCAGCCAGAACCAGCCCATGGTTAACAGGAACTGATCAGGAAGGATAGCTTTGTGAGCTGGTCAGCTGTCGTGTCAAATCACAAAAAGAGAGTGAAGTCTGGCCATGGCATCAGGCAGTTGAAGCTGAAGTCAGCGGAGGAGTCTTCCATTCTCTGTTTTCCAGGACAGGATTCTGCTTAACTCTTAGGAAAAAAGCCTGGTAACAGTAAGGAAGAGGGTATACTGAGGTGTGACCAGCCTCCTGTCTTATCATAGCCAGGAAACCTAGATTTTAAAGTTTTTCTGGGGTCTCCTTGGCCAAGAGGGGTTTGTTCAGTCAGTTGAGGGGTCTTTGGATTTTCTTTTTATTCCACATTTCTTCCTTTTAGCCAAGATCTGCCACAGTCAGCATCAATGGCCAAATTGTTTGTACCATGTCGTTGCCAGGATGCTGAGGCTACCTGCTCCAGATCCATCCAGTCCCTTGGTGGGACCCTTGTGGCCAAGAGACTTACAGCCAATTGAACATCTTGGCCAGACAGAAATAGAGGTGGGCAGGTACTCATCAACCCCTAAGGTCTATCAAGCAATATAAAGGCCAAAAGGTAGGGCTACCAATTTAACTTGTCTATAAGTTCTATGCATTGAGCCAGCATAATTCTGGTTTTAGCAGCAGACTTACAGCAGTTGGTTATACATATTATAAGTTATTTATTTATTTATATTTACTTTTTAGATAGAGTATCCCTCTGTTGCCGAGGCTGGAGTGCAGTGGTGTGATCTCGGCTCACTGCAACCTCCGCCTCCCAGGTTCAAGCAATTCTCCTGCCTCAGCCTCCCGAGTAGCTAGGATTACAGGCACATGCCACCATGCCCGGCTAATTTTTGTATTTTTAGTAAAGACAGTGTTTCGCCATGTTGGCCAAGCTGGTCTTGAACTCCTGACCTCAAATGATCTGCCCACCTCCCAAAGTGCTGGGATTACAGGCTTGAGCCCCCATGCCTGTCCCATATTATAAGTAATTTAAATGTTATGAAGAAAAGTTTGATGGAGACTATAATTATAACAAAAACTTCAATAGCACCTTTTTTTTTTTTTTTTTTTTTTGAGATGGAGTCTCACTCTCACCCAGGCTGGAGTGCAGTGGCGTGATCTCGGTTCACTGCAATCTCCGCCTAGCAGGTTCAAGCGATTCTCCTGCCTCAGCCTCCCAAGTAGCTGGGATTACAGGTGTCGCCACCACACCCAGCTAATTTTTTGTATTTTTCAGTAGAGACGGGGTTTCACCATGTTGGCCAAGCTGGTCACAAACTCCTGACCTCAGATGATCCACCCGCCTCAGCCTCCCAGAGTGTTGGGATTACAGGCATGAGCCGCCACGCCCAGCCTTCAATAGCATCTTGAAAGGAATTTCTGTTTGGTAGAAAGCCAACTGAACAGATCATTGATAGGATCAGTAGTTTTATTTCTTGTAATCATTTAGCTTGTTTGGAAATTCTTTCTGTATGAGTTTTTCTTCTTTTTTTTTTTTTGAGACAGAGTCTTGCTTTATCAGTTTGGAATGCAATTGCGTGATCTAGGCTAACTGCAACCTATGCCTCCCAGGCCCAAGTGATCCTCTTGCCTCAGCCTCCCAAATAGCTGGGATTACAGGCATGTGCCACCATGCCTGGTTAATTTTTGCAGTTTTTGTAGAGATAGGGTTTCACCATGTTGCTCAGGCTGGTCTCAAACTCCTGAGCTCAAGCAATCCTCCCTCCCCAGCCTCCCAAAGTGCTGGGATTATAGGTGTGAGCCACTGTGCCCAACCCTATATGAGTTTCTACTTCACCTGAAGTGTTGATGTAAGTGCAACAGGTGTTATGGGCCACTGCACAGACTCTTCCTTGTTTGGGTAAAAGAAAATCTGAAGCAATTAAATTATCTATTACTACTTGAGCCAGGGAATTCAATTTGTTGGGCTATAAGGCTTTTTGCAGTGTCTTCAGCTACCTGTCCAATAGTGGCAGATAGGTTTGAATATGCTGGTCAAGTTTTGAATTAGACTCCTTCAGTTTTGAATTAGTCTCATTTAAGGAGGTTATCTGAGACTCCCAACTGTGTTTAGAGCTCTCATAATAACACTGAAAAATGGTCTCCCGTGGGAGGATTCCTTGAGTCCAGGAATTTGAGACCAGCATGGTCTATAAAAAATTAAAAATTGAAAATAAAGAAATTAGTGGGGTGTGGTGGTGCATGCCTATAATCCCAGCTACTTGAGAGGCAGAGGTGGGAGGATGATTGAGCCTGGGAGGTCGAGGCTGCAGTGAGCCATGTTCGTGCCACTCCACTCCACTCCCCATGACAGAGTGAGACTCTGTCTCAAAAAAAAAAAAAAAAAAAAGACCTCCCATTGCTTCTGAGAGGTCCTGAACCCTATTGTGCATGCAAATAAACTAATTTAGGCATGTCAGACATTCTGCCAAAAGTTCTCCATTTTGGCCTATAAATCTTTATATTGTTCCAGGTTAGCTTTTTTCCAGGATCCAAAATATTCACAAGACTTTTTCTCATAATTCTGAAACATGCATGTTCCTGATGGCAGCTGGTCTGGGACTGTCTCCTTAGAATCTAGATTCCCCAGAAAAGCATAAGACATTCCTTCGTGTGCCACTAGAGGGCAAGCATCCTCACCAAACCTGATGGGCTGATGCGCCGGATGAGTCAGGCTTAACTGCCCCCAACCTCCCCATCTAGAAACCTGGGACCAACAAAGATGGCACTTGCAGGGTCCGGATGGAGGGGATCAGGGTAAAAAAATGAAGTCCTCGAGATCTCAATTCAAAAGTGAGAGATCTTAGATCGGGGAGAGCTTACCCACCTTCCTCCCAAAGCTGTCAGGGAGACAAATGAGCTGTCAATGGCTCCACCTGGCACCTGTGCATTCACTTAGGCTGGGGGAACCTGGGCTGCTCCATGGATCCTACTCTTGTCTTCAATTATATTGGCTTAAAATCATAAGATCTTTACATTTGGAAAAGAGAGCTTTATTTCTTTTGATGGGTTGCAACCTACAAGCTAGGAATTGAAGGGACAGGGGTTTTACACTAAATCAGTTGGCTAAACATATATATTTAATAAGTTTTAAGAGGATTTATGAATATTCATGAGAGTTGCACACATGTGTACCAATAAAACATGTTAAATATGTCCCATATTCACTTCGGGGTGGAGACATTAAAATGCAGTTGAATTAGGCTCTGTATGTCAAAATGTGAAACACAGGACCCAAAGCACTTTGTGTGCTGCCTCTGTAAACCAGCCAGAACTGGTCCATGGTTGAGAGTCATTGATCAGCCAGGAATGTTTTGTAAGCTGATCAGCTGTCATGTCAAAATCAGGAAAGGGAAGGGAGTCTCGGAATTGGTTGAAATTGAAATCAGTGAAGGAGTCTCCTGTTCTTGGTTTTCAGGGCTGGTTTCTGTTTAGCTCTTGGGAAAGAAGCCTGGTAACGGTTCGTGAGGAAGCAGGTGTGCTGAGGTGTGAGTGACCTATCATCACGGCCAGGAAACTTGGATTTTAAAGTTTTTCCGGGGTCTCTTTGGCCAAGAGGTGTCCATTCAGTTGTTTGGAGGGTTGAGGATTTTATTTGTATTTCCCAGAGGGTTGAGTCCTCTTAAGACCTCAGCAGGTAGAGGCCTCTGGAAACCTCAGGCCTCTTTCCTTCTTTATACCCCAGTGCTGATGGGAGAAGGGCAGGCAGGTGTCTAGGAACGCCTGAACACAGGAGCTCCTCTAGATGGAACTCCTGCCCTGTCATCCGCTGCCCCTGGCTTGGGGGCTGATCATGAACTGAACTTTATGGCCCCTCCACTGCAGGAGTGAGACCTGCTACCTGAGGCAGGCCCCTGGGCCATGAGGGCTTCAGAATAATACCAGCAAATGGAAGGTTGGGTTGGAGGTCAAGTTCAGTTCCTCTGGTAAGTCCTCACCACTTGTGGAGTCTCAGAGCCCTGCTCTGAAGGGTGAGGTGGTGTGCCTATCTGGAGTCTGGGTGCTAGGGCCAGCAGGGAGGGACAGTCAGGCAGTCAGCTTGAACCAGTCCAGAGAGTATCTGCCTGAGCTGGAAGCTTAATACCACAAGGTTAACCATTGGCATTCCTTCTAACCCCAACCCGAAGGCTACCCTAGGACCAGGCAGATAACAGGAAGGTGTTTGGCTCACAGAGGTGGAGACTCTGGGCTTCAGGAAGCAGGAGAGGGGCCTCAGAGTGGGGAGGAGAGAACCCTGAGGTCTTCCCTGAGTGCCAGCCTATCACACATGCAATCTCACCTCACTCATCTTCCCAGCTGCAGAAACTACTGATCTCAGTCCGATTCTAAGCCTGCCTTCTTATACCTAGCAGTTGCAGGAGAGAAGCTCTGTGAGGGGCCCACAGGGCACCGTCCTAAGGAATGCAGATCCAGTGTTTCTTCTTTGGCCTTAACTGCTGCCCATTCCCCACACAACCTCTCTTAGCCACCCTGGAATTCTGCTTGCACTTCTATTACCTCTAAGCCTTTGCACTTGCTGAGACCTGTCCATGGAATGCCATTCCCTGTGCTGTTTTGTGCTTGGCAAACATTACTCCTTTGGAATCCTTCCCTGACCTCTTTGGGCTTCAGCAGAATAATACCACACTCTGTGCTTCCCTCTGTGAAAGCCTCATCTCCTTGTTCTAAGAGTCACTGGTTCTCAGAACTGTCTGTCCCCACCAGACCTTGCAAGGAACTCAATTCCCTTTCTGTTGGCTGAGACCAGCATGGGCCAGTGGACTGGATGCTCAGAAGGAATTGTTGACTGACAGAATGGATGCAGCGATTCCTTAACTTACTGAGCACATTCTCGGTGCCAGGCACTGACCCAGACCCTGGGGATGTAGCATAAAATGACACAGACACAACCCTGCTTTCGGGAGAGTATGTTTTGTTAGGGAAAAGGCTGACAACAAACACAGTAGATAAAAATCTGCACAAGGACATAGAGTAGTGTGATGAGAAATCAGCTGGGTGGGTTTGTCAGTTTGAGTGGTCAGAAGTCATTTTAGGGGGGGATTGTAGGTTGTGATCTAAGTGGCCACAAAGTGCTAGGCTGCAGAGGATTAATGAAGAACATTTCAGGCATGCAGAGAAAGAGTTGCTGGAGCAAAGACCCCCAACATGAGAAATGTGACTGGAGCTCATTTATGGGGTGGTGTGGGAGAGATTTGGCTTGAGGGCTCAAAGGAGGGGCATGGTCTTCTGTGCTATTGTGAAGAAGTTTGGTTTTTACAGTTGATACCACTGAAAAGTATTGAAGGGTTGGTGAAAGAGCTGTAACATAGTAAGACATGTTTAAGGTCCATCAGCTACTAGAACATATAGGTGGAAGTGTGCTGATGAATAGAGTATCTCTAGTTCTCCAGTCTCTCTCTACAACATATTTGCTAGTTACAAAGGGGAAAGTGTAGTGGAGAAACCTGGCAGACACAATCTCAAGAAAAAGATCAAAGTTAACGTCACCAGGAATGAGCAAACCCCACACCACATGCCTCCCATTATGATGCACGGGATAACCATGTAGGGTATTTGTGCCCAAAACGCATAACCTCAATGAATCATGAGGAAACAGACAAACCCAAATGGAGGAGTATTCTACTAAATAACTGGCCTGTGGCTTTCAGCAATGTCAGGATCATAAAAGAACCCCATTCCTTCCAATGCCCATCAGTAGGAGACTGAATTCAATGTAATGTACACCTAGAATGGATTACTACCTGGTAATTTAACATATCAATAGGTCAATATGGAAAGATCTCAGAACAATGGCAGATGAAAACTGCACTGAGCTGCCCTTTCCCCACCTGTAAGATGAGCAGAAAACCAAAGTTTAATGGCATAGTGGGTTGACAAGGTTGTGGAGAAACAGGCACTCTCTCTCTCTCTCTTTTTTTTTTTTTTTTTTTGAGACAATGTCTTGCCCTGTTGCCCAGGCTGGAGTGCAGTGGCATGATCATAGCTTACTGTAACCGCAGCCTGCTGGGAGTCAAGCGATTCTCTCACCTCAGCCTCCCTAGTAGTTGGGACTACAGGCACACACCACCATGCCCAGCTGATTTTTTAGTTTTTTGTAGAGTTGGGGTTTCACCATGTTGCCCAGGCTGATATTGAACTCCTGGGCTCAAGAGATTCTCCTGCCTCAGCCTCCCAAACTGCTGGGATCACAGACATGAGCCATCACACCCAGTGGAGAAAGAGGCACTCTCATACTTTGCTGGTGGGGGAGGCACATTGATACAACCCCCATAAAGTTGTAACTCTCAAAATTATATGTACTCTTGACCCAATAATCCTTTCTGGAATTTAAGTATAACATTCCACTAAGTAAAAGATTGTTAATTGCAACATTAGTTGTCATTTTTTTTTAAAAAGCAGGTCAGGTACAGTGACTCATGCCTATAATCCCAGCACTCTGGGAGGCCAAGGAGGGAGTATTGTCTGGGCACAGGAGTTCAAGACCAGCCTGGGCAATATATCAAGATTCCTGTCGCAAATAAATAAATAAATAAATAAATAAATAAATAAATAAATGGAAACAAGGCAAGTGTTCATCAAGACCCTCCTCCCCACCAATATCTCCACCCAGCCCACATCACTAAAGAAACTCTCTTCCCAACTTGAAGCCCAATAACTCATCGGCTATCTCTGCCCTTCTTCACTCCGTCTGTGTCTTTCTCCATGTGTAGTGCCGGTGGGATGAGCTTGGCATGAGGGGGAAGCCAGTGCAGGGGTAAGAGACCCAGACTAACGGATCAGATACCTGGATTCTAGCTCAACCCCCACACCCTCCTTCCCAGTGAACATTAGGCTAGTTCCAGCCCAATTTGGGGCCTGTCAATGGAAAAGATGAAGCAATGTGTCCCTCCAACCCACTCGTCCCGAAATTACAAGACACAAGACACATGTGGATTTGTCTATTAGAATAGGTTGTTGGAAGAACCCCAGAGGACCCTTCTTGGATCAGGAATCAATAATCCCACGAGACGGGGCCCCAGCATTCATGGCCGCAGCATAGAACTTGGCCACCTCCTCATTGGGGTTGCCCTGGGCTGAGTCAAACCACATCTGGATGCAGCGGCCGCTCCCTCGACTATAGTTGCTGACCTTGAAGGAGTGGCTCCAGAGGCCTTCACAAAGGGCGGCTGGAGTGGGGAAGTAGGACTCAAAGGTGCTGCAGAGGGCCCCGGCCGGACACTCATTAATCCCTGAGGGAGGAGAACGTAAGACCCTTAGCTTCTGGGCCAGACCGCACCCCTCCCAACCCCAAAGCCCCACTCCCACTCCTCATCTTATCTCCTCAGGTCCTCACCTGAGGTCCAATTCCAGCCTTTGTGCCAGTTGCTTTTGCAGGTGTAGGAGGTGCGACAGTCCTCCCACCAGCGCTCACAGTCCTCTTTGCACAGGGGCACGTTCAGAATGCGCTCTTTGCGCCAGCTCTGGTTGACCTGAGTGGGGAGGAGACAGAATACTCCTGTCAGCCACGTATCTCAGCAGCTTTACCCTTGAAGGGGACCAGAGCTGTGGGAGGGGGCAGGGCGTCCACCACCCTCAGACCCGAATTCCTGGACCAAGCCCTCCCTGCCAGCAACTGGCAGGCTCCGCCCTCTGCTGAGGTTAATGTTTGTGGGAACAGCACTCATACCTGCCGGATCCAGGGCCCCAGGTTGGGTGAGCACTCATAGAGACAGCTGTCCTGGATAAAGTGGCGCTTGCAGGTGGGTTCCATCTTACCACAGTGATCCCAGTTAAAGTTGTACAGGCGGGAGGTGTCCTTGTGCAGCTCCTGGCTGGTGCTGGCCGTGCAGCAGGCATTCTTCTTCCAGGGACTGCACTGGGTGGGGAAGACACAGGACTAAGTCTCTCCCCACCACAGCCATCTCCTCCATATTCTGGCTCCTCTGCCCCAGGTAGGTCATCCAGAGGAACACTTCCTGGGGAGGGCCCTTGAGGAGCTCCCACCTGGGGACGGAGGCAATTACAATATTGGTGCTTTCCGCCCTATTTATTCATTTATTTATTTGAGACAGGGTCTTGCTCTGTTGACCAGGCTGGAGCGCAGTGGTGTGATCATAGCTCACTGCAGCCTCAACATCCTGGGCTCAAATAATCCTCCCACCTCAGCCTCCCGAGGAGCTGGAATTCAGGCACATGCCACCATGCCTGGCTAATATAAAGTATTTTTGTAGAGATGGGGTCTCACTATGTTGCCTAGGCTGGTCTCAAACTCCTTGGCTCATGTCAGCTTCCCAAAATACTAAGATTAGAGGCGTGAGCCACCATGCCTGCTTAATTTTGGCTTTTAACAGAGGGTAATCCACGGGATATAGGAGATGAGGGAGAGCCACTGTCTGAGAGAGTAATTATTAGTAGTACAGCTCTTAACGGTTTAAAAAGTGATCTCATGTTATTAAACTAACTTTTTTTTGAGACAGAGTTTCGCTCCTGTTGCCCAGACTGGAGTGCAGTGGCGTGATCTTGGCTCACTGCAACCTCCACCTCCCGGGTTCAAGCAATTCTCCTGCCTCAGCCTCCCAAGTAGCTGGGATTACAGGCACGTGCCACCATGCCCAGCTAATTTTGTATTTTTAGTAGAGACGGGGGTTCACCATGTTTGCCAGGCTGGTCTCGAACTCCTGACCTCAGGTGATCCACCCTCCTTGGCCTCCCAAAGTGTTGGGATTACAGGCGTGAGTCACCGCGTTCGGCCTATTTCATGTTATTCAGCTTATTTATATTATTCATTTTGCATCCAGCCAATATTAACTGAGTGCTGATTATACATCAGGCACTGTGCTAGGTCCTAGGAACACCACAGTGAAGAAAACAAATAACACCTCTACCCTCAGGGAGGGTATGGTTTTAGTGGGTGGGTGGGCTGTGTGTAGAAGGGAGACAAAGAACACTCTAGGCATAGAAAACCATAGGTGCAAAGTCCCTGAGGCTTTTGCGCTTTATCCTCTCAACAACCCAGTACGAATCCTTACCCCCATTTTTACAGAGTTTAAGTAAGCTACACCCATGGTAAACAGTGAGGTTAAGATTTAAGGAGGCGGGCGGATCACCTGAGGTTAGAAGTTCGAGACCAGCCTGACCAACACAGAGAAACCCTGTCTCTACTAAAAATACCAAAAAATTAGCCAGGCACAGTGGTAGGCGCCTGTAATCCCAGCTACTCAGGAGGCAGAGGCAGGAGAATCACTTGAACCCAGGAGGCAGAGGTTGCAGTGAGCCAAGATCATGCCATTGCATTCCAGCCTGGGCAACAAGAGCGAAACTCTGCCTCAAATTAAAAAAAAAAAAAATTATAACTGAGGACAGGGAGGAGAGGAACCTGGCCCAGGTTGTGGGGGAGGGTGGAGGTCAAGGGGCTGGTCTGGCTCTCCCAGGGTCTGGAGGTCCAGGTGGGGAGACTCTAGATAGATCCTGAGAGTGGTGGAGAACGAAGGAGCTATAGCCTGCACGTGGGTCTGAACCTAGACTTGACTAAATGTGGAAAAGGCAATCCTAGAAAGGTAAATACAAGGCAGGTAAGACAAGCAGAAATGGTGGAGTTTTTTCTTGGGAAGTCACTCTAGGCCAGGACTCAGAAAACCTGAGAAATCATGAATCAATTGCATAAAATTTCTGGGCTGAACCCTTGCACCTAGGGTCAAGTGATGGCAGAGGCGTGACAGGCCTGAGCACCCAGGAGAAACAATAGGGAAATCCATGGGAGGGGAGCCAGACCTACCCACCTCCCACACCCTGGCCCACGCCCAGTGCCGGCTGACACAGAACATGCTTCCCTGCCAGCCCGACTTCACACTTGCTTTTCCTTGGATGTTCCAACTCTTGGTCTTCCTGCAAGACCCCTTGCACATCATGGGTCTTAGGGTTTGGCAGACATGGGTCCTGCCTGTCAGGGTCAAGGGTTGTTGCCTCCAAAAGAGTTACTGAGTACAATGAGAAGAACTCCCTTGCTATAGTAAGGGCTCAACAAATATCATCACTCTCATATAGCTCATGGCCCTGAGAATGATAGTCATCTGTCTCTCTCAAAGGTCTACATCCACACCATTTCCTGGCAAGGAGGATGTGCTCTAGAAGGTTCTGAAAAGCAAATGAAGTGGTGGGCACAGAGTTTCCATTTCAGTTTTGGAGAATGAAAGAGGTCAGGAGATGGATGGTGGTGATGGTTGCACAACCACATGAGCATACCTAATGCCACTGAACCGTACAGTTAAAAATGGCTAAAGTGGAAAATGTATGTTATGTATTTGTTTTTTTTTTTTAACCCCGATTTAAAAATAAGCAAATGGAATGTTGGGAGTGACTCAGATGTCATGGGGCTTCCAGGCTGTCCTGTCTTCGCTTTAACCCACAGATTGTGTCCACGCCACAGTCTCTCCCTAGGCACATCCCCAGCCCTCTGGGAATGTGAAACCTTGTAGGGAGCAGGCCAGGAGACCAGAGGAATGAAATACAAGCACACTCCTGAGCCTGGAGTTCAAATTGGAGCTCATATTCCCCAAGCTGCCTCAGTGGCCTTACCTGTGGCATGGTGGCCCTGGCCGCCCCTCCCCTTCCTTGTCAGCAGCGGCACCCTTGGTTCTGACCACACTGGACCTGCCATTGCTCGTGCCATCACCCTCTGACCTGTGTGCATGCTGTCCTACACCAGGCTGCCCTCACCTGGCCATACAGCTCGTCCTCGGGGCTGGGCTGTGTCTTGTGGTGCTTGGCGTTCATGCAGACATTGAGCAGGTCCGTCCTGGCCCGCGCACTCCTGGGCTGGGCACTCCCCGCAGCAGTCACCAAAGCCAGAAGCAGCAGCTGCATCATCTGCCAGGCCATGTCCATCTATTCCTGCCAGAGAGCCACAGTCAGAGGTAGACAAGGCCTGAGACAGGGGCAACAGCCATGTGATTGTGTACTCTCTCCCTCCCAGGCCCAGATCTCTGCTGTCCCCACCCTGCATCCCCTACAGGGCAGCTGAGCCAAGAAATGCGCTGCGTGTAGAGGTGAGAGGGAGCCCTTCCCCTACCTGGAGGCAGGACCTCCACCAACAGCGCTGTAGGTCCAGGCTCTGACACCAGCTTGCTCTGTGACCTTGTAGGGAGCCACCGCCCTTGTGGACTTCCCCTCTTGGATTTCTCCAGTGTTTTATGCAATTCTTTTCAAATTTGCACAAGGAGGAACCACAGGTGGTGGCCTGCTGATGCAGGAGTGAGACTCTAGACAGCCTCAGGCTTCTGCTTCCTCAGCCTGTCCTCCTACCCCATGGCAGCTGAGGTTTAGATGCCCAGGGAAGCTGAGATGGGGACAGCAAGGGCCATGGAGCTGTCAGCTATTGTTCATGGTCCCGGAGCAGATGCTGCGGGAGGCAAGGAGGTGGGGGCAATCACACCTCACCCTTCACCCCTTCTGGGTCTTGGGAAATTACCTAGGCAGAGGCAGGCTCAGAGGTTGGGGGAGGCCAACAGGTCAGCGGCAAACGGAGGAGGGGGCTGAGCGAGAACAGTGGGCGCTATCTCGCCTCCCACCTCTCATCCCCACTTTTCCCTCTGTCCTGTTGCAGGGCCTTACCTCCATTCTCAGCCCACCTGGGAAGGTGGAGTCTCTCCCACCTCCCCACCTACTTTATAACCCCATCCTGCCTGCTTGGTTAGACCCTCTGTTCGGGAAGGTGCACAAGGCTTTGTCTAGGAGACAGCTCAATTGTCTTTCAATAAGGACCCAGTTAAATTATGGTACATCTACCCAGTGGAATTTAATGTGGTAACAAAGAAAGAGAAAGCTCCTGATGTACAAATATGGAAAAATCTTCAAGTGCATTGTTAAGTGGAAAAAGAAAGGTGCAGAAAAATGCTATGTAAAAAATAATAATAATAAATTCTCTGTAAAAAAGGAGTAAGAATGTCTGTGTTGACTGGGCGTGGTGGCTCACGCCTGTAATCCCAGCACTGTGGGAGGCCGAGGCAGGCGGATCACTTGAGGTCAGGAGTTCGACATCAGCCTGGTCAATATGATAAAACCCCATCTGTACTAAAAATACAAAAATTAGCTGGGTGTGGTGGCACATGCCTGTAATCCCAGCTACTCAGGAGGCTGAGACAGGAGAATCACTTGAACCCGGGAGGAGTTTGCAGTGAGCCAAGATCACGCCACTGCACTCCAGCCTGGATAACAGAACGTGACTCTGTCATTAAAAAAGAAAAGAATATCTGTGTTTGCAGGTGAAAATTCTGTGGCAAGGTATGAAAAGAAATTAATAACATGGTCACCTGGCAGTAGAGAACAGGATTAGGCTTGAGACTTTTCTCTGTAAACCTTTCCACATTGTTTTGATTTTTGGACCATGTGACTATAAATCTTATTTAAATACATATAGGTATGTGTGTATACATACATAAATATACCAAATATGAAGTGAAAATACTAAGACACAGAATGACCTCTCTGACTTGATAATATGTATGTAAATTTTGATAACACTAGAATGTATACAACAGTACCTTTAAGTTAAGGATACTACACATGTGCTTGCAAAAGTATGAACATGAAGCCACCAAGAGTTCTGGTCCCTGGACATACATCCAGTAAATTCGATGCAGTTACACCATATATATCCCATTTCTGTGCACAAATGGTAGCATACTGTTCTGTACTTTGCTTTTTTGGGTAGTTTCACTATAAATTTATTCTTTTGACAAAAAAACAAAAACCTCATGAACTCAAGTTATCCACAGTTGCACACTTGAGTATTACTGTACATCTGATAACATAACTAAAATTATTTCTTTATGCCTCGTAGGGTCTAAACTTAAAACTATTTCATTAGCCGATATAAAAAAGTTAGTGGGCTGGGTGTGGTGGCTTACACCTGTAATCCCAGCGTTTTGGGAGGTTGAGGTGGATGGATCACTTGATCCCAGGAGTTTGAGACCACTTGGGCAACATAGGAAAACTTCATCTGCACACAAAAATAGAAAAATTAGCCACGTATGGTGGTGCGAGCTTGTAGTTTCAGCCATTTGGGAGGGTGAGCTGGGAGGATTGCTTGAGCCCTGGAGGTCGAGGCTGCAGTGAGCTGTGATGGCACCACTGTACTGTCAGAGTGAGACCCTGTCTCAGCAAAAAAAGAAGAAGGAAAAGGAGAAGGAGAAGAAGAAGAAAGAAGAAGAAGAAGAAGAAGAGGAAGAAGAAGAAGAAGAAGAAGAAGAAGAAGAAGAAGAAGAAGAAGAAGGAGAAGAAGAAGAAGAAGAAATAAGGAAACAAAGAAAGTTAGGAAAGAGAACTTCATGTTTTCAAGTTAAAAGTGCCTAATGCTTGGTTTGTATTTCTCCAACACTCTTGGAGGCAGTAGAACTGCTACTAACCTGGGAAGACGACCGGCACTGCCCCTGTGTATTGCTTATGTAGTGTGAAGTGATGTTTTCCCATTATGATGTTGGGAACATTTCCAATACTGTCATCATTTACTCAGCTAGTAGAGAGCCTCTCCTGAGGCAGAGCCTGTGTTTTCAGTCTGACCTCAGTATCTGGTCCTGCTACAGGTGAGTCTGAGGTGACAAGACCAGTGTCTAGTTATGAAGCCCTTGCCTCCCCAGGGCTCCATTATGGATGAGTCCTGCACCATAGTCAGCAGCCCTCTGCCCTCCCTCCATTGCACCCACCTATGACTCTTCTCTTCTTTTCAATGCCCTCCCCCAACAACCTCTGCCTGTGACTTTGAATGTGTTGTGGGGGTCTTTGCAGAAGAATCGCCCACCTGAGTTTTGGCCAAATTCCTGACTCACAACATCTTGGAATATAATAAAATAGTTACTATTTCAAGCAACTATGTGTATTTGATTTTTAAACTTTTTGTTTTGAAATAATTTTAGATTTGCAGAAAAACTGCAAAACATCGTCAAAAGATTTCCCGTATGTTTTTATGCAACTTCCCCAAATATTGGCATCTTATGTAACCAAAGCCCAGTTCTTAAAAAAATCAGGAAATTAATATTGAGGCAATACTGTTAACTAATCTACAAGCTTTATGCCCTTTACACCAGTTTCCCCCCCAATGTCCTTTCTCTGGCCCAGGATTCAGTCCATGATTCCAGGTTGCATGTAGTTGTCATGTCCCCTTAGTCTCCCTCCAATCTGTGACAGTTCCTCAATGTCTTTGTCTTTTATGACCTTGACACTTTTGGAGAATTACTGTTCAGTTATTTTGCAGAATGTCCCTCAATTTGGGTTTGTCTATATTTTCCTGTAATTAGCTTGAGCTTATGCATTTTGGCAAGAAAATTAGAGAAGAGAGGTGCTTTTGTCAGTGCATCATATCAAGAGGTACATGATGAGGGTTGCTGCATCTTATTGCTGGTGATTATTGGGTTAAGGAGATTTCCTTACTATATAATTATTAGTTTCCCTTTGTTAGTAATCCTACCTTGTAGGGAGACACTCTGAGACTATGTGAATATCCTTTTCATCCACTTAGTTTAACATTGTCTGCAGCAATACACCACAAAATTATGGAATGATTTGTTATGCAGCAACAGACAACTAGTAAACCCATGAGAGTTAGTATTGTGTTTCTTAAACTCTGAGGAAACAATTTGGCTTATAACCTTAGTTTAGCCACACAGCAGTTACTCTTTCTACAACAAAATTCCCAGGAAAAACAGAGTACTTATCATATTAATCTTTAAATTAAATCACTTATAAAAGTGAGTAGTTATAATAGTCAAACTTACTTTACCCTCTGTGAACATTCTGCATGATGGATTTGAGACAGTGGACTGAATAATTGCTCAGGAAATCAGCACTACCTCAGTTACTTTCTGATGGGTCCTCATAGTACAATAAACAGGAGATTTCATAGACAGAAATACGGGCTCTTCAAGGCTTCTTCAATCATGAGAATGTTTCTGAGAAGCTTCTGAGCAAATACTTCTATGGAAGCTGATCACAGATCTGAGGTCTTTGCACTTCATAATTATTCTGTCAATCACAGTCATATTAATTCCTCCTCTGCACATGTATCAATAGCATTACGCCCACAGGGTCCAAAAAGAAAGAGGTATGTCCTCAACCAACGAATTTCTGATATTACAGGCTTCATAAAATTCATGCCCTCCAATCCCAGGCTCCACTATCGTGGCCAAGGCCAGGTCTGGCTGAGTTGCCAATGGTGCTAAAGACTCTACTAAAGATTCAGGTGAATGCCAAGGCCAGCCTTCATCCAAGTGACCAGAATATCTTTAATGAATGTCTGGTTTTCAGTAGCCTCTAGATAAAAGGCACACTGATTTGCTACACCTACAACTATAGCCGTTGCCTTTTTGCTCGTTGTTTTGACCTGAAACTTAATCATGGGCGTGGCCTCTCTTTAAGGCTTTCTATCTCAGGTACCAAAGATGATGGCAAGAACAAAGTGTCTGTCCACTACATCAAAGATCAGATGGTTATCCGAGTCCAGCATCTAGGTGCACTGAGCCCCAGGGAGTCCAGGCAACTGTTGAGGGTAGATGGGCCAATCTTTATTTTACCTTATTTTTTATTTTTAGGAGACAGGGTCTCACTCTGTCACCCCAGCTGGAGTGCAGTGGCACCATCATGGCTCACTGCAGCCTCAACCTCCCTGAGTATCTGGGACTACAGGCACGCACCACCACGCCCAGCTAATTTTTGTATTTTTGTAGAGAGGAGGTTTCGCCATGTTGCCCAGGCTGGTCTTCAACTCTTGGGCTCAAACAATCCTCCAACCTAGGCCTCCCAAAATACTGGGACTACAGGGGTGAGCCACCACGCCCGGCCAAGATGGGCCAATCATGAGTCTTGCCCAAATTCTTGGGCAAAATCTCACAAAATCTTGAAGTATAATTAAACTCACAAAATCTTGAAGTATAAGTAAATAAGTATTGTGTTTTTGTTTTGTTTTGTTTTGAGACAGAGTCTTGCTCTGTCCCCCAGGCTGGAGTGCAGTGGTGTGATCTCAGCTCACTGCAGCCTCTGCCTTCCGGTTCCAGTGATTCTCCTGCCTCATCCTCCCAGGTAGCTGGGATTATAGGCACATGCCACTATGCCAGGCTAATTTCTGTAGTTTCAGTAGAGGTGGGGATTCACCATGTTGGCCAGGCTGGTCTCGAACTCCCGACCTCAGGTTATCGGCCCACTTCAGCCTCCCAAATTGCTAGGATTACAGGCATGAGCCACTGCGCCCAGCCTAATTGGTATTGTTTTAAGACATCAAGTTTATTTGATTTTCTTAACTTAGTGTTTTGAGATAATTTTAGACTTAACAGAAAAATTGCAAAAGTAGTAAAGAGGTTTCCCATATGCTTTCATCCAGTTTCCCCAAATGTTGGCATCTGACAAAACCAAAGCCCAATTACTTAAAAAATCAGGAAATTAACATTAAGGGAATACTTTTAACTAATCTACAAACTTTATTCTTTTTCATCAGTATCCCCACCAATGTTCTTTCTCTGGATGCCATGGCACCAGTCCTCAGGAAGAAGAATAACCCCTAATTCCCTTGCATTTTGATTTCTTTTCTTTTTTCTTTTTCTTTTTGACAGGGTCTCTCTCTGTCACCCAGGCTGGAGTGCAGTGGCATAATCATAGGTCATAGCAGCCTTGACGTCTTGGGCTCAAGTGATCCTCCCACCTCAGCCTCCCAAAGTGCTAGAATTACAGGCATGAGCCACTGTGCCCAGCTCACTTTGCTTGCTTTACTTAACAGAATGTACTATAGATGGTCCCTTATCTGTGTACATAGATCTATATGATTCTATTTCATTATTCTATTGAATTTAAGTGGCTTCTCATATTTCACTGTTATAGTCAATGCTGTAGGGAATGTCCTTGTATAGCCGTCCACCTTTGTATATAATAACATATCTAGTGGAGGGGGAATGTAAAATGGTCCAGATGCTGTGAAAAAAAATTAAACATAGAATTACCATATGATCCAGCAATTCCTCTTGTGCGCACACACCCAAAAGAATTGAAAGCAGGGATGCAAACAGCTATCTGTGCAGTCATATTCACAGCAGCATTAATTCACGATAGCTAAAAGTTGAAAGCAACCCAAGTGTCCACGGATGGATAAATGGATAAACAAAATGTTGTTTCTACAACTGGTCACAGTGAAAGAGTTTTAAGCAGGGGAATGTCACAGTTCAATTGGCAGTCTTGGTGTGTTCAGATGGGATTACGTGTAGGCTGGAATTGGGCAAGGTAGACCAGTTAGAAAGCTGTTTCACAAGTCCAGGCCTGGGATGATGGTGCCTTGACCAGGAGGGTAGAAGTGGGGATTCATTCAAAAACTAAGCTCAGAATTAGTTATTGGGCATCTACCATGTGCTAGGCTGTTCTGGGTTCTAGAGCTACAGAAGTGACCAAGAAAAAGTCCCTACTGTCATAGAGCTGACATTCTAGTTTGGGGGTGGGAGGTTGTTAGAGAGAGACGACAGAAAACAAATAAAGATGATGATTGTGCTCTGAAGAAAACTGAAGCAGGCTAAGGGGACAGAGAGTGATGAAGCAGGGGCTACTATCTTCTACAGGAAAGATCTAGGAGGTGATGCTTGGGCTGATACCATAATGAGGTAAGAAGGGAGTCATGTGAACATGGAGGAAGGAGTGCTCCAGACAGAGGGACCCGTAGGTCCAAAGGCCCTGAAGCAAAAATGTACTCAGTGCATTTCAGGAACAAACAGCGAGGAGGAGGCCAGTGTGGCCAGCAGTGAGCTGGGAGCGGCAGGTGTGGGGTCCAGGCCAGATCTTCAGGGCCCCGTGGTTCAGACTCAGCAAAGATGGGGGATTTTACTCTGAATGAAATGGAAACTTTATTTGCTTTTTCCAGTTCAGCATCTGATCTGACTCTAGGGACAAGGGAAAGCAAACAATTGACACAGATGTCTATGTGAATGGCCCAGCCTTAAGGCAACCATGACTTGAACCAGGGCTATGTGGTGGCAGTGGACGTGGTGAAAAGGGAGGAGTAATGTCATGTCTTTTGAAGGATGTTTTGATAGGATTTGCTGAGATGGAGGACATGAGAGAAAGGGAGGAATTAGGATGACTCCAGAGTGTGTTGGTCTGAGCAATTAGAGAGGAGTGCTTGGCTATTTACTGAGATGAGGAAGGCTGAGAGTGGAATAAGGATGGAGTGAGAAGGGGAAAGAATTGTGAACATGTGGACAGAAGGGTAAAAGTTTTCTGCCAGTCGGGCCTCTGGCCTCTCTCTCCCTGTGCAAAATGTTGAAAGAAATGGTAAAGTTCAAAAGCCAGAAATATTCGTGGCTTGGCATGGCTAAAGTTGGGTACTAAGGGATTTAAAAGGGTTATCTTAAAGAGTGCTCAGCTTAATTAAAAGTGGATATCCAAGCTATAGGTATATTTAAAAGGCCTTTGTGTTTTTTTCTTCATGGATCTTGTTTCTCTGCAAAACAATTTTTTCTCAGTCAACTGAATTATTTTTCCCCAATTTGTCTTGTCACTCTTAACGCATGCATGAGAGGCCCTAAGATAACTTCTGAGAGCATAAGACACCTTGGGAAAAACAGAGAAGTCACCACGGATCCCATTTTGGAAAAAAAAAAAAAAACTCTGTTTTTCTTATAGAACCCCAGGAATTAAAAGCAGATAGACCCCTTTCAAAATCTGTTTTTGTCTTCCAGCTATGCCTGTTTATTAGGCCCTGGAAACTGCATGCTTTCCTAGCTCTGCTTCTTGAAATGCTCCACCCTGAGGCCAATAATCCAATTAGGAGATTGGCAAATGAAAAATCTTACAACTACTGAATCTTCTGTCTGTGTAATCACATATGTGTTATTTGTGTGTGATGTTTATATAAAAAAAGAGCTCTAATTTGCTTAAAGAAAATAAGTGCTTAGATCAAATATTTTTTGAAGGAAAAACAAAAGCTGTATTGCCTTTTAGTTCATGTGACTTTAATCTTTGAGAAAGAAAAACAATTTTGAAGATAATTGGTAAAATACAAATGTTATCAAAATGAAAATATGTGGTCTAATGTATGCAGGTCAGATACTAGGTTTGCTAAATGTTGTAAGGTTATAAACTGCTTCTTTGGCTTTTGAGAACTGTTTGACTTGCCAGCTTTACAATTTGGTAAGGTCTGGGGTCATATGGATTAACCACACCATTAACTATGTTGTAAAGAGTCAGACTTTATCTGTGCCTAGTACATAATTAAAAAAACTTACCAGGTTTTACATTAAAATTAAAAATTGCTAAGAGTTACCATTACAACATGTAATTGAGACTACTGAAAATGGATTTACATGCAAGGGTGAAATTTGACTTTCTCTCGAAGAAGATTTTCATGTAATAATAAAGGATAATGAAAGGTTTTTGCCTTGTTTTAAAATTTTTGAGTCATCATTTTGGCTAAAATAAATAACTTATGGTGATCTGGAGTTCTATTTCAAAATAATAAGTGTTTTAAATCTTTAATGTGTTTGATAGACTTCCCAAATTCAAACTTCAGGTTCAAGGTTGTCTTTTCTAACCCCTAACTTTTGGATGCTACTGAAGGCCCCTGGAGCATCCAAAAGAGAGGTAAACAGGATTATTTAACACATTTAGTTACATGGGATTGCCAAAATAAAAATAATGTATGACTTTCTTCAGGGTATATTTTAGTGAATAATATTAATATATGTTCCAAAATTGTATGGGATTTATTTGAGAAAGAGTCTTGCGCTGTTACCAGGCTAGAGTGCAGTGGCACAATCTTGGCTCACTGCAACCTCTGCCTCCAGGGTTCAAGCGATTCTCCTCCCTCAGCCTCCCGAGTAGCTGGGACTACAGGCATGTGCCACCATGCCCAGCTAATTTTTGTACTTTAGTAGAGACAGGGTTTCACTATGTTGGCCAGGATGGTCTAGATCTCTTGACCTCATGATCCACCCACCTCGGCCTCCCAAAGTGCTGGGATTACAGGCATGAGCCATGGTGCCCGGCCTAATTGTATGGGCCTTCTAAAACTCAAATGTCTGAGTATATGCTATCAGTAATAATTAAGGTTATTGTGTTAAGTTATTGTAAACCACAGAGAAAAAACAAATTTCTTTGTCAATTGTGTTTTTGACTGTGACTACCCAAGGATATTTTGTCATTCACAGACAATTGTTGTCTTGTTTTGACCCTTTTCAAAAGATGATTTGTGGACAGCTATTGGACTTTGAAAGGTGCCCTCAAATGCAGGTTTCTGATGACTTTGGAGATTGTGACATTGGAACAGAGGAAAAACATACAGGAGTCATAAAGAGCTGAAATTCTCCTGAATATCAAGCAGAACAAGAGTTAACTGAATAAACTGAACTAATAGAAAACTGAAGTAATCCTTTTTAACTTTTTGCTTAAAACATTGCTGATCCTTGTTTTGTTTTTTCCAGAGTCAAGGAAACTTCTTTTGAGCTATCTACAGCTTTTAACAATTGAGTAAGGTATACTCCTGTGAAGAAAATTTGGAGCATATTTCTCTCTGCCTGGTTTCTCTAGAATTTGGAAACTATTTGCAAATATTCTTAACTTATGGCAATATAGTTATTTGCATCAGTGCAATAAGAATCTATTTTCTTTTGCAGCAGGATATAACTGGAGAAACCGGTTATTTTACCAAGGTTTTGACTGGAATGGTATGCTTTCCTTTAGGGAATCAAGCTTGACTTGCAGAGCCAATAAAATCCCCTTGGGAAAACTGGCCTCATACCTTGTCTACACAGTCCCTGGACAGGGTTCCTAACCTGTGGTGAGTAGAGAATGTCATTTTCTAACAGGCCCAAGAGCCCTGTGTTATCTGGGACCTCAAGAAAAGAAGAATTTACCCAACTCATAGGTATTTGAGGGTACAAACCCATGGCTGAGCTCAGCTTTAAAAGGTCCTACCTGAGATTCCTTGTGAAACAGAGTTCCATCAAAGCCAATTTTAAAAGCCTATGTGAAAATGATTATTCTTGCTGCACTTTATGCAAATGACCAGGCCAAGTATAAGACTAAAGTTTATTTTGCAAACAACTCAGTCCTATCATGGTTTATTTTTAACAGAAATGAGGACTGGAGAGAGAAAAATTATGTTTCAAAATTTATCATACACTTGTCATTAAATTCTAGTTTCAGTTGTTTTTAAGCTTTTGCCTACATTTTAGATTAATCCTGCTTATTCCTGTGAACCAACTAGTGATCTCTGGTTGTAGCTCAGAAGAAATAGAGGGGATGGGTAATGTAAAAATATGAATCAATATTCTAGTTCTGGGCAATTATCCTGCAGCTGATAGGAGTAAATAGGATGTGGTGCTCATAATCTGGAGGTTTTTTTGGGAAAATGAAAACAAGGGAGCAAACCAAAGCCAAGCACCATGCATCCAAATCTTAGCAGGCATAACTATAGCCACTAGTTATCTGGGCATGTCAGCAGACTTGGGATTTTTGAGCTGTCTTTACCTCCTTGTTGTTCCATTTTGATCCATGTCATCTAATAACCCAAACTGTTTCTTCTCACTTAGAGGCCATCAAATTCCGAACAGAGCCTTGAATGATGGCTCCCTTTAACCTGGGACGCTTAGATAGGCCTCTGAGGGAGCTCTGATTGCTGTTTGCTCAAAACAGCATCCCCTGTCAGCAGGAAGTAGTTAAGATTGTCTTTGTCCCTATTCTAACAACAGGTAGTTGTACCTCTTCAGAGGGGGAAATGAGAGGGACAGGAGGCAGCCAAATGCCTAGGCAAATAGGGACTGGTCCCTGGTGAAACCCCACTTCCAAGCCAAAGCCAGTTTAAAGCCTGAAAGCCAAGCTACAAGCTAAATCCTCAGACCAGATTGAAGACTTGTCTTCCCATTTGTTGTGCTTTCCTCTGATTGATCCCCACCCTTCACCTATTTTACATATACTTACCCTTTCCTAATTGGTTTTCTACACTGTCATGCCCATCTTTGAGTGATGTCTTCACTTTAACCTGTTTTGCATACTCACAAACCAATCAGCATGCACTCCCCGTCCTGTGCATATAAAGGCCCCAGACTCAGTCAGTAGATGGGAAGATGGCTGGACTTCGAGGAGACAACCGGACTTTGAGGAAGAGATGGCTGGACTACAGAAGAGATGGCCTGACTTCGGGGGAAGATGACTGGCCCTTCCTGTTTCCTCTCCAGCTCCCCTTTCTGCTGAGAGCTGTTTTCATTGCTTAATAAAATTCTCCACCTTCATCATTCTTCAATTGTCTGCACAACCTCATTCTTCTTGGACACTGGCCAAGGGCTCGGGACCCACCAAGTGTGGGTACCCAGAAAGGCTGTCACACTGGCTCTTTGCCCTTGCTGGCAGAGGGCAACCACCCCATGAGACGATGCAAGGGGCCAACTGAGCTGCTAACACACCACCGTCCATGGACAGCAGAACTAGGAGAGCACTGTAATACTCCCTCTGGGGCTTAGGGGTCATGGGCACCCCCACCTGGGCACTGCCGCAGGCCCCACATGGAGATTTCTCCTGCCAGTGCCCAGAGCAGCCGGCTGGATCCTGCCCTTGCTCGCTCACATCTAGACTGGCCGAGGGCCCTGCATGGAGCTTGCTGCTGCCAGCACCTGGATCAGCCAACCAGATCCTGCACTCACTCACTCATGTGCTCCCTCCTGCAAGAGATTGAGCGTGGTGGACTGAATAAACAGGGCACCCCTCTTGTGAGTCCAGTGAAGGGTCCAGGAAAAAGTCCTGAATCAGAAGCACCCAGGAAATGGAAGGGAACAGTGGGGCACTGGAACACGGGTTGGGGGACAGCCAGGCCCTGGGGCTATAACTGCTGGTGACAAGATTGTGAGAATTTGGGTGCTAGGGTAGTCAGGCAGGCAGGACCCAACCCTCTGGCCTCCACCCAATATTCCTGCCTCAGGTAGAACTCCACAGAGCAAGGGTGACAGGGAGGACAGGGCATGACCAATGCTCTTATTTTCCTAAAATGCAAACTGAGGCCCACATGGGAGAGAGATGGTACCTGTGTCCACGTCCTAATCTCTGGAACATCTGAATGCTACTTTATATGGCAAAAGGGACTTTGCAAATGTGATTAAGAAATGGGTCTTGAGATGGGGAGATGATCCTGGATTTTCTGAATGGACTTGATGTAATCCTGATGCGAGGGAGGCAGGAGCTCAGAGAGAGTAGTAGGACACATAAAGGTGGAAACAAGAGGTTAGAGGGACACAAGGAAGGGAGGCCACCAGCCCAGGCATGCAGGTGGCTTCTGGAAGCTGGAAAAGGCAAGGAAATTGATTGTTCTTGGAAGCTTCCACAAGGAATGTAGTCCTGCTGACACATTGATTTATGGCTTCTGACCTTCAGAATTGAAAGATAACAAATCTGTGTGGTTTAAGCCAAGAAGTTTGTAGTAATTTGTTATAGCAGCTACAGGAAATGAATACAGAGCCAAGGTCCCCAGAGGATGGGTAACAGACCTTGGGCTGGATTCGAATCCAGTCAGTCAGCTCCCCCAGTTGGAGCCTCCTCTCTCCCTCAGTACTTAGATCAAGGCCTCTAGATTAGGTCACTGAGCAGTTCCTTGGGTCAGAAGCCGAACCTTATCACATGTATTGTTTCGTTTGACCCTGACAAGAACTCTGTGGGGCTGATAGTGCCCCTACATTACACATGGGGAAACTGAGGTTTGAAGGTGTGAAAGGAAAATAAATCTTAGGGCCCCAAAATTACTAAGGGCAAGTCAATTACTATGGGAAAAGTCAATTACTAAGACCAAGTCAATTACTAACGGAATAGTCAAGCTGAGAACTGCTTAGGGCAAACCTGCCTCACATTCTATTCCAAGAAAAATAGCTACTAAGATTAAAAAGAAAAAAAACTACACACCTTCCTCATAATTTGTGGACAAAGAATAGACAGAACTCAAAGTCATCTCTCTGCTCACTGAGATAAAAGCATATCATATCTGATTGCTTCCTTTGGAAAGGCTAACCAGAAACTCAAAAGAATGCAAATGGTTATCTCTTAACTACCTATGACCAGGAAGACCCCCACCCCCACTTCAAGCTGTTCCACTTTTCCAGACTGAACCAATGTACATCTTACATATATTGATTGATGTCTCATGTCTCCTTAAAATATATAAAACCATGCTGTGCCCCAACCACCTTGGGCACATGTTGTCAGGACGCCCTGAGGCTGTGTCATGGGTGCATGCTTAGCCTTGGCAAAACAAACTTCCTAAATTGGTTGAGATTTGTCTCAGATACTCTTTGGTTTACAAAGGTGAAGGGCCTTGGTCAAGGTCAGAGCACGCAATGAGGAATCAATGAGCTGGGCCCCAGATTCAAGTCCTCTGCTCTTCCTTACACACTACAGACACTGTATATGTCCAGTAGGTATATTTTGGTGTCTCATTCATTCATTCAACAGATACTTGTTGAATACTGATGCCCAGGTACTGTGCTGGGTGCTGAGGATATGCTGGTGAACACTTGTGATGCCCAGAGATGAGGAAGAGAGGCACAATTTAAACGAATAAGCACACAATTAGATGTATAGTTAAAATAGGTGGTATTTGTTCAATCATTTTTATAGCAGTACTATTTGCAATAGCCCAAAAGTGGAAACAATCCAAATGTTTATCAAAAGATGAATGGATATGCAACATGTGATATGTACAAATGACTATTACCCAGCCTTAAAAAGGAAGAAAATTCTGACACATGCAACAACAGCTTCATAGATGAACTTTGAAGACATTATGCTAAGTGAAATAAGCCAATTACAAAAAGAAAAATACTGTATGATTCCATTTAAGGTACCTGGAGTAGTAAAAATTCATAGAGACTAAGTAGAATGGTGGGTGCCAGGGGCTTGGGGAGGCTGGGTGGGGAGCTACTGTTTAATTACAGAGTTTCAGCTGGGAAAGATGAGAGTTCTGGGGAATGGATGTAGTGATGGTTACACACAATGTGAATGTACTTAATGCCACTGAACTGTACATTTAAAAATGGCTAAAATTGGCCGGGCGCAGTGGCTCATGCCTGTAATCCCAGCACTTTGGGAGGCTGAGGTGGGCAGATCACCTGAGGTCGGGAGTTTGAGACCAGCCCAACCAACATGGAGAAACCCCGTCTCTACTAAAAATACAAAATTAGCCAGGCCATGGTGGCACGTGCCTGTAGTAATCCCAGCTACTTGGGAAGCTGAGGTGGGAGAATCACTTGAACCCAGGAGGTGGAGGTTGTGGTGAGCCAAGATCGCGCCATTGCACTCCAGCCTGGGCAACAAGAGTGAAACTCAGTGTCCAAAAAAAAAGGTGAAAATTGTAAATTTTTTGTTACATATATTTTACCATACATTTTATATATATATATAAAAATATGTTTTATATATATAAAATATTTTTTATATATAAAATATATTTTATATATATAAAACATATATTTTATATATAAAATATATGTTTTATATATATACACACACATATACACACACACACATAAATGTGTGTGTGAGTGTATGTATTAGGTGAGATGCCATGAGGAAAAGAGAAGATGCTATGGAAGAGTGCTCCTTGCACCAGAGCTAATCTGCAGGGGGGACCTCTCTTGAGACCAAAATGGAGGGAGCTGACCCAGTAAAGAAGAAGGACAGAGTCCCAGGCAATGGGAGCATTGTGCAAAGGCCCTGAGGCAGAACATGTTTTAGTGGGTCTGAAGATCTGCAAAACTGTTGGGGTGTGGTTGGGGTGCAGAAAGCAAGGACGAGGTTGGCTCTAGATGAGGGTGGACAGGAAGGCAGGGGCAGATCTTGCCTGGCAAGGACTTCAACTCACAGGCTAAAAGCAATGGGAAGCCAGGGAAAGGTTTTAGGCAGCCACGTATGGTTTGAAGTGGTGTGGCGGGAAGCTAGCCAGTTATTGCAGTAGCCCAGGCGATAGATGGCTCTGGACTGGAGTGGGGCATGGAGATGGGGATATGTGGCACTGGGGTGGGAGTGGCGGGGAGGTGTCAGAGAACCAGTTACTGAGTTTCCAGCTGCACTGCAGTGGGGAAGTTCGACTGGAGGCTCCCCCGAACCCATTCTCCAAAATGGTGCCTAATCTACAAGTTGTTTTTTTTTTTAATTGTGACAACATACATATAATAAAAATTATCATTTTAACAATTTTTACATGTCCAGTTCAGTACACTCACATTAAGTACATTCACATTGTTGTGAATCCATCCAGAACTCTTTTTTTTTTTTTTTTTTTAGACAGGGTCTTGCTCTATCACCCAGGCTGGAGTGCAATGGCACCATCTTGTCTCACTGCAACCTCTACCTCCTGGGCTCAAACAATCCTCCCACCTCAGCCTCCCAAGTAGCTGGGACCACAGACACACACCACTATACCTGGCTAATTTTTGTATTTTTGGTAGAGATGGAGTTTTGCCATGTTGCCCAAGCTGGTCTTGAGCTCCTGTGCTCGAGTAATCCTCCCACCTCGGCCTCCCAAAATGGTGGGATTACAGGCATAAGCCACCATGACCAGGCTCATCCAGAACACTTTTTGTCTTCCCCAGCTGAAACTGTATCCATTAAATACAATCCTCCCTCAACAGATGTAGGGGATTGGTTCCAGGAGCCCCCCATACCCAAATCCACACATACTGATGTCCCACCCTTCATATATGTGGGTTTCGCAACCTCTGAATACTGTATTTTTTATCTGTGATTGAAAAAAATCCACATATTAGTGGACCCATGCAATTCAAACCTGTGTTGTTCATGGTCAATGGTAATAACTCTTTTTTTTTTTTTGAGATGGAGTCTGGCTCTGTCGCCCAGGCTGGAGTGCAGTGGGCGATCTCGGATCACTGCAAGCTCCGCCTCCCGGGTTCAAGACATTCTCCTGCCTCAGCCTCCCGAGTAGATGGAACTACAGGCACCCGCCACCACGCCCGGCTAATTTTTTGTATTTTTAGTACAGACGGGGTTTCAGCGTGGTCTCGATCTCCTGACCTCGTGATCTGCCCACTTCGGCCTCCCAAAGTGCTGGGATTACAGGCGTGAGCCACCATGCCCAGCTTGACAACGGTAATAACTCTTTAAGTAGAAACAGGATATCTGTAAAAACAAAAAAATACCAAAACAGTAATAACTCCCTACTCCCCAGCCCCTGGAAACCACCATCCTATTTTCTGTCTCTGAATTTGACTTCTCCAGGAACCTCAGAAAAGTGGAATCCTACAGTATTTGTCCTTTCGCGACTGGCTTATTTCATTTAATATATAGTCTTTGAGGTTCATACATGTATTTGCAACAGGGTTTAGGACAAAATGTTGTTGTAAAGGTTGCTAAAAGTATGACGTAAGGACTGAGAGGAAGCAGAGCAAAGTTAAGACTGAGAAATGTGGTCAAAGTTTCTCCACACCAGCCAAGGAGCAGGCCTTACCACCCACCCCGCAGCACACACCTGAAGCTTCATTTCTCCCCAGCCCCCACTTAGGGCCAGCTGATGTTCCTGGGTCTCCCTGCCTGTATCTGCCTGAGCGTGTATGACTGTGGTTGTCTATCAGGGTGGGAGGATATACGTGTGTACCTGTGCATTTGTTTTCTGTTGGTGCCATAACAA
Source organism: Homo sapiens (assembly GCF_000001405.40). Classification (NCBI taxonomy): domain Eukaryota; kingdom Metazoa; phylum Chordata; class Mammalia; order Primates; family Hominidae; genus Homo; species Homo sapiens. The sequence continues at coordinate 72,119,196 of NC_000011.10, read as the reverse complement.
ACTACCACAAGCTAAGTGGCTTAAAACAACACAAATTAATTAATTAATTGATTTTTGAGACAAGGTCTCGCTCTGTTGCCCAGGCTGGTCCCAAACTTCAGGGTTCAAGCGATCCTCCTGAAGCAGGGGAAGAGGGAAAATACAGCAGGAGAATAGCAAAGGGAATTAAAATTTGGATCAAGGGCAGAATGAGTAAAAGCAGGGAGCAGAAGCCAGGTGAAGGGGCAGGTGAGCAAGAAGCGAGATAAAAACCAGAACAGCCAAAACAAAAGTGAAAAAGAAGCCCCCATCTGGGCTAAATCCGGACCAAACCTGTTGCGGGCAGCTCCTCAGAGATGGGCATGCACATTAAAGAGAAAAAGTATCCTTAAAATGACCCCGTTTGGTAATTAGCTCATTGAAGCTCATGCATATGGACTGCAAATCACTCATGTACTTAAAATTATGGGATGGAGGTGACACACAAGGGCCAAAGTAACTAAGCAACACATCTATCAATCAAAAAGGCAGACACTGGCTAGAGATTAGGCAGCCTTGGGAAGAGAACACACACACACACACACACACACACACACACACACACACACACACACACACAAAGACCCAGAGTACACAAAACTAATGTTGATCTCATCTGCCAGAGGTCAGTCCACTCTCCCCCTCTAAGAGTGTAATACTGTGCTTAATATCTGTGTGTGTCTGGTCCAGTTCTTTGTTCAGGACACCAAGAGCCTGAAATTACAGAGCACTATCCAGTAACACACCTATCACAGCCTCCCGAGTAGCTGGGACTACAGGAATGTGCCACTGTGCCCAGCAAACAACACAAGCTTATTAACTTACAGTTCTGCAGGTTACAAGTGTAACATGCGTCTCAATTTAGGGTGTCAGGGGCCGGGTGCGGTGGCTCACACCAGCACTTTGGGAGGCTGAGGCAGGCGGATCACCTGAGGTCAGGGGTTCGAGACCAGCCTGACCAACATGGCAAAACCCCGTCTCTACTAAAAATACAAAAATTAGCCGGGTGTGGTGGTGGGCGCCTGTAATCTCAACTACTCGGGAGGCTGAGGCAGGAGAATCGCTTGAACCTGGGAGGCAGAGGTTGCAGTGAGCCGAGATCCCACTATTGCACTCCAGCCTGGGGGACAGAGCAAGACTGTCTCAAAAAAATTAAAAAATTAAAAAAAAATTAGGGTGACAGTAGGTCTTTCTGGAGGCCCTAGGGGAGAATCCGTTTCCTTGCCTTTTCCAGCTTCTAGAGGCCACCTGTGTTCCTTGGCTCATGGCCCTTTCCTCCATCTTCAAAGTCAGCAATGTAGAATCTCTCTGATGCTTCTTCCTTGTCACGTCTTGTTTTCTGACCACAGCTGGGAAAGTTTTATCTGATTTTAAGGATTCATGTAAATAGATTGGGCCCACCTGGATAATCACCCCATGTGAAAGTCCTTAACCTTAATCACATCTGCAAAGTCCCTTTTGCCAGGTAGGATACACACCATAGGATTAGGACATGGGTATCTCCAGGGAGCCTTCATTCTGCCTACCACCTCTGCATGAAAGTGAGGGGGGGTGTGTGTGTGTGTAGGTCTGTGTCTCCTCAGCCTTTGCCTCCAATGCAGAGGGCCTCTCTTCAAACTTTGCATCTATTTTGCTGTAGTCAGAGTGAGGAAACCTTAGCCCATTAAACCTTAGTGAGGAAACCTTACCATATATTTGTGGTAAGCAAACATACGCAAAACCACCATGCAGATAGGGACCTGGCTGGAGCACCTCTCCTGGGGCTGGCTTTCTAGGGAACTGGAAGATAATTCACAGAGATCCCTTCCAACGCATCTATCCATCCCAAACTCAGAGTCAGGTCCAGGGAGGCCACAATGATGGGAAATAAATGAGGTGTTGAGTGACCATGAGGCAGAACAAGCCTTATACTCCACGCTAAGGTGCACTCCCTCAGCTAGCCCACCCAGTGGAGCTCTGCAGCCCCTCCCACCCGACCAGCCTGCCCTCCACACACCATGCTCTCCTGCCTGGGCATTCTCCTTATTCCTTCCAACCACAGCCCCTGCCTAAGGAGGCCCCTCACACCTGGGAGGTTTCCTCTTTCCTCCTCTCTGACTCGAACTATGAAGCATCCTTCATGACCCAGCAGAAGTCTCCCCTGCTCAAGGAAGCCTTTCTCAGCATGTCCCTGTCCTCCTCCAAGGCTGTGCCTTGTCCTTTGAGCACAGGGTACTGTCTCCTGGTCCTGTTTCTTTCACAGTGCACATCACCACGATGGCCACACAACAGGCCCTCGGTCAATGCCATGTCCTGGGCACACCACACCCTTTCAGGCCTCTGCACTTCTGCACATGCTGTCTGCTCTTGACTAGAATATTCTTTCCTAACTCCTCTTGCAAGGTCTCATCTTCTCTGAGGAGCCTTCTCCACCTCCCCTCCCACACTGCTCTTCACTTTTTAACATTCCCACTTTTCTCTTTTTAGAACCTATCCCTGTTATACCATTCATCACGTGAACTATAATTCCATTAGACCCAAGGAAAAAAACCCATCTTATATAAACATTTGTTGAGTGGCTACTCTGTGCTAGACACTGTGCAAGGTGCCGGGGAAATACAGATGAATCACACAGAGATCTGGCCTCAAGGGCCTAATGACTTGCGTTAGTCTGGTATCCACACCATACTGGGTAGTTGCAGAGGACTAGGACTCAAATCGAATTCCTCTGTGAGTCCCCATCGGCAAGCACATATCAGCCCATAAGGAAGATTTGTGGAACAATGCAAGATTTTGACATTCTTGAGTTGTAGCTTCAACTCAGACAAGCCGCTTTACTTTCCTGAGCCTCAGGTTCCTCATCTGCTAAATGAAGGCAGAATCCCCAGGGCTGGGCTAAGGATAAGTGGAGACTATGAGTGGGAAAACTCTCTGGAGACCAACTATCCCTCCATATGTATGAAAGGTAGTGACTGTGACTGTTACATTCTCCCCTGTCCCCTACCAGGGTCAGCCATGCTCCTCAAGGTTTATGGAAGGAATGAGTAAGCAGCTTTCACTAGCACTGAATTCACACCACTCAACTCTGGCCCTTCCTGGATCCTAGAGAATTCTCTGCATAGAATCATGGTTTCCATCTTCAGCCTCTGGGCTCTGGATTTATTGATTTCTGTTGAGAAATCTCCATCCTGACCCTGCTTTCCATTCCTAGGCCCTGGTTTGTATAAATCACAAATAAGGCAAATGTAAAAATCTAAGAATGGAAAGGATCAAGCTAGGGGAATCCCTTCCAGGGACTCACATCAGAGCTGGCGACATGGTTAGATATTATGTTAGAGAACACGGAAGCTTGTGAATGGGGAGACATCTACCTGGGGTCCCCAGCAAGTCGGCAATAAGACAAAGGTGAGACCCAAGATGCCCAGATCCCATCCCATCCACTCCATATAGGGCCACCAAAGACCTTCCCTATCTGGGTCCCCTATCATTCTTTCTCATCTTTCTCCACTCCACATATCTAGTTCTGCCCAGATTCTCAATGTTCTCCAAACATGCCCTTGAATGAAATATGCCTCTTTGTGCACCCTCTTTTCCTACTTATTTACCAGTGGGCTTAACTCCTACTCATCCCTCAAGGCCCACTCAAATGTTTCCTTTTCTGGAACAAAAGTCTAAACTTAGTTTGTTCAGAACCCATTCATCAATCCCTCCTCTGTGTTCTCATGTATTCTCTACATACATTGATTTTAACATTTATTACCCTCCTCTATAATTGTCTATAATTGTCTTAGTACTCACTATACTCTATTTTTCTCTAGGGCAGGAATTATTTCTGCTTCCCCTCTGTCCCCAGGGCCTAGAAAGGTGTCTGGCACTCAGTTGGTACTCAATAAATGTCACCAGCTAACCAGTCATCATTACTTACTGAGCCTGGCTGATGACCCTGAAAAGAAACTCTGTTACTAGGGAATTTCCAGCAGGCGGAATTATCAGGAAGGACGGGGCAAATGGTACCTGAGGTAAGAATCCTGTAAGAAAAAGATGCCGGAGGAGAAACTGATGGAGACACAGGTCACAGAAGGAAGATGAGGAATCCAGGAGAAGGTCATGCTGGGCCCTGGGGACATAGTAACCATTCAGTCCCTGCCCTCAAGGAGCTCATGGTCTGTTGGGGAAATAAACAAAAGCACAATTTTGTACAGAATGAGGCTGCAGTAAACCATTTTCTCCTACCACCCTTTCTTTACATGGCTTCCAAGATACCATCAACTCACCCAGCTTTCTACTTATCTTTTTGGCCTTCCTTCTCCATCTGGTTTGCTGCTTTTCCTAGTTTCCTCAAATTCTGAATATTGGAGGAAACTATTTTCCAACTACATTCACTCCCTTGGTGATCTCATCCAGTCTCATGACTTTAAACACCATCTACATGCCAATGACTCCCAAATGATCTATCCAGCCCAGATCTCTGCCCTGACCTGCAGACTCATATGCCTTCCTGCCGCCCCAACATCTCTACTCTAATGGGCATCTCAGACTCAACACACTCAAACCTAAGCTCCCTGTCAAAAAAAAACCAAACCCCTCATCACCTCCCCATTCCTTCCCAACTCAAAAAAGTGGCAACACCAATCTTCTAGTCGTTCAGCCCAAAAATCGTGGCTCCTTTCTTATTCTGGCATTGTCCATCTGTTAGCAAACCTTGTAGTCTCTACCATCTAAATAAATTCAGAATTCAACCACTTCTCATCCACTACCTCTAGATTATCATAATAGGCTCCCAAATGGTCTCCCTGCTTCTGCCATTGTCTCCCCTACCCCAGTCTATTTGGAGAACAGCCAGAGTAACTCAGTTAAACTGTAAATCAGATTGTGTGGACCCTGTGCTCACAACCCTCCACTGGCTCCCCAACTCCTCATCTCCTACCTATTACTCTCCCTAGAGGACACTATGCCCAAGCCATTCTAGGCCCTCTGCACTTGTATTCTCTCTCTCTGAAATGCTCTTCCACAAATATCAGAAGGCTCTCTGCTCCTTCAGACCTTTACTCAAAAGTCACCTTCCCAGTGACTTTGGCCCCCCAGTCTGAAATAAAACACCTCCCCTGCAAATATTTTATTCCCACTTCTCAGATTTATTTTTTCTCTTATTTACTGCAATCTTACAACTACATATTTTATTTATCTATCTTCTTTATTGTTTACCTCTCTCAGAATGAAGGCTGCATGAAAAGAGGGACTTTTTTGGTCTGTTTTGTTTACTATTGTATACCCACTACTAAGAATAGTGATGGACATATACTAAGGCACTCAGTAGGTATTTGTTGAATGAATGAAAAAGGTAGTCATTTCCAAGAGGCAAAGTTTACTCTTTAATGAAAAACTATAACAAACAGTGCTATTTGGCAATATAATCACATTCAATATGCACAGTACACGACCTCTTGAACAATTCTTATCCAATCTTCACATCAGCCCAGGATAGAAGGAAGGCTGGGCAGAGATTATGATGCTGGTTGACAAAGAAGCTGAGTCCAGAGAGAGGAAAAGGAATTGCCAAAACTCACACATCTGGCCAGGACAGTACTGGAAATGCGGATAACTGCTGTCCCTGAAAGAGGCTGGTAAGTGATGGAGTTTAATAGGAATTGGGTTTGAAGGACCTCTGTTGCCAGAAAGCATGAGTATCTCTAAAGGCGAAGCTGAGTCAGAGGTTACTAGAACAGAGGCATCAGCAAAGGATGGGAGAGGTGACGAGGGCGATCTCTAAGTGTACTTGGCCCAGGCCTGAGGAGGGCAGCTGATTCCCCCAGCAACAGAATGCTGTGCCTGAGGCTAACTAGTCATTCAAGTCTGTACATAATCTCCAATGTCAAAACTCAACAAGCAACCTTAAGAGAGACCACTAAGTCTACTGCATGTCTGCAGGGTTTGGCTTCCCTGGACTGTGAGGTCTTCCAGGGAAGCGACCATATTCCTAGATTTATCCCCAGTTTCTAGCAAGGCCTGGAATATAGTAATATTGTAACTCTAATATTTTTGTTCAGAGCAAAAATAAAAAAGAATGAATATGCTCAAACGGGAAACTGTAGCTGAGAGAGCACAGATAGGAGGGGCCTAACATCAACCAGCAATTCTGAAGTAGTAACAGATTAGTTTTCTGGGATGCAGCAGGACGAATGGCCCTCGCACTAAAAGGTTGCTGTCAGCTCTTCTTCAGAAGGGGTTAACAAGCAAATGGTGACTGGCAACAAAAGGGCAGGGGTTAAACGGGGCAGTGGTTAAACGAGACCGTAGTGCTGGCGCCAGGATGGAGACGCCGACTGGCTGAGACTCAAGGCGGGGCAGATAGGTAGGCGCGGCACACTTCCTTCCCTAACAATGTGACTAAGGTAGGTCAACGTCACATCCGGTTTAGTGGGCGGGAGCGGGGAAAACAAAAGGAGACGAAGGACGCATGCGTTTGGTGAGTCCCGGATTCTGGTGGGTTCTTCCGCTCAGGCTGGGTGAAGCGCTTCCGGGTCGCCGCCGGCAGCAGCCTCCCGGCGCGGTAAGTACAGACGCAAGGCTGCAACCGTCTCCTTGCCCCTTCATTCCTTTTTCCCCCAGAGAAACCCATTTCCTTTGACCCGACTCCCCAGGAGCTCCATATTGAGAGTCCTTAACCCTTAAAGAGCTCCAGCTCATTGGCCGCTTCCTCGAGACTAAGCCCCACCCCGTCACACAAGGTCCGTCATTCATTGGTGTCACTTCCTGTCACCCAGCATTTCTTTCAGTTAATTGGTCCTACCCAGGCCCCGCTTTTTTCGCGTTTAGCAACCCTATAAGGCCAAATTTCTGTCTGAGACCCGCCCTGCTTTCTTTCTGTTGGTCAACTGCATGGTCATTATCGTAATGAGCAAAGAAAGGGCGGTGGCTTTGCGACGGTGGGTTGGGCTTTCGGAGCCGAGATCGCTGGTCTGTCAGTACTTCTTGGACATGAGGGTGTTTACCGTCGTGCCTAATTACGCGGGTTGGGAATCTGAGATACAGGGAAGGGCAGCGGCTGGCCCTGGGTCGGTCAGATAAATTAAGACAAAAGCAGGACCAGGCATCGATTATTTTCTCCTGCTCATCCCTTTCACGGAGGAATTCTAAGCCCCGACACACTGTATGACCTAAAGCCAGTCTCTGCCTGTCGCTGGGCCTCAGTTCGCCTGTCCTAAGTTTAATTCAGATTATCTGGCACTCCTGGTCGGCTCCCTCAGCCGCTCAAAGCTGATTGTACCCTTATAATGTTAGTTCATCCATTCAATCTTCCATCTACTTATTTATCCACTTATTCATGCCTCCTAGAATGTCTTACTGAACCCTGCTTGCATATGCTACAATCCCTCCACCCCGACATTTGGCTGTGATTCATGAGAGGTCGTTAGTGTCCTAAATTTCTGACACTGGGTGGGTGTGGTATGGGCCATCATAAAGGGTCAAAAAGCAGGTTTTAGTGTGTGGAGGAGGTAGGGATAGTTTCAGTAGAACCCTGCTACCTCTAATTTTGTATAATTTCATAATGCCAGTCTGCATTCTGGATTCCTATCCCTACACTTGACTCCCATTCTCATCCCTCCTTGAACAGCCTGCAAACAGCTTTGTTGATCCATTATTTACTTAATTATCAGAATAACTTTGACAGTGGTATAATTGTTATTATCCCCATTTTACAGATGAAGACACTGAGGCTCAGAGAGGTTAAGTGACTCAGCCAAGGTCAAACAGCTAGTAAGTGGTGGAGCCAGGACTCAAAGCCAGGTCTGTCTGATTCCTAGGGGGAGGGGCTGCTTTCCTGCTGTCTTCCACCCTATCCCTAAATCAAATTACAACCAAATTAAAAACAAAAACAAAGCAAAACACATTCACTTGACCCTTTCCCTCAGTCTAGGAGCCATGTCCACTTTGTTCCCCTCACTCTTCCCTCGTGTGACTGAGACTCTGTGGTTTAATCTGGATCGACCCTGTGTGGAAGAGACAGAGCTGCAGCAGCAGGAACAGCAGCATCAGGCCTGGGTGAGTGAGCAGCTAGCACAGCACAGAGACCTCAGCACAGACAGAGACCTCCTTCAGTGGGCCATGACCCAGCCTTACTCCAGAAATCTACCCAGGAAGAGCTTTTTGCCCTGAGCTGGGAATAATCGGGCTGGGAGCCAGGGAGCCAAGGTTCTCATCTTGTGGTACCCTATTTTACAGGGGTACCATGTGACTTCTGGGCCAGATTAGAGCCCAGGCTGCTGACACTCAGCCCAAGCTCTTTTCCCTAAAGCACAGGAAATAATTTTGACTATTAATTGAGGATCTAGCAGATGATGCTTTCTAGGCTGATAAGTCTCTCACTTCATCCTCACCATAATTATACAAAAAAAAGAAGGCTCAGAGAGTTTAAGTATTTGGATCAAGTTCATAAATGGCAGATGACAAGAAAGGGATTGTATCTCCCTGAGAACTGGGAGGAAGCTTCTCCCCAACACGTGTGGGTTGTCTTCTGGGCAGAATGGGCCAGTCCCATGCCCCTGACCTGCCCTACTTGGGCTCTGGCCTTGTTCCTCTGTGCCTTTGCCCACAGCTCCAAAGCATCGCGGAGAAAGACAACAACCTGGTTCCTATTGGCAAGCCAGCCTCAGAGGTGAGTGGCTCTAGCAGGTGGGGCCTGTGTGGGGGCCGCAGTGGACCGAGGCTCTGCTCTAATTCTGAATGTCCTGTCTCTGACCCAGAGCAGTTGTGGTTCTCAGATCTGGGTAAAAGCCTAAAAGGGGAGATAGAAGGGGTGGGCATTGGGCCTAGCATTAAGGTCCTGCAGAACATGCACCAGCCTGCTAGACTCAAGGAGGGAGTGTCGGGGTAGGGGGTCATTCATTGGCCCTAGAGAGAGGCTCAAGTGGGTCAGTTCTTGAACTGGTCCATGCAGGCCTGTAGGGCTTACAGGCTCTGTCCTGCCCACCAGCACTATGATGACGAGGAAGAAGAGGATGATGAAGATGATGAGGATAGTGAAGAGGACTCAGAGGATGATGAGGATATGCAGGACATGGACGAGATGAATGACTACAATGAGTCACCGGATGATGGAGAGGTCAATGAGGTAGGCAAGGGGTATGGGGGAGGGCCTCTGTTCCTGGACCCTTGCTCCTGACCCAGTTGATGGCCAAGGGGTACAGAAACCCTGGATCCAGCCAGGGGCAGGATCTGGGGCTGAGGCTGGCTGAGGCCCCTCCCCACCCACACCCAGCCTCCTCTCCAGGTGGACATGGAAGGCAACGAACAGGATCAGGACCAGTGGATGATCTAGGTAGACAAGGCAGGGTGGCCTCAGGGAGATTCCAGGCCAGCCCAAACTACCCTGCATCCCAACCCCCAACCCCTGCCCACAGAACCAGCTGATGGCCCCAGTGCCTGAAAGTGCCCTTGGGCACCTCCTCAGCTGCTGCCAGGATCTGGTCTCTTTGGCCCCTCCCAGGCCATCAGTCTGCACTTGAAATCCCCAGGGCCTGAAACCTACTCCACCTTCCTGGCCAGTACCTCACCCCTTGATTGCCAGGTCTGGTCTAAGTTTCTTTAATAAAGACAAAGGAGTGATTTTCCACCCATGTCTATTCCCTATTTGTTGGTGGGGCCCAGAGGAGTCCAGCATCTTCTTTTGGGCTTTAGGAAGAGGGCACTCAAGGGACATCAGCCACACCTAATTGGCTAGGTGGGCCAGAGTTAGGGAAGGCCAGGGCATCCCTGGCCCTGGGTCCAGGGTTCTGTGCCATTTTCTCTGGCCCAGCTTGCATCCAGCTATTCCTGCAGGGCGTCTAACTCATTGCCACTTCCTCTGATCCCACCCAGAATGGCATGGGCTGAGGATGGGAGGCTTTCTGAGGCCGAGAACTGGGAGGCCCCTGGAGCTCTCCCATCCAGCTTCCTTCGTGTTAAGAGAGAAGATTAAATCTCAGAGCAAGGTGGGGATTCCCTTGGAGTCACTCAGCAAATCAGTGACAGAGCTGGGTCGGGAGCTCAGGCTTCTTGCTGTCAGTCCATGGTTCTCTCTGGAAAGAGGGGGCCTAGTGAGACCAAGCAGCCTGATAGAACTTGACACTTGAGGTCAGTGTAGAGGCTGAAAGAGGTCAGAGGTGGGAAGAGAGACTCCCTAGCCCTGAGCCCAGCGTGTGTCAAGGCCCCAAACAGGAAAGGGAGGGGATTTTGAGGTCCCTGCTTGGGTGGGGGTGGGGGTGGGCATCAGTAAGTACCCCTGGGCCTGGACCTCAGCCTGGTCCAGCATAGGTGAGCTGAGCTATTCCATCCTTGATGGCAGGGAAGTCTGGAAGGCCAGTGTGGTGGAGGCGGCAGCGGTAGCGGCCACAGCTCTTAGCATACTGCAAGAAGCGGGGTGCACCAGGGAAGAGCACATGGTCAGCCAGCACGGTGGCACCTGCTGGCAGTAGGGCATGGGCCTCCAGCAGCTGCAGGTCCCTCAGGTAACATCGTGGCCGGTGTGCCAGGAGCACCAGGTCTGCCCGACTCAGCTGATACTGGGTGCGTAGGCACGGGATCACGTCCTCTGAGCTGCCCACGATGAGCTCCACCTGTGGGGATAGGGGGAGCTGGAGGTGAGGGTGGGGGGAATTGTTCTCCCAGTCAAGACCCCACCAGGATCTGGCTTACTTCATGCCAGGTCCTGGCTTAGCTTCCCATGAGTGTTCTCACATTTCCTCTGACCTCAGAACCTAAGAAGTCAGGATCAGTATTGTGATTTCCATTCTGAAGAAGCTAAGGTTCAGAGGATGCATGCTTTGCTCAAGGTCACGTAGCTAACAAGAGGCAGAGTAAGAGCTGGACCCAAATTTGCTGGGTTCCAGAGACCTTCCTCTTAGCTGTTTCTTTCGTCATCCGGCAGAAAATAATGTGCAGATGACTTGGGACAGGAGGGCAGGAGCTCACACACCATCCAGCATCACAGTCCCCAGAGTGGAGGTGCTTCCTTCTCCTTAGATGGGAGTCCTTCACAAGGGATGTCTGGGGGCAAGGCCTGGGGTGACAAAAATCTGGGTTGGGGAGATGGGAGGCTGACCATGTGCTCATCAAAGCCGGCCAGGCGGATGAGTTTTTCAGCCACTGCTGCCGTGCGTGGGTCCCGCTCCACAGTAAGAAGGCGACCCCCAGGGGGCAGGGCTCGGGCAATAAGCAGGGTAGAGTATCCACAGTAGGTTCCCAATTCCAGCACACAAGCAGGGGCCTTCTCCTCCACCAGCCGCATCAGGATCTGACCTATGAGGGGAGATGGCTGTTGCAGAAGACATGGGAGATGGATGCAGGGCCCCTGATAAAAGATATCTCAAATGCCTACCTGCCTCACTGCAGCTCCCAACCAGCCGGGGTCTCATCTGTCTCTTGTACCATAGCCCCAGCTGCCCTCCTGGTCCCCGTCTCCTACAGTGTAGTCTTCACACCAGCCCTGGAATCTTTCCAACAAATCTGACCTTATTACTCCTTGGCTCCTGTGAGCTGAAGGCCTTTGGGATTGAACTTGGGATTCTCAGCCTGGCATTCAGGACCTTGGACCTGATCCTATCCTACCTTTCCAGGTTCATCTCTCAGTACTTCCCACCTGTGGCCTGTATCACAGCCATCCCAAACAACTGTGCCCAGAATCCATCAAGCTGTCTCATTCCTTCATGCCACATGTGTATATGTGGCTGGCTTTGCCCTTCCCACCCCCATCGCCATCTGCCTGGCCAACTCAGAACTTCCAGATTCAGTTCAAATGTTGCTCTTTCTCCATGAAGTCCCAGGCAGAAACAACCACCCTATCTTTCAGATTTATGAAAGGTCTCTGTTAGAATTTGTAGTTTCATTCCCCTTTTATTGCTCATCAAATGTATTTCTGATCTTGGAATTGGATGAACTTTTATTTATTTATTTTTGAGACCAAGTCTTGCTGTGTTGCCCAGGCTGGAGTGCAGTAGCATGATCACGGCTCACTGCAGCCTTGACCACCCAGGCTCAGGCAATCCTCCCACCTCAGCATTTCCAGTAGCTGGAACCACAGTTACTCACCACCACACCCGGCTAATTTTTAAATTTTTTGTAGAAACGGGGGTCTTGCTTTGTTACCCAGGCTAGTCTCGAACTCCTGGGCTCAAGTGATCCTCCTGCTTTGGCCTCCCAAAGTGCTGGGATTACAGGCATGAGCCACCATGCCCAGCCAGTGAATTTCTTTTCTTTTCTTTTTCTTTTTTTTTTTTTTTTTGAGACAGGTTCTTGCTCTGTCACCCATGCTGGAGTGCAGTGGCACAATCACAGCTCACTGCAGCCTCAGCCTCCTGGGCTCAAGCAATCCTCCCACCTCAGCCTCCCAAGTAGCTGGGACCACAGGCATGTGCCACCATGCCTGGGTAATTTTTGTATTTTTTGTAGAGATGGGTTTTTGCCATGTTGCCCAAGCCGGTCTCAAACTCCTGAGCTCAAGCAATCTGCCCACCTCGGCCTCTCAAAGTGCTGGGATTACAGGCACCAGCCACCACACAGCCGAATTTCTTAAATAAGACCCTAAAAGCACTTATGCTGGGATTGAGATAAATCCAGGCAGACAGCTACCCTAAATGGTATGTGGAAGCCTCCATGGTGGAGAGGAAAGATGTGGAGACAGATAATTACAAAGCTATGGGTTATCTGCTGAGATGGTTATTCCACTGTGTATTATGGTTCCTTTGAGGCCAGCATTTGTGGCTCATTCATCTCTGTGGCCTCTACCCCTCTCCCTGGCACCTAGCACATTCCTAATACAAAAGAGGTGGCAATAAATGTTTGCTGAATAAATGACTTAGTCCAAGCTCCTCATTTCCAGATGAGAAAAAAAAGAGGCCCTAAAAGAGGATCAAGAACCTGCCCAATTCATCCAGTTAAGCAGCAACAGATCCCAAATATTCCTTCACTGTCTTGGGGGTACTTCTTGGAGCAGAAGGCTAGGGAACACTGACCTTTGACAGGCCCCATGTGGCTCAAGTACTCGCAGCGGCTGCTCCAGTGGTCCAGGGTGGTGAGGATGTGACCAGGGTCACCGGGCAGGGCATGGGTGAGCACGTAGCTGAAGGCCCGCTCCTCGATCCGCAGCCCTGACAGGCAGTCTCGGAGGCTTCGCAGCAAGACCGTGCGCACCAGCAATCGGAAGTAGTGCCGGTACCGCACCAGCAATGTTACCACCAGTGGCAGGAAGGCCAATGCAATGGCAGGGGACATGGTCCCTACCTGGGCCCTGGGGTGGAGGGAGGTAGGGAGGGAATCCCATACCCACAATTTGCCTATTTGTGTAGCTTTTGCCAGTAGCAATTATTATCCTTATATTTCACAAACCACGGCTCAGAAAGGCTAAGTCTTTTGTCCAGAGTCACAGAGCAGAACTGGGATTTGAATCCAGGTTAGTGTGATTCCAAGCCTGTGTACTTTCAAGGACTCTATACTGTCTACTTTCAGCACCCAGCCCCAAACCACCTCTTCCCGGTCCCAACCCCTGGTCCCATCTTCACATTGTTCCCCTGACTTGTTTCTCTTTATCCTTGAAGTCACCCCTTCTTCAGGACCCCTTTCACTAATTCACCTCTGGGATATCTTCCCCCACCCCTACCCTCTGCCTGCCTGGTCTCCTCTGACCACTGCTGTGTAGCAAAAGAGCATAGATTTGCAGTCAAAAACACCTTCACTATCACTGTGCCCTGCCTCAGTAAAATGCAATCAAAATACCCCATAGGGTGTTAGAGTGAGATGTCCTCTTTCCCACCCCAGGACTCTCCCTCTGCCTGCTCTTCCCTGAGGATGGGAGGAGTCTTTGATTCTTTAATAATTCTCCAGCCCCATCTCCTCTCCGCTGTATTCCCCTCTTCTCCTGTGCTGTCTCAGAATTCCCTTCACAAATGTGTACATACACATAACACACAGCACACATTTTCCCTCTACTCAGCTCTTCTCTCCAGGGACCTATGGGGAATGGGCCTCTCCTCCCATGTCCTGGACCATTCTCCTCCTCATCCAGATCTGACCTCCTTGCCGGCCTTCTTGCAAGGCCCCTGGTGATGGCGGGGAGTAAAAATGAAAGAGTGTATGGATGGGTGTGAATAGGTGAGTGATGCGGTGGGCTTGAACTGGTGAGCTTGGGAACCCACAATCCAGGGCCCTGCTTACCTGGGCTGGAGGACCAGAGCACAGGACAGGTCGGGGAGTCCAGGGCCTGCTGCGGGGGATAACCCTGAGGTAGGAGGCTGGAATGGCTTTCAATTATTCATGCTGAGGCTGCTGCTGTCACCTGAGACCTGCAGTTCAAGTTACCAGCCCCAGGGACGAGCTTGAGCTGCCTCCTACCCTTCAGGAACCTCAAAAGATTTACAGAACCTCAGGGTCTTGATTTGAGGGGTTATAAGAGGTATGAGATCTGGTGACTTCTCCAATACTTTGGATCAGAAGATGGGGCATGGGGTGAGCCAAGGTGATGGGGTGACTGTAACATGCTCATTGATATGCAAGTTTTCTGTAAGCAAGGCCATGCCTTGGGCTACAGGGAAGAGTCAGAACCTGTCACTGTGCTCCAGGAACTCCCAAGTTTGGTAGGTGAGACTGACCCAGGAACAGAGAATACAATATAGTGTGATCACTATTGGATGTTCCATGACTACAGGGACTTTGGCTGTTTTGTGAACTGCTGCATATCCAGATATAACAATGTGTGGCACATAGTAGACGCTCAGCAAATATTTGTTGATTCAATAAATGCATGAATTAACACTGGATGAGGATTAAGCATAGGGAGCTGGGCATGTCCAGAGAATGGAGTCAGAGAAGGTAATCAGGAGGACATTGTACTGAGTCTCGAAGACAGTAAAGACAGTAGGCAGACCAGGCTGCATGTACAAAGTCCAGTAGATCAATCAGGAAACTACATTATTTCTCTATGTCCAGTGAAACACATTGCTGACCCCTCCACCCCTCACCCCAGAACATGCAGTGGGAGAGGTGTCAGGCTCTTGTTATGTCAGACGGGTAATGTGCCAAAACAAGATTTGAGGGTGGCACATTTGATACATGCTGGTGAACACCCAATCACACGCTCATGAACAACAAATGGATCACTATACAATCTTGGACGGACTTGGACCTGTGTTCAGGGCCCAAGGGAAGACATGGAGCGGGGGTTAGGAAAAGAGAACTGATGGTCAGCTTTGTGCGTTCGATTACAATGGGTGCTGTTAAAAAAGGCAGAATTAAAGATAAAAGCCTGAAAGCAGAGAGGTCAGTGAGGTGGCTTCTATCTCCTCTACCAGGATTTATCTCCGCTGCGCGTCAGCATGTGAAGGTAGTATAAGGTCCCTTCTTCCTGTAAGTCGCAGATCCCCAGCCCAGGTGGAGAATACACCCTCTGTGTATTCACCCCCAGCCCAGCTGGGCGATACACCCTCTGTGTTCCCCGACTAGGTACTGGTCATCTGGATCATCTGTGTGTGTGCACCCAGACCGTACGATCTGGAGCATCAGGCCTGGATCCCAGTCGCCCCTCGCATGGCATTTAGAAGAGTATATCACAAGGGCATACGAGGGCATTTGGTACGAGTTCGCTCAATGGCCCAGAAAAGTGGCCTAGTGGCCACGAGAACGCATAACACAATTCACGATGGCCACTACTGCCAGTTTAGAGACTGGAAAGATGAAGTCATGTGATCCGCCCCGCCCTTTCCCCGCATCACGTGCTTGCGTGTACGGTTACGCCTTCCCATTGGTTGACAACGATCACGCGCTAGCGGGCGGGACCGGAAGCCGGGGTATTGACTGAGGCGGCCAAGCGGCTCCGGGACAGGGGGTACGGGGGGTGGGGGCGGGTGGTTGCCTGCGGGAGGCCGCCGCGGGTCATGTGACCGGAAGGGCTCCTCACGGACGCCGTCCCTCCTCGGCGCGGCCTGAGCGCCCGGCCCGACCCCGGCCATGGGGTGCTGCTACAGCAGCGAGAACGAGGACTCGGACCAGGTGCGGCCGCGGCAGGCGGGGCTCGGGAATGAGGGCTAAGACACTGGGGCATGGGGCCCAGAAAGAAACCTGCGGAGGACGGGCAGCCGGACTGCAGGGCTCACTGAATACGGAGGCCTGGAGGGGACAGATTACAGAGGAGACGCCAAGCCGGGCTCCTACCCCTGTTAAAGCCCCAGATTTCTACACAGTCCCCGCCTCGGGGTGTGCAGGCAGCCGCCTGTCCGGCTCGCTCCCACCACTTCCGTTTGCTCCTACCTTCAAAACTTTTCAGATTCAAGGATCCTCAGTCTAGGTCCCCGGGAAACACTCCCTTCCCCAGCTTCCTGTGTCTTCTGTGTATTAGTGGGCTTTGCGAATCCATTTTAGGGGTGGGTAAGCTGAGGCCCTGAGTTAGTCTGTCCTGAGATGAATCAGGAATTCGTGTATCGTCTTAGTCCCTGGGGTTGCAGAAGGAAGGTCGCTGCTAGTCTAGGGCCAGGGGACGACTCTGGAAGTTGGTGGCCTTTGAATTGGCCAATGAAGGATTTAATCGATACAGTGAGGACATCGGGACATGTGGGAAATTGTCTGGGAAGCAACAAAGAGGATTTAGCTTTGGCTAGATTGTGGGAAAAGAGAAATGGAGCGGGAAGTTCATTTGGTTCTGAGTTTGGCTTGCCTCAGTGCAGTCTGCCTGGGGCCTGAGGGTTCCTTTAGCTGGAGACATGCCTATTCTGAGAATTTGGCTGTAGATCTGATACCTTTGGAGAAAGGGTTAGGCTGGGGAGACCTGTACAGTTTTAAATTCTCCCTCTTCCTCTTAGTGCATTCTCACTTCTCCCCACACTCTAATCCCTGCCCTGCCTGGCCTGACATTCAAGGATGAAGTCTCAAGTTGCTGTCTACTCTCCTTTTTTGATCGTCTCTAAGCCCGGATTCTACATTTGAACATATAGTAGACCTGAGAGAGTAGAAAGGTTTCAGGTAGCTCACGGTCTAATGGGGAAGATGGTCACAAAAATAGATTATATCACTGGTACTTGGGAAGTAGTTCGTTCTTCAGTGAACGTATTTTGGATTAAGGGCTTAAGCCTAGGAAAATGTCGTTTGTATGGGAAGCAAGGGTGGCTTCTGGTTCTCAATTCTCCATACACCCAATGAACACATATTTCCTTTGCCCTGTGTTAGGCATGTGTTGTGCCTAATACCTCTCACTTCACTTCCACCTTTTTGAGAAAGAGACAACAATAACCCTGCCTACTGGGAGAGCTGTAGCCTAGTGGGAAATTGTCCCTTAAAGCATAATATGGACTCTTGCAGGGAATGAGTCAAGAAGGATTAATGCCGTATGAGAAAGGATACAAGCTTCTACTTGGAAGGGAGAGCTGGGCCTGCTGCTCTCCTGAATCTCTACCTTCTCCTTGGGGGGCTCTCATTTCTGTTCCTAACACCCAGAGAAGGTGCTTAATCACTGCTGGGTGATTTGAGGCCTCATGTAGCAAGGGCCATAACCATCCACCATCCCACAGTCCCTCTTTGAGTTCTTGGGCAGGCCCCTCTCCGACTCTCATCTCTGTCTCTTTATCATAATAAAAAATATACAACACGTTACAGTTTACAAAGGGCCTTCACAGTTATCTAATTTGACTCTTGCCAGACATCCGTCATATTAGTGTGGGTTATGTCTATTGAAAGGTGAGGAAGAAGTTCAGAGAAGCTAAGTGATTTGGCCAAGCTGAGAAGTGCTAGTGCCCAGGTGTTCTGACGCTAGGCCATGTACTTTATCCATGGGGCCAAGCTGTCTCAGCCATGCCCCTAGACCAGGTGGCCAGTCACGGGCAGGCTGCTATGTCTGTGCTAAGGTAGACAGTGAAACCCTGCCTCTTGGGTTACACTAATGCAGAGACAAACCTTGATGTGACAAACCTAACCCATGCTCCACTCGCACTTTGGGAGTGGGGTGATGTTTGTCTGCTCTGAAGTAGGTAGCATGGCCTCTTCTTTAAGTCTGGGTTTCAAGAAAATAACCTTGTTGTTCACTTGATCTTAGCTGAAGGCTGAGAAGTGATCAGCCAACCTTCTTCTTGAAGAACCCCTGATAGGGAAGAGACTACCCTGTCCTGCAGGAAGATCTGTCTGAAGTGGAGCTGGGAGGACAGACACATAGGAAGCTAACTTGGGCCTCATTATGGAGCCAGCTTTCCTTAGAAATACATAGTTTTATCTTTGGCAAACATTTTGTCTTTTTAGCTCTTTAATACTGAGCCTATGTATTTAGGGAGGAAGGGTGTCTGGGAGTTTATAGAGGTGATGGGGCAAAGCCCACAGCTTCTGTCTCTTGCTGTTGGGAACTGGATCAAATTGCCTGAGGACACTTGGGCAACCTAGCCTTGAGAAAGAAGAGTAAGGTGAAAAGGCTGGGCCTCCCTAAGCAGGGCAGGAGGAAGTAGCCCTCTACAAGGAGAGTTGTGGAGTTGTGGGCAGGGGAGCTGCGGCCTGCAGCAGGAAAGACTGAGGAACTGAGATAGGCCTGGAGGGGAGCATTGAGGAGTCTGGCACTGAAGGTTGGTGAGTCAGCATTAGCCAGGATGTCCCCCTGGGCCCATCCTTGGCTTTGTTCAGGGCACTCTTGCTCTTTATGGGTTGGATAGATACCCAGCAGGTCTGTTTTTCTCATTTACTGCTGATACAGCAAGCAAGGATTTGCAGCTGATGGTCTCAAGGCAGGGTCAAATCCAGAAATATTACAGTAGATAGAACAGGGGACTGAAAGAGGACAAGGAGGAAGACCAAACCAATGAGGAAGCTTGGTTTGGTCTTACATTAGTTCAGGGGTTGTGATTATCAGCACAGGCCAGCAGGAACAGGGCTGCTGAAAATTTACATGGGCTACTCAGGTGGTTTAGCAAGGGAGGGAACAGCGCCATTGTTGTTTGTTTTGAGATGGGGTCTTGCTCTCTTGCCCAGACTGGAGTACAGTGGCACAGTCCTAGCTCACTGCAGCCTCAAACCCTGGGTTCATACAGTCGTTGCACTTCAGCCTCCCAAGTAGGTGGGACTGCAGGGCTCACACTACCAAGTCCAGCTAATTTTTTTTTTTTGCAAAGACGAGGTCTTGCTTTGTTGCCCAGGCTGGTCTCAAACTCCTGGACTCAAGCAATCCTTCTGCCTTGGGCTCCCAAAGTGTTGGGATTACTGGTGTGAATCACCATACATGGCTACAGCTGTACTGCTCAGATCAGGATACACCATGTACACTCAGTTTGGTTCTGGGAGTCACGTACAAAAAGAGCACCAGAGCACAGGAGGGTGAACACCTTCGAAGGGACCTGCCTTCAAGAAGGGAACACACTTGTACTGTGTGACCCAGAGCTGGGCTGGGATTCCTGCCCTGACATAATTTGAGAAATGGCCATGGAGAGGTTGGGCTTGCTTTCTCTTGGGGCCTAGGGCTTTGTCTGGACTCGCCAGGGCTTCCATCTTGGAAGCGAACAGCTTTGCTGGGGAAGGCCTGGTCCTAGGGGATGAGGAAGGCTGTTCTTGGGCTCTTGACTTGCACTGATTTCCCCTTTAGATCCCAGTGCTTGCTATGTCTCAGCTCCACTGTCTTCCAGCCTCTAGTATCCTTTCTTTGCCAGGTCCTAGAATGTTTTTCAAGCTCCAGGGCTGTTGCTGACTACCTGCTTTGTGCCTCTGTCCATTTTTTCAGGGCCTCTAGGACTGCCTGGTTCCACTCTCATTTATCCTAGAACACCAACTCAGTTGAGCTCCCAAGGATAGGCAGGAACTGAGTCTTATCTGGCATTCCATAAAGCTGGGCACTTTAGATATTCCTTATAGAAACATTTTTGGTGTTTAAGGTCAGAGCTGGGCTAAGGGTAGCACCCGTGAAAGGCAGGATCTACGGGTCCTGGGGCTGACTTCTCTCCCATGACCACTTCTAGGACCGAGAGGAGCGGAAGCTGCTGCTGGACCCTAGCAGCCCCCCTACCAAAGCTCTCAATGGAGCCGAGCCCAACTACCACAGCCTGCCTTCCGCTCGCACTGATGAGCAGGCCCTGCTCTCTTCCATCCTTGCCAAGACAGCCAGGTAAGTGTCAGAGGACCAGGCCTGGGTCAGAGCTCCTCTATCCATATTAAAGGCTAGGATAGAAGGAGCCAGGCTCAGGACATGGGGGATGGGACAAGGTCACTGGGGAGAGGTGCCTCCATGTCCAGCCCTGCTCCAGTAGGCAGGAGGGAAACTGGTGTCAGATAGCCCTGGAGTTGGTACCTGGCACTGAGTCCTGTTTGTCCTTCTCGGAAGCACCTGTCATGTCATCTCTGTCTCCTCTCCCCATAGCAACATCATTGATGTGTCTGCTGCAGACTCACAGGGCATGGAGCAGCATGAGTACATGGACCGTGCCAGGCAGTACAGGTGAGCACCTGGCCAGCGTGGGTCCCTCAGGCTACTTGGGCTCCCACCCTCCATCACTGTTCCAGCTTTGGAGCCTGGCCCCTAGTCCAAGCTTCTCATTTGGTGCAGCCCTGGAGACTGACCACAGATCACTTGGGTGCTTCAGTAGTTATTCATGTCAGCCCTGTTTACCCTGTGACACTCTTGAGGGCGCTGAGGCCAAGGGAGATGGGCCTAGATTGAGTCTGTGATGAGCTGAGACCTTCCCTCCCAGATACCCCTCCTCGACACCCTGCTTCTCTGGCCTGAGGGGATGAGGCTTACCTGGGCTGGGCAGGGCAGACTGTGGCTTAACTGCCTACCCCCACCCCCTCTCTCTTGGTCAGCACCCGCTTGGCTGTGCTGAGCAGCAGCCTGACCCATTGGAAGAAGCTGCCACCGCTGCCGTCTCTTACCAGCCAGCCCCACCAAGTGCTGGCCAGTGAGCCCATCCCGTTCTCTGATTTGCAGCAGGTGAGACACCCCTCACCTGCCCCTGCCCACCCTTCTCACACTGCCCAGGGTATGGCAGAGGGTTCACCCACTCTGCCTCAGAGGAGGTAGGGAAGGTGGAGTTAGGGAGCCTGGTAGCCTTGTAGGCCCCAGCTCCCTCCCACCTCGTTCTCTTAACTTTTTATGTCTTTCCTATCTCCTTCCTGCAACCTTTATTGTTTCACTCCCCTTTGTTCTTTTCCTTCTGTCTCTCCCATCCCTGTCTTTCTCTTTGCCTTCCTGTTCCCCTTCATTCCCTCCTTCTCCATCACCATCTAATCTCCCCTCCCCATTTTTCCTGATTGCCCTCCTCACCTGTCTCTGTTCCTCTCCTCCCCGGCCCCTCTCTGTCTCAGGTCTCCAGGATAGCTGCTTATGCCTACAGTGCACTTTCTCAGATCCGTGTGGACGCAAAAGAGGAGCTGGTTGTACAGTTTGGGATCCCATGAAGAGAGGGGTCCTTGGACAGCTCTTCTCCTCTCTTCATCCCATCTCTACCCCACCCCCTT
Source organism: Homo sapiens (assembly GCF_000001405.40). Taxonomy (NCBI): domain Eukaryota; kingdom Metazoa; phylum Chordata; class Mammalia; order Primates; family Hominidae; genus Homo; species Homo sapiens. The sequence goes on along the minus strand of NC_000011.10, from coordinate 72,097,761 downwards.
GGCCCCCAGCCTCACTGCGGCTTATACAGTACCCTAACCTGCTACTAATCACAGAGAAAAATGTGAAGAAGGAGGAGAAGAGGAAGGCTAGAAGCCTGAGCAAGTGAGGGTAGAACCTTTTGGGACTGGCCTTTGAAGCTCTGGCCAGGGATGGGGTGGGGGCCAAAAGGACAGAGCCTGGTATGTCTTCATAGTCATTGAGAATGTGGAGATACCAGTTTGGGTGGGGGGTGATCACCAGGGGACCTAGGGAGATCCCCTTCCCACCCTCTCTGTTGGCCTCAGAGTCACTCCTGCCCCCTCTCCCTGACTTGGTGCTCACATGCACCTCACTAGGGTTTGTGACCAGGGTCTGGATGAGCTTGAATTTGAATGAATTGAGTTTGTATTTCTAGAACCCTGGGTTTTTACATGTTTGGTCTTTTTTTGTTTTGGTTTGTCACCCTCGATAAAGGAAGTATATTCATCCATGTGCTGGTTCTGGCCCCTCTGTTCTACCCATTCTACTTTTGATTACTTAGGTCTATGAGAGTAAGATGGGGGGAAGGGGACATCTTCCAGGGATATTGAAGATGAACCCAAGAGACAAGGGTTTAGGGTGTCAGCTCTTAGCTGAGACCTGGCTTGGGCTAACCTCAGACTGGATGAGACTGTTCTTGTCCCTTGTCCAGTGATGATGGGAACACTGTCAAAGCTGAACAGACCTGAATCTGAGGCAGCTTTGATTCTTGGGGGCCCTGCCTCAGACTCAATGGAATTACCAACAGCCCCTGGGGGTGAAGGGAGACATGGCGGGTTGGGGGGTGGAGAGAGAAAGCAGACCAGGCTCTTCTGGGAATACCTAATATGGAGTCAGCAAGCAAATGTTTTTAAGCAGAAGATTCTTTTTATCAAATGAAATCTTAAGCAGAATCCCAGCATATAAAACAGAATGGAATTACTTTGATCTGATTGAAGTGGGGGCTGGTTTCAGAGATCATAGGCCATCTTCTTGGCCTGTCATGGAGGCCTGTGAGGCATCTCTACAGACCCTGGTACTCTGTGAAGAGTTTGGAAATTACTGATCTACTTTAACCCCCAAATCTCTAAGCTGAAAAGTACAAAGGGGCCCAGAGAGTTAGATAAATTTCCCAAGGCTGTGTGGTAAACCCACGTCTCCAGTGTCCCAGGCCAGCAGGCCTTTCCCTCAATTGCCTCCCTTTTTCAGCAAAATAAGACTAGAGCTGGCCAGGTGCAGTGGCTTATCCTGTAATCCTAGCACTTTGGGAGGCTGAGGTGGGCAGATCACCTGAGGTCAGGAGTTTGAGACCAGCCTGGCCAACATGGCGAAACCCCATCTCTACTAAAAATACAAAAAAAGGCTGGGCGTGGTGGCTCACGCTTCTAATCCCAGCACTTTGGGAGGCCAAAGCAGACGGATCACCTGAGGTCAGGAGTTCAAGACCAGCCTGGCCAACATGGCGAAACCTTGTCTCTACTAAAATATAAAAAATTAGCTGGGGGAAGCCGAGGTGGGTGGATCACAAGGTCAGGAGATGGAGACCATCCTGGCTAACATGGTGAAACCCCGTCTCTACTAAAAATACAAAAAATTAGCCAGGCGTGGTAGTAGGTGCCTATAGTCCCAGCTACTTGGGAGGCTGAGGCAGGAGAATGGCGTGAACCTGGAAGGCGGAGTTTGCAGTGAGCCGAGATCGTGCCACTGCACTCCAGCCTGGGTGACAGAGCGAGACTCCGTCTCAAAAAAAAAAATTAGCTGGATGTGGTAGCAGGCGCCTGTAATCCCAGCTACTCAGGAGGCTGAGGCAGGAGAATCGCTTGAACCCAGCAGGCGGAGGTTGCAGTGAGCTGAGATCGCACCACTGCACTCCAGCTGGGGTGACGAGTGAAACCGTCTCAAAACAACAACAACAACAACAAAATTAGCCAGTCATGGTGGCAGGCGCCTTTAATCACAGCTACTGGGGAGGCTGAGGCAGGAGAATCTCTTGAACCTGGGAGGCTGAGGTTGCAGTGAGCCAAGATCGTGCCACTGCACTCCAGCCTGTGTGACAGAGTGAGACTCCGTCTCAAAAAAAAAAAAAAGAAAAGAAAAGGCTAGAGCTACTTGCAGTTGCCTGAGTTAGAGAACATCTCTACAAGGTGTAAGTGACTTCTCATCTGCTCAACAGCTCAAATTATTTATTGTCAAACCATGCTGTCTATGCTTAGGCCTTTAGGACTACTAGGGTCGTGGGAGCCTCAAAGTGTATTCTGCTTGGTCCAGGCCTTCTTGGGCTTGATGTTCATGCGTTTCCAGACTTCAGCTGTGGTGCGGTCTGCTTTGGTGACCCCACTGAAGTCGAACGTGGTGATACGGGACAGGGTGCACAGCACATATTGCCTGTGGGGAAGACTTAGGCTGGGGGCCAGCACCCCCACCAGAATCCCCTTCCCCCTCCACTAGTTGCTGTTGTCTTCCCTGACTGCAAGGAATGGAGGGACTTGAGCATAGTTTGGGAAAGATTAGGTTTATCCTGACTGAGAGCAAGGAATGCTTAGAGGTCTGTTACTCCCTTCCCAGGTCCAAGCATGGCAGAAGAATGGTCGTAGATTTCTTGTTTCTCCTCCTCCTTTCCTTTAGGGGAGCCCAGCTAGACGCTACCTCCAGGGGCAGGGCACTTACCTATACCCTTTCTCTTCCTCCATGGGGTTCCCATGGAGTGTCAGGCTACGGAGCCGAGGAAGGACAGCCAGCTTATTCACCTCCCCCAGGCGCTGGATGCTGTTGCCGTGAAGATAGAGGACACTCAGGTTGAAGAAAGTTGTTAGGACCTGTTGGGGAGGGAAACCAAAAGCCAGGCTAGACAGGACAGGACCCTGAATCTCTGCTCAGGGCTGACTCGTGGGCAGAGAAGGAAGAATGTGGGGAACAACCTGCCCTCCACTCCAACCCTCCACAGCCATACTGTATGACTGTAACCTACTTTTATTTATGTTTTAAGACATACAGGGCATCACACTGAAAAGGAGCTGTGATCTGAGGGTCAGGAGTGTGGGCCTGGGTACCAGCACTGCCACTGACTTGCCTCTCTCAGCCTTAGTTGCCCCTTCACTGAAGACCTTTCCAGCTTTGGTGATCTACGATTCTATCACAGCAAGCAACAGGAAGACAGAGCATCATGCTAGGCACATAAGAAGCTTTTAAAATACTGGTTAAATTGAGATCACCACACCAGGGGAATAGTGTCCAAGTCATGCTCCAGCTCCTTTCCCCTCTTAGGGATCTTGGACTAGAAAAGGCCAAACTTTATTTCTTAAAACTTGAATCTGAGTTCACAGAAAGTAAGTGCTGTACTTTATTGACTACCTCTTCCACAGGAGAACCCAGCACAGGTCACAGTGGGTGCGCAGTGACAGTTAGAATTTTACTTCAGCCTCTGATGTACCAGTTGTTTGTTGGTTTTCATGTATTTTCTTTTCTTTTTTTTTTTTTTTGAGACGGAGTCTCACTCTGTTGCCAGGCTGGAGTACAGTGGCGCAATCTCGGCTCACTGCAACCTCTGCCTCCTGGGTTCAAGTGATTCTCCTGCCTCAGCCTCCCGAGTAGCTGGGACTACAGGCGCCCGCCACCACGCCCAGCTAATTTTTTGTATTTTTAGTAGAGGCGGGGTTTCACCATGTTGGCCAGGATGGTCTTGATCTCTCTTGACCTTGTGATCCACCCACCTCGGCCTCCCAAAGTGCTGGGATTACAGGCGTGAGCCGCTGTGCCCGGTGGTTTTCATGTATTTTCATTCAATCCTCACAAAACCTTTATGATACTGGCATATTATCCCCATTTTTCCGACAGGGAGGCTGCAGTTTTGAGAGGTTAGGTAGCTTGCTCAAAGTCACAGTCAGTAAGAGGCAAACCCAGGATTTGAACCTACATCTATCTGTCTGGCCCCCTAGCCTTGTGCTTTGGACTGTACCATGCTGCCTCATTACTTCCTTGATAACATGTAGGAGTGGAGAGGTTGGGGGCTGAACAAAGTGGCTTCAGGCTCCCCTGACTGGATTCCTACTGTTAGGAACTCACAGGGTCAATGGAAGTCAGGTCATTAAAGGACAGGTCGATCCAGGCCAGGTTCTCTGGGTGCTCCAACAGCTGTGAAGCCACCTGGTTGAAGTCTCTCAGATCATTGAGAACATTGTTATTCAGCCACAGGGACTGGGTCAGTGATTTCCCCGACTTTGAACGCTTCAGTGGTCGTAGTCCTGTCCTTGGCTCCTCATTTACCAGATCTGTGGGGACAAAGTGAGACTTGGGTATCATCTTTGCTTTTTTGGCTTTAGGGGGTGGGAAGGGACAGAGCTGGAAAGATTAGCCATCCAGGCTGTAGCTGGAGGGTCTGGAAGGGCCATAGCCCTGTGCCTGAGTCTAGTGCAACCCTGTCCCACAGCTTCCAGCAATCAGTAAGTTTAGACTAAGGGCCAGAGACTTCTATCTCAAGCTCTTGGCTTTCCAGGTCACATGGACTTCTCATGTCCACTGTACCACTGGGTCTTTTTTATACCAAACCAGTGTGGGGTTGAGGAAAACTAAGAACCAGAATTGTTGGGCTTGAGCTGAGTAGATGATAGCACAAAATCCTGAATTAACTACTGGTAAAGCCTATAGAATTCACTTCAGTGGAATACACTTTGATATCCTGTCTCTCTTTCCATGAATGTTGAGTACCTACAGTATGCCAGGTACTGGATATACAGTGATAAACAAAATGAGAGACAGTCTGTTCCAGACTTTGTATGAATAATAGGGCAGAGAGCAGACATTTGTGCCTTGGAGGAGCTTATATGGGCAAGATGGGAGCAAGCTGGCAACATGGTGTGATAAGTGCTATATAATAGTTGTAGCAGCACAGAAGAGAGGCTATTGACCCAGTATGGGAGCTCAGGGAAGTTTCCCAGGGAAGGTGAAGCCTGAGCTGAATCTCCATGGATTAGGGGATGTTTATCAGGCAAAGAAGGGTAAACAGGCAGGGAACAGCATGAAGAAAGGTATAGAGGTACAGAACAGCCAGGGAGTCTGGGGCGGGTTTGTGTGCCTGCACAAGTGCTTGCACGCACTGCACAAGGGGGACAGAGAGGAAAAGGAGGCAGGAATCCAGTCAAAAGTCTCAAATGTCAGGCTAAGGATCTTGGGCTTTACCCTGTGTGTAATGGGAAGGCACTGGAGTGTTTAAAGCAAATGATTCAAATCTTTTATTTCAGAAAGATCACTCTTAAGTGTCAGTGTGGAATATGGATTTTAGGGAGTGAGTTGGACCAAATGACCAATTTGGCTGTTTGAGTCATCCAAGCAAGACATGAGAGGGCCCTACAATCAACATAATTTGGTTGACTGGATGTAAAGGTAGAAGAATATTAAAGGGTGGTTGCCAGTTGTATTAACTGGTAAGGAATTACAGAAGAAGAAATAGCATTGGGAATGTGATGAGTTCAGGCTTAGCTTTGGTGTATTTGAGGTTCCTGTACAAAAAGGTGGAGAAGTCAAGTAGGCAGTTGGAGATGAAGGTCGGAAGCTCAGGAGACACAGACTTGAGAATCATTAGCATAGAAGGCATACAAGTTAGGGAAAGAGATGAGATTCCTCAGGGAGAGTGAGGGTAGGGAGGAAGGTCAGGGAGGAAGAAGAATCCATTAGAGAAGTTAAATGATCAGGGAAAATCAGGAGAGGACAGTTTAAAGATGTTCAGGGAGTAAATAGTTTATAGTAGTAAGTTCCAGGGAGGTAAGGACTGAAAAGTAATTTTGGCAACTTAGAAGTCCCTGGTAACCTTGGTAAGGGCTGCTTCAGTGGAATGGCAAGGGCCTGGAGGCAGAAGCCAGATTGAAGTGAGTGAGTTCAAGAGTGAATGGAGGCTGGTTTCATGCCTGTAATCCCAGCACTTTGGGAGGCCAAGACAGGAGGATTGCTTGAGCCTAGGCGTTTGAGACCAGCCTGGGCAACATCATGAAACCCCGTCTCTACCAAAAAAAGAGTGAATGGATATAAGCAGTTAGCATAAACAACATCCTCAGAAAGTTTGGCTGAGGAGGAGAGAGAATAGGGAATAGGATTATGTTAGAACCCCGGTGTATGGAACACCCCAAAGCCTCACTCCCACTTTTTCAAAATGAGGTCCAGTTCCCATTGCTGCTAAGCCTTTGGTTCCCTAGTTCACCCCTGGGGAAGGAAGTATTTAGTATTTGCGGAAGCTAGCCAGCTTTCTTCACTCTCTTCTGCTCTCTACTGGAAGGACACCCTTTGCCCTTCCACCCCCACCTCTCCTCCTCCTCAGATGCAGGTCAGGCAACATCCACCAGATGGCTCTCTGCCTTAATCCTAGAGTGAGCAGGACCCACAATTGGGGCCTGGGGTTGCAGGAGGGTACTGGAACGGCGTACCCCAGCTCATGAATTCCTAATCCTGCTTCCCTCCCCATACCTCCTTAGAACCCTGAAACAGAATGACACAGATGAATCAAAATTAAGGTCAAAATAACCCCACATGAACTAGTGCCCCATGTGATAAGGTAGCAGCTTGGGGAATGCCACCAAGCATGGGGTGGAGGCCAAGCTCAGAGGGAATCACTGGTGGGACAGAGTTGCCTAAAACTTGATGCTGGCTGGAGCTGCTCTTACCAAGGATGGAGTGGTATATCCAGGCTGCCACAGGTTGCTGCTCCTCTCAGATTCCACCAATGCACTACACTGCCTAAGAATCTGTAAAGTTCCTTGTTCAGAGTAGGCCAAAGCAGGTCTGGAAGCTGGACCACAAATATCAATGCTTTGGGAACTGGGGAGCATTTAGCTCCAGGAAGATCTGGGAAACTATGTTCCTGTTTTCCTCTCTCTGAAAGGCTGCCATGTAGCTCTTGCCATGTGTCAGAATACAAGTTAGTTTGATTGAACTTCCCTGTGTCATCCCTCAACCACCAACTGGAAGGTGTTGGTAGGTGTATATGGTGGGGGACTTCCTTAACACTCTAGGTTTGTGAAAAGTTAGAGGAACTGGGTTGATGGTAGCACAGATTAGATGCCTTCCAAAGGCACTGCCGTTTCAGATTCTGTAATATTTATTCATTCACCAAATAGTGTGCCAGGTACCCCCAAACTCTATTGTATCCCTTAACCCCAGCTGTAAATAAGTGTTTCAGAAGCTCTGGGGAATCTGAAGGGACTCTGACCTTTTGGGCCTTTGATGTGCCTCACATACCTAGCAAGGAGCACAATACCTGGCATATACATATGACGCACACACACACACACATATATAAATGCTTTTAGTAAGTGCTCAGTAAATATTGAACGGTTGAATGAAGGATGGGCCATCTGTACCATTTACGTTTTGTGATGTAGAGTTACCCTTGGTACTGCTTGTCTCTCTCCCAATTCTGAGGACTCCATAGAGGGCAGAGCTACACCTCCTCCATCAGAGTTAGAAATTCCCATGATAGGTAGGAGGTATACTTCCTTCCCACCTCTGTCATTGCACCTGTCTTAGAGATAGTTACTATTGCAGCTAAAACCCCTTGTGAAACATGGATTACATCAGAAGTGATGCAGTGCACAATAAAGATCACAGCAGGTGGCTGTGTGCTCGTGAGAGAACAAACGTGAGTTACCACTGTGGCTGATGATAACCCAAGTAGACCCTAAACCCAATCTAAGACTGGTGCTATTTGCCAGCTTCCCGAGCTTAAAGGCAGTGGCTACCAGTTGCCTGAGAGAAGACTAAAGCCAAATAATAGTTCTGAGATAGTGGATGTTAACGTGTATTCTGTGAGGACAGATGGACTGATGCTTTAATGAAAGACCAGATAACAAAAGCCAGGGATGGCAGAACTTCCCTAGGAAGAACGGATGACTCATTGGGAATATGACATGGCTGACAGCCTCCCTATGTTCCCTCCTGAAGGGACTAGCTACCCATTTACAAAGACATTGAATGGCAAAATGGGAGCGAGTGTGGACAGTGTTGGAACCTGCAATAAGTGTAGGTGATGATGGAATAAACTTGGATTTGGCTGGAATGAGTGTAAGAAATTTGTCAGTAAGTATTTAAACTGGAAATATGCCAGTTTGTAGATAAGACCCCTCATGTTTGGCCAGTCAGATTAGGCTTGTGTCTGCAGACAGAGGAGAAAGGTTTTGCCTACTTGCTGGGACTCCACAGGAGCCTGTGTTTTCCTCCTCTCTTCAGGTAAAAACAGGAGAATAAAACTATTGGCTGATAGACTGGCTTCCCAGTTTTCTTCCACTTGACTTTCCTGCTGTAGCCTGGCTTCTTTTAAAGATGATCAACTACTGTGATAGCCCCCTGTTTCCTTTCAGATTTGCTGCTTAAAAAAAACAAACAGGGGCACATGTTCTTAGGATCTCCTGGGGCTGTATCGGGGCAAAATCAAAACAAACAAAAAGACAGAAAAAAACCTCTCACTCTCCCCTACCCTCCAAAAGACAGTAACAACACATCTGCAAGCATATGGGAAGAATCTCTTTAGGCTTTTAAGTAGATTATGGTTTCTTCCTAGGGACCACACTGGGCCTGCTGCCTTAGTGAGTGGAGTACTGTGCTCTGGGGGCTGACCTTGAATGACGTGGATGCTTCTGAAGGAGTAGTCAAGAGGGGGCTCCTGTACCGAAGTGTTCATATAGTCCCGTTTGTTCATAGTTCAGGCCATCATTCAAAGGTGCAAGCAGGTGCCCTGGGAGTCTGGGTTCAGCCTGGGAGGACAGAGAAAGACCAGTGTTTCAAGTACACCGGCTTTCAGGTTTCCCCATAGTCCTCCATCCCTGCTTTCTGTCCTCTACTACTCTAGGCCTGCCTGGCTGTATTTCCATTTTAAGATATGAAATCACTCTTCCTTGCATCCTTGCATGTATAGAGCACTTTCTACTTCTCAGAGCACCTTCACATCTCTTAGAACTCATTTGAGAATCGAACACCCATTTCTTTGTCTGGAAAATGCCAGATGAAGAAACTGAAACCCAAGGGGTAAAAGGACTTGCCCAGAGTTAAGCCAGTGAGTCAGTTGTAGACTGCAGTCATAATCTCCTGAATCCTACTCTGAGACCTTTTCTGTTACTCTACAGTAGTTACTGTGGAGACTGTCTTGATACCCACCCTCTGTTGACATCAACTGGGCTATTCTATTGCTTAACAAATCCTTGAGGGCCTGCACCGCATCTGGTTGGTGTCTCACCACCCCTCTCAGTCTGGCCCAGCTGGGGATTTGCCACCTTCTCCGCTTGGCTTCTCTGCCAGCCCCATTACCTTTCCATCCAAATACCCTACTTTCAGCCCTATCCTGAATGTAGCCATACACATATAAACATACACACACACAAAACCAGAGTCTACCTCTCACTCACCTGTCACTGATGGCTGAAACTCCACCATTAGGCATTCATTCCTGTGGGTTCAGGGATTGTTTCCGGTTAAAATGGAAATACTCCCTGACAGGGATGAACACAATGTTGTTATCAGTCACTTGCAATGTGGTGTGAATTGTCTTATCAGATCGTTTCCAATTTGTTAGCTAAAGTAAAGCTGAGGTTTTTCTGGAGACAAGGGAGAGCCATGAGAATACTACTCACCTGGGATGAAGAGAGCTGACAACACACTTTACCAAGGGGTTTGTATGTGAATCACACAAGCAAAAGACAAATTGACAAGGATAAGGACAAGAACTTGCCCCAGTCGACCTCCCCTTTCTCATTCCATCCACTGCTGCCACCTTTGTATTATTATTTGTATTACTTCACCTGCTTTCCAAAAGGATTTCAGGTTTACAATAATAACACAGTCATAAAACAGATGATTTGCAGAATAGTGCCATCCACTAGAAATATAATGTCACAAATGCAAGCCATATATATAATTTAAAATTTTCTAGTAGCCAAAATAAGTAAAATGAAGTGGTGAAATTAATTTTAATAACTTAATTTTACCCAATATATCAAAAAATCATTCAATATGTAATCAATATTAAAACTTACTGAGATATTTTACACTTACAGCACATCCCAATTTGGACTAGCCTACCTGTCAAATGTACGTGACTAGTGGCTACCATACTGGACAGTGCAGATTAGAAAGTTAAAAATGGAAGAGAAAGATCAGAAACTAGATTACAGGAAGAGAGAGATGTGCCAGGCACTTTAAGAATCTAAGCCTACATTTAGCTCTGAAATTCCTGGCAGCCAAAGCAAAAAGAGAAACCTTGGGATTGCAGTTCTCATCATTGGATTCAAAGGATAAATTAGTTTGCAGAGACAATGAAATTGGCAAACAACTTTAAAATGGAATTTATTACTCGGGAGGCTGAGGCAGTTGGATTGCTTGAGCCTAGAAGTTGGAGGTTGCAGTGAGCTATAATTGTGCCACTGCACTCCAGCCTGGGCGACAGAGCAAGACCCTGTAGACCCTGTCTCAGGAAAAAAAAAAAAAAAAAAAAAAAAAAAAGAATTTCTGTTAAAAACCAAGGACCTGATATCTTATAATTCAGTTTAAGCCTAATACAGTTCATGTAAATTCCTTTTTTGGCAATTTAACATATACATGGATCAAGTTTAGTAGGTTTAGAGGAAAATGAATGTCTTGTTCTGAAAAAATAGCAGTACCAGCTGAGCTTTGGGGAGGTGACAGATTGAGTCACTTCACAGCTTAATTCTGTTATGAACTGGTCCCATGGGCATGGATTGTCAATTAGGGAGACTTGAATCTTTTAGATATTAAATCTACAGGCAGACAACAAAGAACACATTATTCTTTTGTAAAAATAGAGGAACCTGGCTGTCTACTACAGAACTAGAGGAACCTAGCTTAGATAGAAGCTCATCCCACTTCAGCACCTACAGCAGATTTGATACCTTTGAGCAAGATTGGATACTTTTCTCAAAGTAAATACTGGGTTGGTACCCCAGAGTTATGCACCACTGAACATGGATTTTAACTTAAAATACTTAAGGGCAGATTTTTACTGTTAGTTTTCTTGACAGAGCAACCCAGTGCAGTTCCTAAAGACTTCTGATTTTGTGTAGCACCAGCTCCTGTTGCATTTTCTGAATGGATTAGTATTAAAAATGGAGCCCCAAGAAGCTGGTTAAATTTTTAGCCTTCTGCATTTAAGCTGTAGCCCAGGCTGTGAGCTAGTATCGCATCTTATTCATTATCCAACATAGAACCAGGTTTACAACAGGCACTCAAAATGTTTGTGGGATGAATGAATGAGAAACTGCCAATTCTGAGGATTTCTGTTTCAGAAGAGTTGATGCTAAGCTGTTCTTTCTAACAATTGGTTCCCAGGTTCAGCTGTTTCAGTCCACACCTTGTTCACAGTAAGATATTCAATTCAATTCAGCAAACATTTGTTGAGTGCTTGCTGCTCTGTGCCTGACCAGAAGAAATGAAGCCAAGATACAAATAATAGAACCCTGTCATGAGCACAGAAAGACCTGCTGAGTTTCTATTGATTGTGGTAAACCAGCCTGCATCCAGTTCCAAGTAACAGCTGCCCACTTAGTGAATACTCTCTCATGTTTCAACACTCAGTTCTAGTGTAGCCTCTTCTATAAAGCCTTTCTTTTCCAGATAAAATTGGTTAATGTGTCCTGTGTTAGGCTGATTGTTTTGATGATCCCTATTCATGGTCTCCCCTGTATCCATCTCTTTTTGCCTATAACATTGTAGTCCCATCTCACTCTGATGCTGGGACCAGACATGTGACTTGTTTTAGCCAATGAGATGTCGATAAACATGAAGCAAACAGAAGCTTTAAAGGAGGCCTGCCCTCTTGCTCTTTGCCAGTGCCATGAGAACATGGCTGATCAGCTGGAGGGTTATGAGATGTGTAGGTGAGAGACATGCAAAAGAGCCAGAGATACCAGCTGAAGCCATCCTAGACTAGCCCACAGTCAGCCTACCCCCAGTCAAGATCAGGAGAGTCACCCAACCCACAGATGACTGCCGACACATGAGTAAGCCCAGCCAAAGCAGAAGAACCCTCCAGCTGACTCTAAGACTTAGAAGCAATAATAAATGTTTATTATCTTAAGCCACTGTGTTTTGGGATGGTTTATTACACGGCAATAGCTAACTTCTGCATGCCCCCACTGTACTTCAAACAAAATTTTATTACAGCTTGTTTACTCATCTGTGAAATGGAGACAAACCCTACCTTGAGAACTATTGTACATCTGGCATCAGGTGCTCAATAAATGGAAGCAGTTGTATTCTCTGTTAATTTCATTATAACCAACTTTGTTTACTCCCTATAAGCTTGAGGACAGGGACAAGACTCAGACTTCTTTCTCCCTTCTCATCATTACCCTGCATTGAGCCTGGCCAAAAAAAAAAAAAAAATCCATATTCACTAAAGGTTTGATGGACAAATGAAAATGGATGGACAATGGAAAAATGAAAGAAGAAATGAAGGAATTAATGGAGTCTTCAAGGTGTCACATAGAGAGCTTGACTGCTGGGGAGAACTGACAAAGTGTTGATGCTGCCATGCTTACTCCTGTGGCTGTGTTTTTGGAGTCAGTCTTTCCCATCTGCTATTCTGGCTTATGACCAGGAGGTAATCAGATGCCAGCACCTTCATCTGTCCAGACTGACTAACTTGATGAATGACAGGGTTAGGGGCATACCTGCCTTGTTTCGGAACTGGAATTTCTCATTTCCAAATTGACAGTATCTTTAACTGTTTTGTTTTTTAACTGTAAAAGCTAATATGATAGATGAATAAAGTGAAATGACAAGAAGTACATCAAATAGAAACTCAAAGTTTGAATCTCCATTAACAGTTTGGGAATATAACCTAGAATGTATAGCTAATAAGGTTTTACACACACACACACACACACACACACACACACACACACACACACGGTTTTCTTTTTTTTTTTTTTTTTTGAGACAAGGTCTCGCTCTGTTGTGCAGGCTGGAGTGCAATGGTGCTACCTCAGCTCACTGCAACCTCTGCCTCCTGGGCTGAGGCAATCCCACCACCTTAGCTTCCTGAGTAGCTGGGACTACAGGCACACGTCACCACACCCTGCTAATTTTTGTATTTTTTGTAGAGACACAGTTTTGCCATGTTGCTTAGGCTGGTCTCAAACTCCTGGGCTCAAGCTATTCACTCACCTTGGCCTCCCAAAGTGCTGGGATTACAGGTGTAAGCCACTGTGCCCAGCCTAGATTATGTATATTTTTAAATAAACAATATTCCTTTGTAAACCTATTTTTTAATTTTCAAATTGTTGTAGACTATTACCCTTTTTAATAGTTGCAAAGTATTTTATACTATGTATCGTACTTTAATGTTATTCACTTAATTTATTTAACCAATCCCAAGTTGACAGAAAACTGTTTTCAGTTTTGGGAAATTACTAACATTTGGAATTTGATTTGTTGCTAGCCTATTCCTGCCCTCTCTCAGGCAAGTTGCAACATGATAACACAGGAAGCTTTGAGGAATAATCACATAAATCTGATAGGAGATTCAACAGCCTGGCCCGAGAGTTTCTGATGATGGACTGATGGTGGAAAAAAAATCAAAGGCTGCTATGAAAAATCTGCCACATATTTAGCCAGGCATGGCAGCTCACGCCTATAGTCCCAGCTACTTGGGAAGCTGAGGTAGGAGTATGGCTCAAGCCCAGGAGTTCGAGGCTGCAGTGAGCTATGACTGTGCCACTGCACTCCAGTCTGGGCAACAGAGCGAGACCCTGTCAAAAGAAAAAGAAGAAAAATCTGCCACATAATCTAATATATTCTGGGAGGTTATATTCCCAGGTGCCAAAAGGAGGACCAAGATTCAACCTGGCTCCTGTCCACCCCCCTCTACTACCATCTCATCCTCAACTCCAATTCTGCAGTCTAGCCAAATGCAACCACTCACCATAAGTTCCCTGCACCTGCCACTGGGCCTCTAAGTGGAACAGTGTCTCCTTCCAGCTCTGTCTGCTTGGAATATAGTTTTTCTCTCCTCCTTTTGCTTTGCTAATTCTTATTTCAGGGCTCAGATCAGGTTTCAACTTTTCTGAGAAGTCTACCTTTATCCTCAAATCTGTAATTGTAGTGCTATGATTGCCATGGTAGCACTCGTAACACTGTAATTATCTGCTTACTATCTGTATGTCCATAAACACCAGCAGGGCAGAAACCATATTTTTTCTTACAGTTGTATCTCATAGTGCCGGCAAGTAGTAGGTGCTTAACAAACACATTAAAAATTGCAACTAAATAATACTACAAAGGAGAGGGCCATGAGGTTGCTGTAATTGAGGGATCTGACCTGGTCTGAACAGTCTACAGGAAGACATTCCTGAAGAAGTGACTGAGAGAAATCTAAAGGATAAGTACAAATTAACTTATGGGGTAGGGGGTGGTGTGGAATGAGCATTCCAGGCAGATGTGACTGCTATATGCAAAGGTTCTATGGTGGAAGGGTACTTGGAAATTTTGAAGACCTTAAAGGTTATATAACTGAAGGGGAGAGAAGGATGAATATGTATGGTTAGACTGGAGGCTGGAGAGATGGGAGCAATAGGAAACCACATAGTATTAATATTAAATGGGGGCTGGCTGGGCGTGGCGGCTCACGCCTGTAATCTCAGCACTTTGGGAGGCCAAGGTGGGCAGATCACCTGAGGTCGGGAGTTCGAGACCAGCCTGACCAACATGGAGAAACCCCGTCTCTACTAAAAATATAAAATTAGCCGGGTGTGGTGGCGCATGCCTGTAATCCCAGTTACCTGGGAGGCTGAGACAGGAGAATTGCTTGAAACCGGGAGGTGGAGGTTGCTGTGAGCCGAGATTGCGCCATTGCACTCCAGCCTGGGCAGCAAGAGCGAAACTCTGTCTCAAAAAGAAAAAAAAAAAATTGGGGGTGGGGTAGAGAGTGAACAGTATCAGCTTTGCATTTTGAAGGATCACTCTGGTTGCAGTGCGCAAATATGGCTGGGAGGGAAGGCAGGAAGGATGTGATGGTAGCTAGGACCTATATAAAAGATATTCAGGAAGTAAAGCTGATAAGACTTAGTGATAGATGGGAAATGGAAGAGGTATTAAGTAAATGGAAGAGGTACTAACTTGGGTTTTGGGCTTGGGTATATTGTGGATAAAGGTAGGAGCACTGGAAGAGATCCAGGCTTGGAGGAAAAGGTTGGGATACACAGAGATTGTTTCAATTTCAGAAATGTAGAGTTTGGGTTGCCTTTGAGGTATCCTAAAGGAGATGTTGAGGCAATTGGCTATATAGATCTGGAGCTTAGAGATGAGGGCTGGGCTTGAGATACACACTTGTGTACATTTGCATACAGGTGGAAAATGAAGTTGTGGGTGTGGAGGGGTACCCAAGAAGAGAATATAGAGTGCAGTGGCAAGAGGGCGTAGGACCAAACCTGGGAGAACTTTAAGGTAGTAAGTGGACCAGTCAGGGCCAGCTAGTCACCAGCTAGAAACCAGCTAATCATGGTCACTTCAGACATGGGTGCTGTGTTAGCCCTTCTGTTTCCTGTTTAGTTAAAAATGTTCAAGTCTCATTGTCTTAGTCTCTCTAGTTCCTTTTCCCCATTAAAAGTTTCAGGGGAGGATCTGAAATTCATTCCAGCTGAAGTGTAAATAATACAAAGTAGGCCACACAGGTTCCTTTTCCCTGGGGCAGTTTAACTTGTTCCTTGGAACAAGTCCTTCCGCTATAGAGGCAGTAGGCTGAAGCTAAAGAGACTTAGCTGGAAGTCGGAGAACTGGAGTCTAGTTCTAGCTCTGTCACTAATTTGGTGTGTGGCCTTGGGCAAGTCCCTTTTCTCTGGGTTTCAGTTTTCCAATCTGTGAAATGAAGATAAATATCCTTGACTCACAGAGCTGTTAAGAGTATCAAAAGAGAGACTGTGAAAGCACTGGGTAGGTTACTAAATGTAATAGATCTGTCGTGAGTACTAAAAAAAATGAAGCTCTAACTGTAGAGCTTTGAGTAGCGGACCACGGAGAAGGTGTGGGGAGAAAAGGGAATCTGGGGACAGATTGAGAAGGGGTTTTACTCCTTGGAAGAAGAAGGAATGAGGCACTTCACGCCCCAGGAAGTTTCCTACATCTCTAGAATTAGGGTAGCGACTGCGATTTACTCAATCTAATGCTAACCGCATGTCTTGGAAGAGGGTCTCAGTTCCTCAGAGGAAAACCAACCCCATTTCTGAGGGCGTTTCTGATCTCCCAGGTTATGCCTGGAACTTGAAGCATCCGATTTTGGGAGCTTTATGTTTGCGTTGGGGGCGGGGTTCGTTGTTTTGTTTTGTTTTTGTTTTGTTTCGTTTTGTTTTGTTTTGAGATGGAGGTATCGCTCTATAGCCCAGGCTGGAGTGTAGTTGCGTGATCACGGCTCACTGCAGCTTCAATCTCCGGGCTCAAGCGATCCTTCTACCTCAGCCTCCCTAGTAGCTGGGGCCACTGGAGCGCGCCACCAAGCCCGGCTAATTTTTTTATGTTTTTGGTAGAGACAGGGTTCGCCATGTTTCTCAGGCTGGTCTCGAACTCCTGGCCTTAAGTGGTCCGCCCGCCTTGGTCTCCCAGTGTTGGGATTACAGGCGTGAGCCACCGCTCCCGGCCCTGGGGGTGGTTCTTAAGCATCCCCAAATCTGTATGGATATATATCTCAACGCCTATCCCTCCCTCTGCTCCCCCTCGCCCAGTCTGTCCCATGTGAGTGTTGTATCTTGTTCGCTGTGAAAGGTGATGAGGGTCGGTGGGGGAAATCTCAGATCCCCGAGCAGGAAGGTTCTTAGTCGTTCTGTGAGTGCCCCTCCCTTCTCCATAGATCTCTTGTCCCCTAGAACGGGTTTCCTGTTTTCCCGCCCGACTCACCCGCAGTCGCTTCCTCTCCAGTCTTGGCGTCCCACTGCCTCAGGGTTACTCAGAGCAACTCCATGGCAACTGCTTTCGTCACCACAACCCGGCAGGCGCCATAAGTACTGACGCGATGCTTACCGGGACCTTCAGTTTGTCAGGGGCGGGGCTTCAAGGCCGCGGGTGACGCTGGGATTTGTAGTTCTCTTTGCCTTCAAGTACAGGCCGGGGTCCGGAAGCGGTGATACCCCTTCTCTTTCCCAGTGGCCCTCAAACTTCCTTTTCCCGGGTCCTTAAGCGGGCCCCGCCGACAGAGGCCAATCAGAGGGCAGCGCGAGGGGGCGGGGCCATAGTTTAAACTAATTGTGCGCTCACAGCGCTGGCGCGAGCCCACGAAGAGGTACGATTCCGGAGAATCGCGAGGCAGAGCGGGAGCGCGCAGCCAGGTAACCGGCGCGGGCCCGCGTTTGGCGTGCGGCCTGGGCACCCCTGCGGGTGCTCAGGCCTAAAAGGGGTGCTGGAGAGGCCGCTGCGAGCGGAAGGCCTCCTCCATAACCGAGTCCGAAAGGGCAGAATCTATGGGGGTAAGGTTTGTGAGGAGAGGCGCCTGAGAGGGAGGAGCCGGGGGGGGGGGGGGTGCCTTAAAGGGGAGGGTCTGTTTGGGGGCGTGTCTGTGGAATTAAATCTGAAGGTGACTGGGGTCGGGGGTATAGGGCAAGTTCCCGAAAGGCTTGTAAGCGAGGGGTCGGGTCCTGGAAAGTCTTTGCCTTTTATCGTTAACAATAGCAGTAGTTATGGTAGTGCAGTAGTCAGCATTTTCTGAGCTACACCGTCCACAATGACCTGCCAAATGTTTATCTTTTTAATCTTCTAACCACCTGTTATACTTTAAAGATGGGGAGCCTGAGGTTTATAATGTTTAGCTTGGCCCGGGTTACGTAGCCAGTGCGAGGTTGGCTCTACTTTGGGTTTATGGGTTGGGCATAAATGGGGACGGGGAAGGTGCTTTGTGGGGGCGCGCGTTGTCTTGGACTGGTCAGTGTATTTTGAGCCTCACTTTTCATATATGTAAACAATGACCTTACCTGCCTTACCTACTTCCTGGGGTGGTTGTCCTGGTCAAAACAGGTTAAGTCTTTTTTTTTTTTTTTTTTAATTTTTGTTTGTTTTTGTTTTTCATCCATGGACTCTCACAGATAACATGTTTCATACACGCACCTCGGAGAGTACAAATTTATGACTATAAGTGGTGTGACTGTGTGAAGATTGTGGGTGGGCGGGAGCCCACTGGGTTGATGCTGCCGCCTCTGGGTACTCTCTTTTGCTTACCTCTGAGTTAGCACTTGTCATTTTTTTTTTTTTTTGAGACGGAGTCTCGCCCTATCGCCCAGGCCGGAGTGCAGTGGCGCGATCTCGGCTCACTGCAACCTCTGCCACCCGGGTTCAAACAGTTCCCTGCCTCAGCCTCCCGAGTAGCTGGGATTACAGGCGCCCGCTACCACACCCGGCTAACTTTTGTATTTTTAGTAGACACAGGGTTTCACCATCTTGGCCAGGCCGGTCTTGAACTCTTGACCTCGTGATCCGCCCGCCTCGGCTTCCCAAAGTGCTTGGGATTACAGGCGTGAGCCATCACGCCCGGCCTGCCATCTGGTATTTTAAAAGTCTGCGTGTTTGTCTGCCCTTCTAGATAACGAGAGACTTTTTCGTCACTGTATCCTAATGGCTAGGCAGGATTTGCGACATGTAATGGGAATAAATGTATGCTTTGGAATAATTTCTTGGGCTGAAAGGGCACAGGAATTTCGCTTTCCCGTTTTCATTTAGTGGCATTTGAACCTCAGTATTAAGCTGTCCTCTTTACTGGAATGGCACTCCCTCTTGAAAACGTGATGATATTTTCTTGCTTTAATACATAATTCCCTCTCTCTAGTATCTGTTGCCTGGTTCTATGTTTCCAAACTTCTGGGTTGTCTGGTCGTTAAAGCTTTAATGGTAAGGGAGTTGGGCCTCTCTGCTTTGTGGAGATCTTTACTGCTGTGAATATATGGGAACCTGGGGCGAACATGAGGATCATGTAAGGTAGCTTTCTGTCAGCACAGATGGGTTTATGTTTCCTCAGTCCCTCTTTCTGTGTGGTATTTTCTTCTTTAGAGGAAGAACCACATACTTTTTTGTGAAAGCTTCCAAAGTATTCTTTTCGTAGCCTAAGTTCTAGCAAGGGATGACTAATTGTAATGTCTAAGCTCTTAGTTCACAGCGAAAAGCGGTACATTCCAAAAGCTTAAAGATCTTACCTGAAAGCTCGTTAAGAAACGTAGAATTCTTTTTTACATGTGGAACATGGAAGTGGGAAGAATGCCTTGAAATAAGACTTGAATTCTAGAACTTTTAGGATGAGGGCAAAGCCCTGCTCAGGTGGCTGAACAGAGCTGATCAGGGGCTGTTTGGACAGCTGTGTCTAATTGATAAAACTATGATCAGAAGATATTAGGTTTGTGCAAAAGTAATTGCAGTTATTGCCATTGAAAGTAATGGCAAAAACCACAGTTACTTTTGCATTAACCTAATATATGGTGTGGTCATTTAATTTAGCCTCTTACCCAGTGTACACTAAACATACCAAAAGGTGTTGTCCAGACTCAAAATGAGTACTTTCTAGAATGAGATCATTCCCAAAGTCAATCCATCTCTAAGCTGAACAATTCTAATTGATAATTATTATTTTGTAGCTGGGCATGGTGGCTTGCCCTGTCATCCCAACTACTCTGGAGGCTGAGGCAGGAGGAGCAGGCGGGAGAATGGCTTGAGCCCAGGAGTTCTTAGCTAGCCTGGGCAACAGAGTGAGACCCCAACACAATTAAAATATGTTTATTGTTTTGTATTGTTAGTGATTATTTCATTTTACCCATGTATGTCTACTGTTTGCTTTTTCACTATTTTTCCTTGCATTTTATTCCTTCCTTTTTTATTGCATAGATACATACATCCTTCAGATGTTTGTCCAGTGGGAATCTGTTAGTGGTAAACACTGTCTTCATTTAAAAAATCTTTATTTCACTTTCAGTTTTTTGTTTTTTTTTTTTTTTTGAGATGGAGTCTCACTCTGTTGCCCAGGCTGGAGTGCAGTGGCACAGTCTCGGCT
This sequence comes from Homo sapiens, assembly GCF_000001405.40. NCBI lineage: Eukaryota > Metazoa > Chordata > Mammalia > Primates > Hominidae > Homo > Homo sapiens. The sequence goes on along the minus strand of NC_000011.10, from coordinate 72,077,758 downwards.
CACTGCAAGCTCCGCCTCCCAGGTTCACACCATTCTCCTGCCTCAGCCTCCCGAGTAGCTGGGACTACAGGCGCCCGCAACCACGCCTGGCTAATTTTTTGTATTTTTAGTAGAGACAGGGTTTCATTGTGTTAGCCATGATGGTCTCGATCCCCTGACCTTGTGATCCTCCCGCCTCGGCCTCTCAGAGTGCTGGGATTATAGGCATGAGCCACTGTGCCCAGCTCACTTTCAGTCTTGATTGGTAGTTTAGCTGGGTACTAGGCTTCCAATTATTGTCTCTTAGCACTTTGAAAGTGTTTTTTCATTGAAATTCTGGCTTTTTGTTGTTACTCTTGAGAACTATGCTTGCAAATTAACTTATTTTATTGTGGGTAACCTGTCTTTCTTTCTGTTTGTTTTTAAGATCTTCTTTGCTGTCATTTGTGTTCTGTACTTCCATTACATGGTGTGAATTTAATTTTCTTAAATCACTATATACTGGGGGCATATAGTAATTCCTTAATCTGAAATTTCATATCTTTTCACTAATTGTGTAAAAATTCCCAATCATTACCTCTTTACCTCTCTCAGATCTCATGCGTAACTTATGTTGAACTTCCTCATTCTGTCGTCTACATCTTATTCTTTCTTTCATAATTTCCATTTCTATCTTTCTGTGTTAACTTCTGGATAATTTCCTTATATCTATCTTCTAGTATACTAGTTTACTCTTCAGCTAGGTCTAATTTGTTTTTTGAATTCTTATTTTTATTAGCTAACTTTTTCATTTATTAGAAGTGCTCTTTGGTTCATTTTCAAATCTGCTTGTTTTTCGTGATCTTGTTTTTGTCTCATGTTTTCAATTTTGTGTCTGTAATAATTTTCAAGAAAGTTGAGTTTTGGCAGATGTCTACACCTGTAAACAGCAGCCATAATCAAGATACAGAGGATTTCTCTCACCCCCAAAAGATTTCTCATGCTTTTTTTTTTTTAAGATGGATTTTACTCTTATTCTCCAGGCTGGAGTCCAGTGGTGCAATCTCGGCTCCCTGCAACCTCTGCCTCCTGGGTTCAAGCGATTCTCCTGCCTCAGCCTCCTGAGTAGCTGGGATTACAGGCATGCACCACCATGCCCAGCTAATTTTGTATTTTTAATAGAAATGGGGTTTCACCATGTTGGTCAGGCTGATCTTGAACTGCCAACCTCAGGTAATCTGCCCTCCTCGGCCTCCCAAAGTGCTGGGATTACAGGCGTGAGCCACCGTGCCCGGCTCTCATACTTCTTTACAGTCCGTTTTTCCTTTCACCCTGATACCAGGAACCACTGATCGTTTGTTTGTTTTTCACTACATATTAATGTCTGCTTCCTAGAATTTTATTTTATTTTATTTTATTTTTTGAGATAGGATCTGTCTGGCTTTGTTGCCCAGGTTGGAGTGCAGTTGCAGGATCTTGGCTCACTGCAACCTCTGCCTCCTGGGCTCAAGCAGTCCGCCCACCTCAGCCTCCCAAGTAGCTGGGACTACAGGTGCACACCACCATACCCGGCAAATTTTTATATTTTCTGTAGAGACAGGGTTTTGCCATGTTGCCCGGGCTGGTCTCGAACTCCTGGGCTCAAGCAATCCACCCACCTCAGCCTCCCAATGTGCTGGGATTACTGGCGTGAGCCACTTCACCCAGCCTGTTTTGAATTCCTAGACGGTTTTTCCCTCCTTTCTCACTAGGTGAGCAAGGCAAGTTTTTTATTTCTCTCTGGACAGATTTTTTTTCCTAGTCTATTATCTTACTGAGTATAAACTTAAGAATCTCAGCCTCTGCACAGGGATCTCAGTGCCTTTTGTGGACTCAAGATCTGTCTTCTGAACCTATGAGGGTGTTACAAATTCCATACACGGCTAGGACAGCTATGTCATCAGCTCGCTAATCCTCCTCACTAATTTGTTTCTGGTTCCTGGGGATTTTTCTTACTTTCTTGAGAGCTCAGTTTATCTATATGTCAGTTCAGATCCAATCAGCAAAACAGAAACCACACAATAGAGTGAACTCCATAAAGGAGATTGATTTAAACCCTTGGTGGAGGGCTGAAAAAGCAGAAAGGGAATATTAAAGTAACTTCAATATAATAACTGCATAAAGAATTTTTCTCATCCAGGACTGAAAAACAAAGGGAGGAAGGTTGGGGCTACCAGAACCTAGAAGTCTAGAGGGATCTGGAATAGCTGTACCCAGATTCTCTGGAGAGGGTGTTACCTGGTGCTGCTGGTTTCTCAGGCCCTTATAGGAGGAACCTGGAGGAGCTGGCTTCTGTTGAGCCTTACTTAGCTGATGCTGGTGCCTTTGAGGGGCAGGAGGCTGGTTTTGGGAGTTTAGAAGGCAACTGGGAAGAACCAACTTCTGTTGTCAAGAAACACCAGGCTACAAGAAGGAGGAAGTCCCTTGTAGCCTTCTCTTGTCTTCTGTTTTCCCCTTAGCACCCCCTGTTGACAGGGATCCAGCTGGCAAATGTGAAATGGGGTTTAGTGGAGTCCAGGCCCCAGCATCACAAAGCGGAGCATAACAGGGTAGATTTGGAGCTGAGAGACAATACCTTAATAGCTGGCACAGTCTAGAAGGATGTTTATTATATTTTTCTGAGCACTTCTAGGCATATTTAGTAGGAAGGGCTTCAGGTTATCTGGTCTGTTTTTTGTATTGTATATTATTTTTATTTTATTTATTTATTTATTTATTTATTTATTTTGAGATGGAGTCTCACTCTGTCGCCCAGGCTGGAGTGCAATTGCACAGTCTTGGCTCACTGCAACCTCCGCCTCTCGGGCTCAAGTGATTCTCCTGTCTCAGCCTCCCAAGTAGCTGGGATTACAGGCACGTGCCACTGCAACCAGCTAATTTTTGTATTTTTAGTAGAGACAGGGTTTGACCATGTTGCCCAGGCTGGTCTCGAACTCCTGACCTCAGGTGATCCACCCGCCTCAGCCTCCCAAAGTGCTGGGATTACAGGCGTGAGCCATTGCACCCAGCCTGTTTGTTATTTTGAGACAGAGTCTTGCTCTGTCACTCTGGCTGGAGTGCAGTGGCGTCATCATAGCTCACTGCAGCCTCGATCTCCTGGACTCAAGCTATCCTCCCACCTCAGCCTGCTGAGTAGCTGGAACTACAAGTGCACGCCACTGTGCCTGGCAACTCTTTTTATTTTTAGTAGAGACGAGGTCTCACTATGTTGCCCAGGCTGGTCTCAAACTCTTGAGCTCAAGCAGTTCTCTCAAAGTGCTGGGATTACAAGCACAAACCACCACACCCAGCCTGGTCTGTTGTATCAACATTTAGTAATAGCAATAGGTAACATTTTTTTTCCAGCGTATATTGTGAACTAGGCACTGTTCTAAGTACTTTACAGAAACTACTTCTTTTTATTTTTTTTGAGATGGAGCCTCTCTCTATCACCCAGACTGGAGTACAGTGGTGTGATTTCTGCTCACTGCAACTTCCACCTCCCAGGTTCAAATGATTCTCCTGCCTCAGCCTCCCGAGTAACTGGGATTACAGGCGCACACCACTACCGTCTGGTTAATTTTTTTTGAGATGGAGTTTCGCTCCTGGTGCCCAGGCTGGAGTGCAATGGCGTGATCTTGGCTCACTGCAACCTCTGCCTCCTGGGTTCAAGCGATTCTCCTGCCTTATCCTCCTGAGTAGCTGGGATTACAGGCATGCGCCACCAAGCCTAGCTAATTTTTTTTGTATTTTTAGTAGAGACGGGTTTCCCCATGTTGGCCAGTCTGGTCTTGAACTCCTGACCTCAGGTGATCCACCTGCCTCAGCCTCCCAAAGTGCTGGGATTACAGGCCTGATCCACCGCAGCCAGCCTCGGAAGCTACTTCTTAAAGCTCTGTGAGCTAAGTTCTATTATTACTATTCTCTTTTACAGGGAAGGCAACTGAGGCACAGGTAGATTAATCTCCCCAAAGCCACACAGTTTATAAGTGGTGGAGTTGACATCCTAATCCAAGCATTCTGGGTTCTACATCCCACATTCTGAACTTCTACAACATGCTGAAATTTCTTCCCTGTGGCAAACCAAAATCAGTCTTCCTGTAACTTCCACTCATTAGTTCTGGTTTTGTATTCTTATAGTGGACTCATAAGTCTTTCTCCTCATCTATGTGAAAGCTATGCGTATATTTGAAAAAAGTTTTCTTGTTCTCCCCTGGCTAAAAGTGTGTAGTTCTTCCTCCATATTTGAAATGATATACTTCTAGACCCTTTGCCATGGTCATTGGTGTTCTTCCTCTGCAAGTCCTCTAACTTTGCTCTTCAAAGGTGGGGCATAGAGTCATCTTCTACTAATGCAGCTTAAGACTGCATTGATGTTTTGGGTAGCTCTGTCAGATTCATGGTTTACTGAGAGTGTGCTTAATAATGGCCTCTCCTCTACCTCCTACTGTGGGCAACTTTTTTTTTTTTTTTTTTGAGACAGGGTCTCGCTCTGTCACCCAGGCTGGAGTGCAGTGGCTGTCTTCCCACCTCAGCCTCCTAAGTAGTGTAGCTGGGACTACACCCGGCTAATTTTTTTGATTTTTAGTAGAGACAAGGTCTTGCTGTGTTGCTCAGGCTAGTCTTGAACACCTGAGCTCAAGCAATCCTCCTGCCTCGGCCTCGCAAAGTGCTAGGTTTATGGGTGTAAGCCATTGTGCCTGGCCTAGGCAGCTTTTTTTTTTTTTTTTTTTTGAGACGGAGTCTCGCTCTGTGTCACCCAGGCTTGAGTGCAGTGGCGCGATCTCGGCTCACTGCAAGCTCCGCCTCCCAGGTTCACGCCATTCTCCTGCCTCAGCCTCCCCTCCCGAGTAGCTGGGACTACAGGCACCCGCCACCGCGCCCAGCTAATTTTTTGTATCTTTAGTAGAGACGGGGTTTCACCGTGGTCTCTATCTCCTGACAGTGTGATCCGCCCGCCTTGGCCTCCCAAAGTGCTGGGATTACAGGCGTGAGCCACCGTGCCTGGCCAGGGGAATAGTTTTGACAATTCCTCTGGCAAATTGGAGGAGGAGCTGTCTAGAAAGGCCAGTATCTTGGGTCTCATTGAGGGGAGGAGAGAACCAAGGTAAAGGGTTGGCTATTAGGTAATCAGTCGCGGTAATAAGGGGCCATTTGGCAGAAGTAAAAATGAGGTATCTGATGGCTGTAGAAGGGAGAGAAGGCATTATTGCATAGCATGCTCCTGGGTTGAGGCCTCTGTTGGCAGCTGTGTCGCCTGCCCTTTCTGTCCTATTGAAGGGCCAGTTTCTTTGAAGTCTGCACAGGAAATACCAGTGATTCAGCCTTGCAGATTTCTTCTGCCTTATTGCAGCTGAGGACTGGTTTATCTGGTGAGGAGGAAAGACTGCATATATTTCAGGCATGTTTATTTGATACTTGAGTGCCTTCCTGTGACTGGCCAGAGACACTTGTTTTGCAGATTGTCAAATTTTTGGTACCCGGTGGCAAGGTGGATGCAATGTGACCTCAACTCTTGGTCCTCTGAGGTCACATTGTATCCACCTTACCACTGGGTACTAACGTGTGGGCAGCAGCTGCATTCTGCCTAGCGAGTGGGCATTTGTTCAGTGCCTGTACTTCTGTGATGGCCTCAATGAGGAGTGAGGTAATTGCCTGCTTTTCTAGATTTCCTGTGGTGTGACAATGTGAGTTTTGGAGAAACCTCTTATTCCCTAAGAATTTCCTACTATACCCCTCATGAGCTGCAGCAAAGTGGACTCTGTCTGATTGCTGACCTCCAAATGCCCAGTTTCCTTAGGTAGTGAGCAGATACCTAAAGTAATGAGTGCCTATTATATCTGTCACAGAGCTGAGTATATAAAAAAGTATATAATACAGGATTTCCCTCCTTACTAAATTATTTTATTTTGAAAATTTTCAAACCTATAGATATTTTGCAAAATAATGTAACAAATACTTATATACTTCTCATTTAGAGTCACTATTAACATTTTGCCAAATTTGCTGTCTATTTATCCTTCATTTTCTGAATCTTTTTGACTGTTAGATGTAAATATCATGTTATTTAATCCCTATTTCAGCAAGTATTTCCTAAGAAAAAGGTATCTTCCTATATAACTACAGTACTATTAACACTCAGGAAACTTAACATTGATTCAATACATCCAGTATATAATACTTGTTCAGATTTCTCATCTTTTCCCAGTGATGTCTTTTATTGAGTTTTTTAAAATTCAGGATTCATTGAAGGATCATGCATGTATTTATGCACTTAGTTGTCATGACTATCATGTCTTTAGTCTGCTTTAACTTTGAACAGTTCTTTTTTAATCTGAATGCCTTTTTGTCTTTCATAGCATTTGTCTGATTCTTCTTGATTAGATTCAGGTTAGGCATTTTTGGTAGAAGAACTATATAGATTAATACAATAGTTTGATTGATGAGGCTGACACTAAAATACATAGAAGCAGTATCTGATTTTGCAAGACAGTATATAATTTAGCACTTATTTGTGTTGTCTAATCTATAAACCCTATAGGAATTTACAGAAGAAGGAATTCAGTAGGACTTGGATAACTAGGAATGAAATACTTTGGCAGAAAGATGGGGTTTGGAAAATGAACAGAATTGGAGGCAGTTGGGATATGGTTAGATAAGCTGTGATTTGGGCTTCCCATCCTACTATTAAGGTTGTGTATCATGAAAAGTGACTTTGAGGGTTCTGTATCTTCCATGGTGTTTGCACTGCTAGAAGCCTAATGGTGTAGAGCTCTTGCTTTGGCATCAGACAGGTCTAGAGACTGTGCCCAGCATTTTGCCAGTTACCTAACCTTGGGGAAGTTTTCTCATTTGCAAGATAGAGTATTAATAACTATTTAAAAGGTTATCGTGATGCTCACAGTGAGACACTACATAAATATTTGAATTAAAATATTTGAATGCCTTTAGGGGGGTGCAGCGTTTCCTAGATCTGCCATGTGCCCCACTGGATCATTCATTTTGTTTTGTTTGGATACGTGGTTTCGCTCTGTTGCCCAGGCTGGAGTCCAGTGGCACGGTCTCAGCTCACTGCAGCCTCCCAAGTGGGTGGGACCCAGGCACACTCCACCACACCTAGCTAATTTTTTGTATTTTTGTAGAGACGGAGTTTTACTATGTTGCCCAGGTTGGTCTGGAACTCCTGAGCTCAAGCGATCTGCCCACCTTGGCTTCCCAAAGTGCTGGGATTACCGCTGTGAGCCACTGGGCCTTGCCTGGATAATTTGTTTCTGTTACCTGCCTGACCCCTGAAGATGTTTGAATTTACCACTCCTGGATAATTGAAAGCAGGGAAATGAGAAAAGGCTTGGCTCACGCAGAGAGAAGTGGGAAGACTGGCTTGATCAATTCAGAGTATATTCTGTAGAATAGTGGGAAATAAGGTTGAATAAATGACTTGAGGCCATATAATGGAGGATTTGGAAAGTTAAGCCAAAGAATTTAGATATGATGCTTTAGGGAGAAGAAAACTGGAAGATTTTTGAGCAGGAGGAGAGACACTTGAAAATGAGAGTGGTGTGGGGCCTCCTGAGGAAGAAGTTTTCTGGCTTAAAGACTGAAATCCTAACAGGGCAGGGCCTTCACAGTGCTGACCAAGTGTGGGTGTGGCTTGGCAGTCTTGCCACAGAAGGCCAGAATTTCTGCCCCAGTGACTCTTCCTGCTCTGCCACTGACTCACCCCGTTGACCTGGCCTGCATGGCTTCCCTTCTGCTTGCTGTCTGATCCACAGAACGCTGGGGTTGCCCAGGATAATGTGAGGCTGAGCTCACTAAGAGTGGGTGGGTTAGGGGAATGAATAATCATTCCTGTCCCTTTGCCCCTTCCCTAGGTGGAAACTAATTCTAAGCCAGACTGCTGGAGATCACCCTGTTCTAGTGTGTGGAGGCTTCCACCAGGAGGTAAGTCAAAATGGTTTCTGCCCTCTAGTTTTTCATAGGTCAGCTTTGTCCTGAGCAGGATCTCTACCATTTACTTTTTCCCTGACCCAGATTCTTCAAAGTGATTGTCTTTGTCTTTCAATTATTTGAGGCAAACAGGTTACTGTAGGAGGAGAGCAGAGAGGTTTAATAAAGATATTTTTCTAACTGTGGGAGGGTGGTGTCCAGAGGTTTTCATTGGCCCTTGCTCTGAGGTAGATTGCCCAGAACTCTTGTGAGCCAGACACTAAACATTGGCCATTGAGGCCACTGCAGAGAAGTCCTGGTTTTTAAGCCATCATTTCTCTGCTACTGGGTTTCAGAACCATTCTTGGTGTGCTTTAGTGTCCCAAGTTATTTCTGTCCCTTTTGATCAGGGGAGTGAAGGAAGTGAGAAGCAGGGGAGGAGGAGCTGTATACATAAGTATGTGTGGGTGCATTATGCTGGGAGTTTGGGTGTCTGGGTTTCTCATCCTGACTGTTGCTAACCAGATGTGTGACCAGGGACAAATTGCCTAACCTCAATGGACTGAACTTTTCTCATATGTAAAAAGGGACAGTTAGGATTATATGATCTTGAAGATTTCTTCCAGGGCCAAAATTTATCATTATATAATGTGTAATTATAAAGTGATATAATAGTTGAACAAATGTGACAGATATTGTACATGTCTTGCCCCCTTGATTGTAATTATGGGGCAATTAGAATGTTTTTAAGTTTGACCCCTTCAAAGTAATTGTGTTCTCAGCCTTTAGATTTCCTTTGGTGATGGTGTCATTGCCTCAGACTGCCTCTGAGCCAATCTTTTGAATATCCTCAGAGGTAGCAAATCTTTACTCTTAGCTTGGTGGATTCAATTTTTAGAAACAGCCAGAAGATGCCGTGAGCCAAAGATTCATGCAAGGCAATACCTTTTTTGGTGAAGGATGAGGTGTGACTATAAAACAGTAACACCGAATTTTTCTGTTTGTCTCACATGGAGTAGACTTTAAAGGCAGCTCCCAAAGAAGTGTTTTGTTAGAATAAGTAAATAACTTCCTAAGGAGAGTATTTTGATTGCAGTTTTCATTTGATTTAATAAGATTAGAAATGTCTGCTGGAAAACAAGTCACTTTCCTTTATAGTGACTGTGCATATGCTTGCTTATAGGTTGGGGTGACTAGATAATGGAGAAAACTGGCCTTTCTTTTCTTTTTTTTTTCCAGACAGGGTCTCTCTCTGTCACCCAGACTGGAGTGCAATGGCGGGATCTCAGCTCACTGCAACCTCCACCTCTCGGGTTCAAGCGATTCTCCTGCCTCAGCCTCCCTAGTAGCTATGATTACAGGCATGTGCCACCATGCCCAGCTAATTTTTTGTATTTTTAGTAGAGACAGGGTTTCACCATGTTGGTCAGGCTGGTCTTGAACTCCTGACCTCAAGCGATCCACCCGCCTTGGCCGCCCAAAGTGCTAGGATTACAGGCGTGAGCCACCGCGCCCTGCCAAAAACTGGTCTTTCTCCTGGTACTCCTCCCAAATCACAAGTGTGTTGAGGGCTGAAACACAAGTGTGTTGAGGGAACAAGTGTGTTTCAACATGTTGCTCTATAGGAAACTGCAGCTGAGGAGCCATTGCAGTCCCATCTCCAGAAGACCCCCAGAAAGAGTTGGAAGAGTTCTTCAGGCTGTGGCAGCCACTGCCCACCAACACACCCAAATCAATCAAGATGAATCCCAGGTGGTGAGGCTGAAGCAGATGGTTTGGTAGCTCCAGTCTTTTTTTAGGCAGAAATGATGTATTAAATCACTACATTGATTTTTTTGTTGTTGTTAGCAGTTGTGGGTTTGAAAAAAGGTAGGCAGGAAGATGGTGAAGGGGTCAAGCCTAGGGGCTGTTATCTTGAATATATGCAAATTAAGCTGATTATATTGTAGTGCCCTGTAACCTGTTCCTGGAAACAGTGGTCTTGAAAACTCATCAGTTAAATGAGGTGTTAGACAGCCTGGTCAAAAGATTCTGTGACTAAGTTACTGTATAATCATTTGCAATTCTCTTTCTTACTCTAAACATTGTTTTCCTCATTTTTATATTGAAAGAGTTAAGAGATGCTAAAAATTCTAGATCTGAAAATTGGATAAGCCTAAGAAGGTTTGAGGTAGGGAAATGTCTATTCTAAGCTGTTTGACTACTGGACTTGGGGTAGGAGTGGAATTTCTTTTTTACTTCCTAAATTATAGTTACTTTACTCTCTACTTATAGTCACAGCTGGGTGATCAGACATTAAGTAGCTATTTAATGAGAAGCAGGCACTGGAAGCTTGCTCCAGAAAAACAATCACAGGACATGTTGGTCCTGAGAGAAGTCATTCCTTGGTAGGACCTATTGTTTGAAGGAGGTGGGGGTGAATTTCATCAAAATGGACAGTGTGGATATTGTGATTCAGAGGATTGAGAGACTTTGTTTCCTGCTGTTATTAATTTCAAGCCTTTTTTAAAGGGATTCTCCTAGTGATTGGTACAGTGGGATTCATTTAGAGAAAAAGCCTTGTGTACCAGTTGGAAGTTAATGCCCAAGAGCAGGGCCAGTTGCTGGAGGACAAAGTGGCCTAATTAGTTGCTTTTCAATACTTAGATCCTACAGGCTACCCCAAAGATAAAATAGGCTACTTTGTAGCTCAGATCTTCCAGCCTAGTGCCTAGCAAGCTCACTAAGAAGAGGAGGTGACCTGTAGAATCCACACCTCTTAATCTCCCTATTTCTCTTCTTTCCCTCATTGCCCTTTAGTTTTAATTAGGATTGTGTAAACATAGTCATCTTGCCAGTCCTCTTAAAGTGGCAGGCCCTTGGCATTTTCTGCTGGTCACTCATGCTATATGTATAACTTGCAATTAGAGGGACTAGCTTTGACAATTTGCCATCCCTGGCTGTACCACTGAAAGAATTCAGATAAGGGCCAATTGGCTGTCATTTACTCAGGCAGCATATTTAGTACCTACTGTGTGCAAGCAGTGTGCTGGAGTGGAAATGATTTTAAAATGGTTTCTGCCCTCCAGGAGTTTAGTAAAATGAAACAAGTATTACAGCTAGCATCCACCCAGGGAGGATTGTAATTAAGTTTGTAGAGGAACAAGCAATATGGGAGCACATAGAGGAAAGAACAATTGTTCCTGATGGTGGGGGCGATAAGGAGAGTTTGGGAGAAGGCATTTGAGCCAGGTTGTAAAGGAAGAATAGGAGTTCAGTAGGTTTAGGAGACAGGGCATTTAATGGAGGTCACACCATGGGCAAAGGCACACAGCTTGGAAAATGCCTGGCATGTATGGGGAAAATGTGCCTGAGGTAGAGGATATTTTAGGGAATGAACTGAAGATGAGGCTGGGAAGGAAATTTGAGGGTTGGATCTTAGAGAACCTTAAGCGTTATGCTAAGAAATTTGGATTTTATTCTTCATGTAATTAGCTGTTAAGTGTTTTTGATTTACAGACTAACATGACCCAATCTATGTTATTTAGGTCCTGTCTATTCTTTTTTTTTTTTTTTCTTGAGCAGAGTTTCGCTCTTGTTGCCCAGGCTATAGGCGTGATCTCGGCTCACCGCAACCCCCGCCTCCTGGGTTCAAGCGATTCTCCTGCCTCAGCCTCCCGAGTAGCTGGGAATACAGGCATGTGCCACCACGCCCGGCTAATTTTTGTATTTTTAGTAGAGATGGGGTTTCTCCATGTTGGTCAGGCTGGTCTCAAACTCCTGACCTCAGGTAATCCGCCCACCTCGGCCTCCCAAAGTGCTGGGATTACAGGCATGAGCCACCACGCCCGGCCCGGTCTTGTCTATTCTTAAGTGTAAAGTCTTAGAGGTTAGGTTGAGAGAAGGTGGTGGTCCTGGTTCTTACAGTACAGTATTAAGTTTGTCAGGCATCTCATGTTTGAGAACTTGATTCCTCAGTTATATTTACTAAAACAACTCCAAAAGCAAGAAGGCAGGAAGTGGTCAGAGCTGTGTCCCTTTAAACTGAGCTCACTGACCCACCAAAGATGATTTTCTTAGGCATATACATTATGAACAGTCTTCTTGCTAGTGGGTTGCTTACTACTGATAATCCTTTGTGGATAAAATTTCACACAAGGAGCAGGCTTTTCATTATAGGGCAGAAACCAAAAACATTTTTTAAGCCTGATTGAAAAATAGTATATATTCATTCTAGGATATGTGAAAAACGCAGAGAAGTATAAGGAAGAAAACTGAAATCACCCGTAATCCCACTATCTGGAGAAAACTACTGTTCTTATTTTAGCCTATTTTCTTTCAGTATTTTGTGCTTGTATATTTCTGGTTTTGCAATTTCCAGATCATATATTACCTAAAATTTTATATTCTGCTTTTTTCCCCATTTACCATTTTTTCATTATATAAATTTATATATACTCTTCATAAATATTTGTAGTGGCTGCATAATAGTCTATCATATAGGATTTTTATATGCTTTCAGGTTTTTTCAAATAATAATGGAATTTTTTTCAAATCATTTTTGTAATAGATATAACAAATAAGTCCCCAAATAAGTCTTTACCCTAATTCTGCCCTGCAGAAGTAACCATTATTTATTAATAGTTTTCTGTGTATCTTTATATGAACATTATTATGCATAAGTTTTTGTCTACGTTTTTGGTTATTTTCTTATGATACATATCTACAAATAGATTACTAGATTAAACAATATGAAAGTAATTTTTTCCTAATTGTATATGATGGTACTATTTAGAAAACATGAAAAATAATGTGTTAAGGGGGAAAGTAAAAGGCACCCATAATTCCACAACTCAGAAATGAACATTATTTGGTATACTTCCTTACACGTATACATACACATATACAAACTCACAAGTATGTGGGGAGAGGGATAAATATGTATATGATATATCTATCTGTCTATAAATATTTGTATATATAGTTTCAAAAATGGGGCCATACCATAATAGTTTTATCCTGCCTTTTTTTTGTTTGTTTGTTTTGAGACAGGGTCTCACTCTCTCACCCAGGCTTCAGTGCAGTGGTACGATCACAGCTCACTGCAGCCTCAACCTTCTGGGCTCAAGCAATCCTCCTACCTCAGCCTCCCAAATAGCTAGGACTACAGGTGCATGCCACCATGCCCGGCTAATTTTTGTATTTTTTGTAGAGGCAGGGTTTCACCATGTTGCCCAGGCTGGTCTTGAACTCCTGAGCCCAAGCGATTCACCTGCCTTGGCCTCCCAAAGGGCTGGGATTACAGGCATATGCCACTGCACCCAGCCTATATCCTGCTTTTAAAATTCAACATTTCTTGAGTATTTCCCCATGTCATTAAAATTATTTAAAACTTTTTTTTTTTTCCCCAGAGACGGGGCCTTGCTCTGTCACTCAGGCTGGAGTGCAGTGGTACAGTTGCAATCCTAGCTCACTGCAGCCTTGACCTCCTGGGCTCAAGTGATCTTCCCGCTTTAGCTTCCCAAGTAGCTGAACTACAGGCGCATGCCATCATGCCCAGCTATTTTTTTTATTTTTATTTTTTGTAGAAGTGGAGTCTACTATGTTGCCCAGGCTGGTCTTGAACTCCTGGGCTTAAGCAATCATCCCACCTCAGCCTTCCAAAGTGCTGGAATTATAGACGTGAGCCACTGTACCCAGCCAAACTTATTTAAAACATTTTAAGTGACTGCATAAGATTTCATCATATGTATATTCTTGCCATAATTTAAGTTATTGTTAGATATTTAGTTTTCCTTCAGTTTTTCAGAATGATAAATAATTCTATTAATGTCCATATATCTTTGTATTTCAGATTATTTCCTAAACTTTTATTTCTGTGATTGGAATTATTTGATGAAAGAACATGAGATTTTTTTTTTTTTAATTCTTTTTGTTTCTTTTTTTTTTTTTTTTGACACAAGATCTCACTCTGTTGCCCAGGCTAGAGTGCAGTGGTATGATCACAGCTTATTATGGCTTCAGCCTCCCAGGCTCAGACTCAAGTGATCCTCCCACCTTAGCCTCCTGAGTAGCTGGGACTATAGGTGTATGCCACCACACCTGGCTAATTTTTAAATTTTTTGTAGAGACATGGTCTCACTGTGTTGCCCAGGCTGGTCTTGAACTCCTGGGCTCAAGCAATCCTCCTACCTTGGCCTCCCAAAGTGCTGGGATGACAGGCTTCAACCATTGTACCCAGCCAGCTTTTTTTTTTTTTTTTTTTTTTTGAGTTTTGGTAAGATGTATGTAACAAAATTTACTATCTTAGGCTGGGTGCAGTGGCTCACACCCATCATCCTAGCACCAGCACTTTGGGAGGCTGAGGCGAGAAGATTGCTGGTCTTGAACTCCTGACTTCAAGAGATCATCCTGCCTCGGCCTCTCAAAGTGCAGGTGTGAGCCACCATACCCAGCCAAATATGAACATTTTTGTTTCTTTGTTTCTTTGTTTTGAGACAGGGTCTCACTCTGTCACCCAGGCTAGAGTGCAGTGGTATGATCACAGCTCACCACAGCCTCAACCTTTCAGGGTTCAAGTGATCCTCTCACATCAGCCTCCCGAGTAACTGGGACCACAGGTGTGCACCACCATGCCTGGCTAATTTTTTATTTTTTGTAGAGATGAGGTCTCACTATGTTGCCCAGGCTGGTCTTGAACTCCTGGGCTCAAGCAATCCTTTCACCTCAGCCTCCCAAAGTGCTGGGATTTTGGGCATGTGCCACCACCACACCTGGCCCAAATATCAAGGTTTTGTTTTGTTTTTGAGATGGAGTTTCGCTCTTGTTGCCCAGGCTGGAGTGCAATGGCACAATCTCAGCTCACTGCAACCTCCACCTGTTCCAGGTTCAAGTGATTCTCCTGCCTCAGCCTCCCGAGTAGCTAGGATGACAGGCATGTGCCACCACGCCCAGCTAATTTTGTATTTTTTTAAGACGGGTTTCTCCATGTTGGTCAGGCTGGTTTCAAACTCTTGACCTCAGGTGATCCGCCCACCTTGGCCTCCCAAAGTGCTAGGATTATAGGCATTAATTTTGATTTGTATTGCCAAATTCCTATCCAGAGAACCACTTAATACCTGCTTATTTGTGTAAGAAAATGCACTGTTCTTTGTTTGTTTTTTGAGACGAAGTCTCACTCTTGTCCCCCAGTCTGGAGTGCAATGGCACGATCTCGGCTCACTGCAACCTCCACCTCCCAGGTTCAAGCGATTCTCCTGCCTCAGCCTCCCAAGTAGCTGGGATTACAGGTGCGTACCACCACACCCAGCTACTTTTTTGTATTTTAAGTAGAGATGGGGTTTCACCATGTTGGCCAGGCTGGTCTCAAACTCCTGACCTCAGGTGATCTGCTCGCCTTGGCCTCCCAAAGTGCTGGGATTACAGGAGTGAGCCACCGCGCCTGGCCTAAAATGCACTGTTCTTTGATTATTAATTTCTCATTCAAAATTCTAGATTAAGTTAAATTTCGTGGAGAGTATGATAGCTTTTTTTTTTTAACCATTATTTTGTAAAACCAAAATTTGGGAGAGAATGCGAGGAGAAATTAAAAAGATCACTGATATTACCTAAATGACCCTATTACTTAAAATGACCTTTTGAAGTAAGAGGAAATGAAACAAGTTACACTGAGTTCCTCCACTGATGATATGGGGAGGATGACACCTTTCCTGCCTGCCGTATAGGAACTGAATGGCTTAAAATTCTCTGGAGAAATGACTTCTTTCATGGCCAGGATCTTCAGAAGGGTACAATCTAGAGGGGAGAATTGGCCTTCCTTTCCCACAATGGTCAGGGGCCCTAGCTCTCAGCAGTTTGTTCGACTTGCTGGAAATGTGCAGCTGCTTCCTAGCGAATCTGCTAGCAAAAGGGAAGGAGACACCTGTGTTGTGTTGTGTGGTGTGGTGTGATGTGTATGTGTGTTTGTTGGGGGTGTTTAGCAGCAGACATAGTGGAGTTTGCTTTGGTTTTGTATTATTGTGGTGTGTGGGTAGGAACTACATTGTCAAAATCATTGAAGGACAGTAGGAACCAGATGAAATTAAATAAGGGGCCAGGCATGGTGGCTCATGCCTATAATCCCAGCACTTTGGGAGGCAGAGGCAGGATTACTTGAGCCCAGGAGTTTGAGATGAGCTTAGGCAACATGACAAGGCCCTGTCTCTACAAAAAATACAAAAATTAGCCAGGTGTGGTGGTACCTGCCTGTGGTCCCAGCTACTCAGGAGTCTGAGGAAGGAGGATCGCTTGAGCCTGGGAGGTTGAGGCTGTGGTAAACTGTGATTGTACCGCTGCACTCCAGCCTGGGCAACAGAATGAGGCTCTGTCTCAAAAAAAAAAAAAAAAAAAAAAAGAAAAGAAACAAGGAAGACGAAGAGTAGTGCATAGAAAATCTTTTAGTGTTGCAACCCATAAGTAAAGATAAGTCTTTTGACTTCATTTGAGTGTTTTGGGCTCTTTCCTTTGGGATTATATACCAGACCTATACTGCATATAAAGTTATTTGAAAATGAGCCACACACTGTAACATAGCCATGCTCTGGCTGTGGCCAATTAGACCATAACTAATCCCCACTGAGAAGCTTTTCTTTTTTTGTTTTGAGACAGGGTCTTGCTCTATCACCCAGATTTTGGAGTGCCGTGGTGTGATCATAGCTCACTGCAACCTCGAACTCCTTGGTTCAAGGGGTCCTCCTGCCTCAGCCTCCCAAGTAGCTGGAACTACAGGCACACAGCACTGTGCCTGGCTAATTTTTAATTTTTTAAATTTTTTTAGACAGTCTTGCTCTGTCGCCAGGCTGGAGTGCAGTGGCACGATCTCGGCTCACTGCAGCCTCCAACTCCTTGGTTCAAGTGATCTCCTGCCTCAGCCTCCTGAGTAGCTGGGATTACAGGCACACGCCACCACGGCCAGCTAATTTTTGTATTTTTAGTAGAGATGGGGTTTCACCATGTTGGCCAGGACAGTCTCGATTCTCCTGACCTCGTGATCCGCCCGCCTCGGCCTCCCAAAATGCTGGGATTACAGGTGTGGGCTACCGTGCCTAGCCTAATTTTTTTTATTTTTTGTAGAGATGGGGTCTCGCTAAGCCTTCCTAAGTACTGGGATTGCAGGCATGAGCCACTGTGCCCAGACCTGAGCTTTTCTTTAGTTTTTAACTCTTGTTTTTTTTGTGTGTGTGCGTTTTGTTTTTTCGACATGGAGTCTCACTCTGTCTTCCAGGCTGGAATGTGGTGGCACAATGGCAGTTCACCACGGCCTTGGCCTCCCAGGCTCAAGCAGTCCTCCCACCTCAGCCTCCTGAGTATCTGGGATTACAGGTGCATGCCACCACAACTGGCTATTTTTCTAATTTTTGTAGAGATGGAATCTCGCCATGTTGCCCAGGTTGGTCTCGAACTCCTGGGCTCAAACAGCAAGCAGTCCACCACCTTCAGCCTCCCAAAGCACTGGGATTACAGGTGTGAGTCACTGTGCTTAGGCAAGTTATTGTTTCTGTTTAGACCCCAGTAGTAAATATTTTAGGCTTTGCAGACCATGTGGTTGTAACTACTCACCTCTGCCATTGGAGAACAAAAGCAGCCATAGACAATACTTAAATGAATGGGCGTGGCTACGTTTTAGTAAAACCTGATTTACAAAATATGGGCTGCTAACTTATAGGCCATAGTTTGCTGGCTGCTGGTAGGGGGAATTACACTTGACAGAAAGAGGCCTAGTTTTGATGGGAAATTGTTAAAAAAACAGCTTTGATGTCTGGACTTACTGGTTGTGTCACTCTAGCATCTCTGAACCCTCATGTTTAAAATCAAAATGGTAATACCTTTCATAAGAAATAAGAATGAACAGTTGCATATGTGAGGAGATGTTTAACTTTTCTGGAAATAAGATATAAATTAAAACAATAATATATTCTATCTTATATATTGATAAAATATATTGGTAGAAGGGTGTAGATGGGAATTTTTATCCTCTGTTGGTGAGACTATAAACTAGTACACAGTTTTAGATGGTAATTTGGGAATATCTGTTGACATTTAAAATACACAAGCTTTTCAACCCATTAATTCTAATTATTGGTATATATCCTAGAGAAATATTAGCTTGTGTGTAAAATTAGAGATGTGCTGCCAGTGTTATCAATACAGCATTCTTTGACATGCAAAACACTGTGAACAACCTAAATGTCCAGATGTAGCAAAATGGGAAAATAAAGTTGTGGCACATTCTTACATAGGATTTTTTCAAGCTTTTAAAAGTTTAAGGAATTGCCAGCCATGATAGCTCACACCTGTAATCCCAGCACTTTGGGAGGACAAGGTGGGCGGATTGTTTGAGCCTAGGAGTTTGAGAACAGTTTGGGCAACATGGTGAAATCCCATCTCTACAAATAAATTAGCTGGGTATGGTGGTGCGCACCTTTAGTCCCAGCTACCAGGAGGCTGAGGTGGGAGGATCACCTGAGCCCAGGTGGTTGAGGTTGCAGTGAGCCATGATGGTGCCACTGCACTCCAGCCTGGGTGACAGAGTGAGACTTTGTCTCAAAAAAAATTAATTAAAAATGTGAGGAATCTGTTTTTTGCTGGTATGGAAACATGTCAAATAAATTTTTACATGAAAAGGGCAAGTTGCAGAACATATTATATGGTATGATTACAGATATGTAGACCAAACACACATACCTGTATGTGAATATATACCTGTATGTGTACATGCTTAGGAAAAATCCAAAAGGTTGTACAACAGACTTCTAACAGTGGTCACTTCTGAGCTGGGGAGTGTCACTGGCAAATGTGGGTTGAGGCTTAATGAAGAGGGAGTTTTACATTTTACTCTAGATACCTCCGTATTATATTATTTCACAGTGATAATGTATTCCTTCTCCTTTCCAATTGTTTGGAGAGCTCCTGGGCCTGTCTGCACTTGCCAGGATTAGGAGTGTGACAAGGTAGCTAGCTGTGCTCACATCAGTTGAGTTGGAAGCAGCTGCTGAGACCAGAACAGGGAGCACATGTAAGGGGAGGAGGGGGATAGCATGTGCAAGTGACTGAGAGAGGCAGCCAAGACAGGCCATTTCCAATTTACCAACAGTAACTATCACATGTCTTGTCTTGACATTCTCCAAGTTACTTTGCTCTCTGTCATCACACTGGACCCTGAGGATGATTCTCTGAGCAAGGGAGGTAGGGATGATGATGAGACCAGGAGTAATCAAAACATGGGACAACAAGGAAAGTATGTGTGTAGAAATAGTTTTTTTTCTTTAACTTGAAATACGTCAAGGATACTCATTACAGCATTGTTTGAAATGGTAACACTGAAAATAGCCATTCCCTCAATAGAAAAATATGTGAACACGTTATGGATATCCCTTATATGGACTTTTATGTAGCTTTTTAAAAGTATGAGTTAGAATTTTAGTTATTGATGCTTGGGGAGATGTTGATAAATTGTTAGATGAGATAAGTTGCAGAGCAATGTGTAAAGTTTAAACCTAGTTTTCTAAAAACAGAGAACAACAAAACCCTTTCCAATATATTTGTATTTATGTTTTTGGGGGACACAAAAATATGTTACCATTTCTCATCTTGTAGGAGGCCTTGGAGAGGAATGGAAAGGGGCTGGGAGATTACTAATTTTGTCTTTTATCTAACTTTGTATTGCTTCACTGGTTTTGAAGAACAAGGAAAACAAACTTGTATAAGCAAGAAATGAAGTTTCCTAAACATCGTTTCATCTTAATTAATTATTATTATGTTTTTTTTTGAGATGTAGTTTTGCTCTTGTTGCCCAGGCTGTAATGCAGTGGCACAATCTTGGCTCACTGCAACCTCCACCTCCTGGGTTCAAGTGATTCTTCTGCCTCAGCCTCCCTAGTAGCTGGGATTACAGGCGCCTGCTACCACGCCTAGCTATTTTTTTTTTTTTTTAATAGAGACAGGGTTTCACTATGTTGGCCAGGCTGTTCTCAAACTCCTGCCCTCAGGCGATCCACCTGCCTCAGCCTCCCAAAGTGCTGGGATTACAGGCGTGAGCCACCGCACCCAGCTTAGTTTTTTGTTTTTTTGTTTTTTGTTTTTTTTTGTTTTTTTTTGAGACGGTGTCTCGCTCTGTTTCTTAGGCTGGAGTACAGTGGTGCAATCTTGGCTCACTGCAACCTCCACCTCCCGGGTTCAAGCAATTCTCATGCCTCAGCCTCCCAAGTAGCTGGGAATACAGGCGCCTGCCACCATGCCCAACTGATTTTTGTATTTTTAGTAGAGATGGGGTTTCACCATGTTGGCCAGGCTGGTCTGGAACTCCTGACCTCAAGTGATCCACCTGCCTCAGCCTTCCAAAGTGCTGGGATTATAGGCATGAGCCACCTCGCCCAGCTTTAATTGATTTTTAAAGGTTAACTTTTATTATTTTTTAGTGAGTTAATGAAGTAAAGAAATATGAAAGTCAAAATAGAGTTTTAATATGGAATTAATATGTAAATCTTCTTTTGGATTTAAAGGAGGCATCTGGGTAGTGGCAGGAGAACGAGCATTGAAGGAACCAGCTTTGTAATTGTAGTTATCAACTTTCTGATGTGTGAGCTTTAATTTAGTAAGGTTATTTAATAACTTAAATGAAGGCTTTAGTGTCCTTATCTCTAAAACAAAGAGCTTGTACAAGGAGATGTGCTTCACAAATCTGTTATCCCACAATTGAGCTACCTTTTGAGATTAGAATATATTTCCTTTGTTTTAAAATGCTTTCTTTCTTTTTTTTTTTTTTGCTTTTTTAATATTTTAACACTGAAATTGGGGTGTATTTTACAATTGATAGTATCTTCCAATTGTCACTGGCCATTTTTTTTTCACATTTTTGTTATCTCTGAAATTGAGATATCTCATCATTGATGATGATGTAGGATAGTTCCATTTTCAATGCCATTTTTGTTTTCATTAACAAAAATCTCCGCCCTTTCCTGGGCTTCTGTTACTTCCAGTCCTGTCAGATTCTTTCACATCACTAAGACAGTCTGGATTGGGACAATTGGGTGGATATGTTATTTGAGTGTGCAAGAATTTTGTACATCCTTATATAACTGGTAGATGTCCTATATGTAGCTACTGTTTGAGAAATTGAGTAAAAAATGTGACGCATCCAACTTAGTGTTCCTGAGTTTTGATTATCAGTTTGGCTTGCCTTTTTTTTTTTTTTTTTTTTTTTTTAAAGAGATGGGATCTTGGTCAGGCGCGATGGCTCATGCCAGTAATCCCAGCACTTTGGGAGGCTGAGGCAGGCGGATCACAAGGTGAGGAGTTCAAGACCAGCCTGGCCAACATAGTAAAACCCTGTCCCTACTAAAAATACAAAAATTAGCTGGGGGTGGTGGTAGACACCTGGAATCCCAGCTACTTGGCAGGTTGAGGCAGGAGAATCGCTTGAAACTGGAAGGCGGAGGTTGCAATGAGCCAAGATCACACCACTGCACTCTAGCCTGGGCAACAAGAGTAAAACTCCAACTCAAAAAAAAAAAAAGAGAGATGGGATCTTGCTGCGTCACTCAGGCTGGGGTACAGTGGCACAATCGTAGCTCACTGAAGCCTCAAACTCCTGAGCTCAAGTGATCCTCCTGCCTTAGCCTCCTGAGTAGCTGAGACTTCAGGCATGCCACCATACCTGGCTAATTTTTTTTTATTTGTTGTTGTTTCTCTTGAGACAGAGTCTCACTCTGTCACCCAGGCTGGAGTGAACTGGTATGATCTCAGCTCACTGCAGCCTCCACCTTCCAGGTTCAAGCAATTCTTGTGCCTCAGCCTTCTGAGTAGCTGGGATTATAGGCGTGCACCACCACACCTGGCTAATTGTGTGTGTGTGTGTGTGTGTGTGTGTGTGTGTATGTGTATTTTTAGTAGAGATGTGGTTTTACCATGTTGGTCAGGCTGATCTCGAACTCCTGGCCTCAGGTAATCTGTCTGCCTCGGCCTCTCAAAGTGCTAAGATTACAGGTGTAAGCTTCCGCGCCCAGCTGAATTTTTTTTTTTTTTGAGAGATGGGGGTCTTGCTTTGTCACCCAGGCTGGTCTTGAATTCCTGGGCTCAAGTGATCCTCCCATCTCAGCCTCCTGAGCCATTGGGATTACAAGTGCAAGCCTCCTGACCTGGCTTGCCTGGTATTTAATAATTACAGTATGACATATATACAGAAAAGTACACAAAGTTTACAGCTCAAGGACTTTCCACAAGGTGAACACACCTGTGTTACTAGCACCTACATCAAGAAACAGAACATTACCAGCATACCATTAGCCCCTTCCCAGTCACTATCCCCCTATTGTTTTATTTTTAAACACAGTGAAACTATACATAGGGATGATGACTCTTGGTTCATAAGTGAGTGGCTCATGTTATCTCAGGTGAGTCTTCTGGAAAGAGCCCCAGATTAGGAGCCAGAAAACCGTGGTTACATCGTGGCCCGGTTGCTTTTTAGCTGTATGACCTTAGACAAGGTAAACTTAACTTTTCTGGACTTCATTCCTCTTTGGTAAAGTGAAAATAATAATGCCCTCACCTTAAACAGCTGTTGTAAGGTTCATCTGACATTATTGGTAAACAGGAAATACCTTGTAAATGGGAAACACTTTGTTAGTTGTAAAGAGCCATACACAAATAATAGTCATTTTTGTTGAGAGCTGTGGAATCTCAAGCAGAAGAGAAAATGATGATCCCCAAATCTATTCTCTTTATCACCTTTGCTGTCTCATTTTTTTTTGTTGACATTGGTGTCACTGTCTTTCTGTTAAATTCTCCCAAAACAAAAATAATATAAAGGTCCTAACAGGAATCCCCAGAGATCTGGAATTTCTCCTAAAGTTTTTTACTTCCTCTCTTAATGCTGATGCCCACTAGATCTATGCAAGGCAGAGACCTTGGTAAATCAACAAACTTCAATCGCAAATGCGTACATCACCCATTTACAGGCCTTACAAGCAAGCATGATCTTCTCATAGACACTCTTCTGAATTTATTCAGTCTTCCAAATGGAGCCCAGATCCTTATCTCTAACCCCAAATCATATTTTTCATTAGTTACTGATTATTTCTAACTGTATATCCAGTAGATATCTCACGTCTAAGACCTAACTCTCAAACTGCTTGCCAATATAGCAAGACGGTTTAGATTTTGGGCTTGGAGTGGGACAGTCTTGGATTTGAAACTTAATTCTGCTACTTATTAGCCTCATGATCTTTGCTAATGAAGATCATGACAGTTGCTTAACATCGTGAAAGATTTATTCTATAACTTGAGGGTATTAATAGTATTTGCTTGATAGGGGTGATACTATGTTCAAATGAATGGAAATTGTTATTGTTACTCTTACATTTTTTTTTTTTTTGAGATGGAGTTTTGCTCTTGTTTCCCAGGGTGGATTGCAATTGTGTGATCTTGGCTAACTGCAACCTCCACCTCCTGGGTTTGAGCAATTCTCCTGCCTCAGCCTCCCTCGTAGCTGGGATTACAGGTGCCTGCCACCGTGCCCGGCTAATTTTTTTGTATTTTTAGTGGAGACAGGGTTTCACCATGTTGGCCAGGCTGGTCTCGAACTCCTGGCCTCAAGCGATCCACCTGCCTTGACCTGCCAAAGTGCTGGGATTACAAACGTGAGCCACCGTGCCCAGCCACTCTTACATTCTTATCTTGCTTTTTGGCACACATGTTCATTTATTTGTTCACTCAAGCTAGGAAATTTAGAGGTGCTTCAAGAATTTTCCTTTTCTCATTCTTCATTTATACAGTTGTCCCTCAGCATCTGTGGGGATTGGTTCCAGGACTTCACACAGATACCAAAATCCTTGGATGCTCAAGTCTCTATATAAAATGGTATAATATTAGCATATAACCTTCACACGTCCTTCGTATAGTTTAAATCATCCTTGGATTACTTATATAATGCAATGTAAATACTATGTAAATAGTTGTTACATTGTATTGTTTAGAATAATGACAAGAAAAAAAAGTTTATACATCTTCAGTACAGATGCTTTTTTTTCCCTAAAATGTTTTTCATCTCAGGTTGGTTGAATCCACACATGTGGAACCCATGGATACAGAGGGCCTACTGTAATTGGTTGTCAGGGCCTGTCATAAATAGTTCTCAAAGCTATTGTTGCATCTTTATTGTCATTGCCTTACTTCAGACATACATTACTTCTTGCTTGTAACAGACAATGGTTTTTGCACTGCATTCTGTAAAGCTTTACAGAACTATAGAACTGACTTAAGAACCAGGGGGAAGCAGAGGGAACAAGTCTCCAAATATCCCTTACTTCAAACTGTCTTCTTCTGTGTGTCCTGGGGTTCTATATAAAGGTTACATTTAAATAGAGTTCATTTAAAATATATAGTTTGGAACCTTTCATTCATTCAAGAAGTATTTATCAAGCACTCATGCTGTGCCAGCCATTGTGCTGATTTCTAAGAATTCAGCGGTGAGCACACAGTTTGTGATTTCATGGAACTTAAGGCAGTAAGAGAAAGATAAATTAATAAAATACAAAAAGGCGTAATTAGGAACTATGGGCTGGGCACAGTGGCTCATACCTGTTATCCCAGTGCTCTGGGAGGACAAGGTGGGAGCTTCACTTTAGTTGAGGAGTTCGAGACCAGCTTGGACAACATAGCAAGATCCTGTCTCTACAAAAATTAAAAATAAAATAGCCAGGTGTGGTGGCTTGTGCCTGATAAAGTACTATTATTATTCCCATTTTACAGCTGGGGAAAATGAGGGCACAGAGAGAGTAAATAACTTGCCCAAGGTTGCAGAGCTATTAAGCTATAAACCCAGAATTTGTATTAGGTTGTCTTAAGTTCAGACCTTGTAATCTTAGCCATTATGCTCTATTGCCTTCCTCCTGTGTCTTACCATTCCAGTCTGTACTTTATACAGTTTCCCTTCTGAAACATAGCCCTGATCATGCTGCTCCCCTTTACCCTCTTCCTTTAGAAACCTTGATTGTCTTCTCATCACCTACAATTTCTTAGTATGAGGCAAGTGCCTCACAATTTAATATTACTTACCCTTGTTTTTTTTTTTGAGATGGAGTCTTGCTCTGACTGGAGCACACCAGACTGGAGTGCAGTGGCATGATCTCGGCTCACTGCAACCTCCACCTCCTGGGTTCAAATGATTCTCCTGCCTCAGCCTCCTGAGTAGCTGGGATTACAGGCATGTGACCACACCCAGCTAATTTTTGTGTTTTTAGTAGAGACGGGGTTTCACCATGTTGGCCAGGATGGTCTCAATCTCCTGACCTCATGATCCACCTGCCTTGGCCTCCCAAAGTGCTGGGATTACAGGCGTGAGCCACCGCCCCTGGCCTTACTTATTACCCTTCTTATCATCTGATGCACCTCCCTAAAACTGCATGCCATTGTTCAACTGTAATATGGTCTGTCTTTGCATGTGCTGTTTTCTCTGCCTAGAATGCTTTTTTACTTTTTGGTGAAACTCTACTTATCCTGCTCATATTTTAATATCTAGCTTAAATGTCACTTCCTCTATAAAGCATTCCCCATCATCCCATCCTGAGTTAGTCCCTCACGCTCCTTTAAACCAGTACCTACTCTTATTTTCTCGTTCTGAAATCTTTCCATGAAAGCAAGAATCTTAGTGTTCTCTTTAGCTCCCCACCTTTCCCACGCCCCTATATGCTAAGAGCATTGTCTCTACGTCTGTAATGCCTTTCAGAGCCACCTGTTTTAGTTCCTACTGCCCCTGCCCTGGCAGTGCAGTTTTCTCTCTACCTCTGTCGCTGCCACCTAAGTCCATTTTCTGCCTCTGGCCTCACTGTTGTGCTAGAGTCATCTTTTCAAAAAGCACAAGTAGTATACCATTCTCCTGCCCAGGACTTTTCAGTGCCTCCCACTTCTCTTCAGTAAGTCACCCTGGGTTGTTGGTCCCCACTAGCCTTGCTTGTGTTATCTTACCTTCCTTTCAGCACACCCCAAGCCCATGTTCTTTGGCTTCATATTATGGTTACAGATGTGTCTCTTCCTCTACAAGATTATAAACTCAAGTTTAAAGATTTACCCTTGGGCCAGGCACAGTGGCTCACACTTGTAATCCCAGCACTTTGGGAGGCCAAGGTGGGCTGATCGCTTGAGCTCAAGAGTTTGAGACCAGCTTGGGCAAATGGCAAAACTCCATCTCTACAAAAAGTACAAAACTAGCTGGGCATGGTCCTGCACACCGGTAGCCCCAGCTACTTGGGAGGCTGAGGTAGGGAGGATCACTTGAGCCTGGGAGGTGGAGGTTGCAGTGAGCTGAGATTGCACCACTGCACTCCAGCCTGGGCAGCAGAGTGAGACCTTGTCTCAAAAAAAAAAAAAAAAATCTTTGAATTCCTAGCACAGTATGTAGGATGTTTATATCATGTTTATAGTCGAATATCCCTGATTAAATTTCATTAATTCTAAGTAAAGAGTAACATATCTTATGTATTTTGGAGAATATGTTTTGATATAAAGAAAGAGCTTTGCCTTAAAAGGGATAAATTTCAGTTAGTAGGAAAATTGCTTGTGTGAAATTTTGTACTTCTCAGTGATGCCAGATACGTAGGATTTATTTTCTCTGATGGTGATCACGTTATTTATTAGCATCTTTAAAAGTGTGGATAGGACAGCACGGTGGCTCACACCGTTTAATTCCAACACTTTGGGAGGTCAATGCAGGCAGATCGCTTGAGCCCAGGTGTTTGAGACCAGCCTAGGCAACATAGCGAGACTTCATCGCTACTAAAAATTAAAAATAGCCAGGCGTGGTGGCGCGTGCCTGTTGTAGCAGCAGCTACTTGTAAGGCTGAGGCGGGAGGATCACTTGAGCCCAGAAGTTTGAGGTTGCAGCGAGCTATGATTATGCCACTGCACTCCAGCCTGGGTGACAGAGCAAGACCCTGTCTCAAAAAAAAAAAAAAAAAAAAGGTGGGTATAGATCTGGTGCCATTTAGACATCTGCATTGTCCTTTTCATGAGCTGTGGCAGAAGCAGTGTGAACAATGAATGCAGAAATGCTTTGTATACATGAAGACCTATACTGATGAGAAAGATAGAGGATGTAGCTGAGATGTGCTGGAGAGAGCACTGGATTTAGAAGACATCTCTTTGAGTTCTGGCTCTGCAGCCTTACCAGTCGACCTTGAGGCAGGTATTTTCTTTTTACTGAGCCTTACGTTCCTAATTTATAAAATTGGAATAAACCTTGCCTCTTAGGGTTCTTTTGGGAAGATTAATTGAGATGTGAGACACAGCCTTCCTTAAAAATCCTGAAGTTTGTTCAAATCCCTAGCACAGTATGTATTTTAGGGTTTTATTTTATCATGCCCATGTTAGACACCATTCCCACTTATTTCACTTATTAGTAACATATTGACAAGTTGGTTCTTGAGGCTATCTGTCTTCCTGTTTAGAACTCATATTCATGTTTGTTCATTTCTATCAGTGATTAAAGGCATTCTGGTGTGGAAAAAGGAAAAGTGGACCTGGAACCAGAAAGACGGGTCTCAGTGCTGTGTAGGACAGGGATGATAAAGTAGAGAGGTGGGGAGGAGAAGGGGTGAAGACCTAGGTATAGAAAGCTACTTTTCTTTAGTCTGTTTAGACAGATGTAGTTATAAATTGCATTTTGTGGCTTTTATTTATGAAAAGCTGCCTTGTAGTTCCTCGAGTGTGGCTCCAATCACCTTTCATTGTATGCCATGCTAAGTTGGTACTACCAGTTTCCAAGGACCTCCTCCTTTCAACAGAGTATTAATGAAGCACCCACATGTGCCTCGCTTTGGGGATGGGTCCTAATAGGGTAACACACAATGTGCCTGTTTCTAGGAGATTTGCTATTTTTTTTGAAAGAACACCCTAACTAGTGATGTTTTGACCAGATTCTGAGGAGACAAGTTCTACTACAAGATTTGTTGTTGAGAATGGTATCCTGTGGAAAGAATCATGGGAATTTTTGGAAGTGGAAAGGTACTTTATTTTATTTTTTTAGAGACAGGGTCTCACTCTGTTGCCCAGGCTAGAGTGCAGTGGCATGATCATAGCTCACTGTAACCCCAAACTCCTGGGCTCAAGTGATCCTCCCACCTCAGCCTCCCAAGTTGCCAGGACTACAGACACATAACCGCCATGCCTAGCCAATTTTCTTTTTTTGATATATATCTATTTATTTATCTATCTATAGATAGATGAATAGGCAAATATATATATATATATACACACACACACACTATATATATATATATATATATATTATTATTATTTTTTTTTTTAGACAGGTTCTCACTATGTTGCCCACGCTGGTCTCAAATTCCTTGGCTCAAGTGATCCTCCCATCTTGGCCTCCAAAAGTGCCGGGATTACAA
This sequence comes from Homo sapiens, assembly GCF_000001405.40. Lineage (NCBI taxonomy): Eukaryota > Metazoa > Chordata > Mammalia > Primates > Hominidae > Homo > Homo sapiens. The sequence goes on along the minus strand of NC_000011.10, from coordinate 72,049,448 downwards.
GCATGAGCAACTGTGCCTGGCCCTGAAAAGGTACTTTAGAGCTGATCCGACCCTAGCTTGGTTCTCAGTAATTTGCCTCTGTGACTTGCATTAAGCCACATAGCTAGTAAGTGACCCATCACCCCTCCAGGGGCTTTCAACACCAGATCTACTATGTTTTCTACCACTATGGAGGCTGTCTCCAGTAAGAGTATTCCCCCTGCGTTTCAGGTTCTTTCACATTTCTTATAATTAGTTCTGTGTTTGTGAGCAAACATTGTGCTAGATATGTTGATATGTTGCCTGTAGGGACAGAGCCATTTTACTCCTCTGTGACAGTGAAACAGGGTGGAGAGGTTCTTAGCTGTTTTGTAGAAAGGCCTTCTTGAGAGAGAACTGAGTGGGCCTGTTGGATGTTATAATGAATCCTCTCTGGGTTTTGATTTGCCCTCTGCTTTTCTCTCCAGGAAGCCTCAGACTTACCAACACTGCCTCATTAATCAGCCATTATCCTCTGGAGAGGGACAATGAGGCCATGGTAAATAAGCTCAAGGTCAGGCTCCTGAAACAGCAGTCCTTCCCTTTAGCACCAGCATTTCCTTCCAGCCTCCCCCTCTAACCCTTGAGACACTGCCAACATCCCTCCTAGTACAAGACTTTTCTTGGTGCTTGCTGTTTTTAGAGGAGTTTTGGCCCTTCAGTGTTTGTAAAGCTCTCGGATCCTCAGAAAAAAATTCTTTAGTGATTAATTTTGAAATTGGAGCTGTTTGATTATTTTGATTAAGAAGCTGATTTTCGGCCTGGCACGGTGGCTCACTCCTGTAATCCCAGCACTTTGGGAGGCCCAGGCAGGTGGATCACCTGAGGTAAGGAGTTCAAGCCCAGCCTGGCCAACATGGTGAAACGCCATCTCTACTAAAAATAAAAAAAATTAGACCGGCATGTTGGCGAGCGCCTGTAATCCCAGCTACTCGGGAGGCTGAGGCAGGAGAATCGCTTGAACCTGGCAGGTGGAGGTTGCAGTGAGCTGAGGTCGTGCCATTGTACTCCAGCCTGGGCGACAAAGCAAACTCTGTCTCAAAAAATAAAAAAAAGTTGATTTTCATGAGGAAAAGCACACGGCTTCTTTGATTTGCTGAGAATGTGCTAGCTTTTATTCATTCACTCAATGATTGCCTATTTAACAGCTGTAGACAATAATATAGGCTGGCTGGGTGCAGTGGCTCATGCCTATTATCCCAGCTACTCGGGAGGCTGAGGTACAAGAATCACATGAACCCGGGAGGCAGAGGTTGCGGTGAGCGGAGATCGCAGCACTGCACCCCAACCTGGGCGACAGAGCGAGACTCCATCTTGAAAGAAAAAAACAAAAAAGAATAATATAGGGACAAGGTAGACAACTTACTACTTACATGACTAGATCACGTAGGTCACCTAATTCCTGAGCCTCAGATTTCTTCATTTTTAAAACTGCCCAGTGCTTGGTTCGGCAGCATGTATACTAAAATTGGAACAAAATAAAATAGGAACGATACAGAGATTAGCATGGCCCCTGTGCGAGGATGACATGCAAATTTGTGAAGAGTTCCATATATTTTTTAATTTTATTAAAAAAATAAAGTAAAATAAACAAAACTGCCCAATACAATGCCTTCTAGTCTTTTCTCTGTCACTTACATCCTGGCATAGTAAAGACTATCATTATCGTTGCTGTTACTGTTGTAATTCGTAGCTAATCCAGAGCCTGTCCCCTGCGGTCATCTTGTCTAATTCTCAGGACAAACTGTAACTTTATAGACCTGCCTGGCAGAGTGGAGGGTTTGGGTAAGGGAATAACGACTCTAGAAGCTAGAACTCTAGAAGCTGCAGGTCATGGAGGGCCTTGAGTGCCAGGCTAATTATTTGTGTGAGAATCATCCCATGGGGATGACTGGGGACTTGAACTCTCCTAGTACTTATTTGTTTTTGTTTTTGTTTTTTTTTGAGACGTGTCTTGCTCTGTTGCCCAGGCTAGAGTGCAGTGGCATGATCATAGCTCACTATAACCTCAAACTCCTGGACTCAAGCAATCCTCCCACCTCAGCCTCCTGAGTAGCTAGGACTACAGGCACACACCACCATGTCTGGCTAATTCTTTTATTTTTTGTAGAGATGGGGATCTCGCTATGTTACCCAGGCTGGTCTTGAACTCCTGAGGAATTTGAACTCCTGAGCTCAAATTATCCTCCCACCTTGGCCTCCCAAAGTTCTGGGATTACGGGCATGAGCCACCACACCCAGCTCCAGTCTTTTTTTGTTTAAACTTTCAAAAATGATAATGTAAATCCTGATGCGATGGCATGTGCATGTAGTCCCAGCTACTCAGGAGGCTGAGGCAGGAGGATCACCTGACCCTTTGAAATAACCTTTGTGCTCCTAACCAGTCACCACCCCGCTTCAACCTCTATCTGAACTCTACTGAAATTTATTTATTTATTTTAATTTAAAATTCTTTTTTTTTCTCTTTTTTTGCAATGGAGTCCCACTCTGTCACCCAGACTGGAGTGCAATGGCGCAATCTCAGCTCACTGCAACCTCCGCCTCCCGGATTCAAGTGATTCTCTTGCCTCAGCCTCCCAAGTAGCTGAGATTACAGGCTCCTGCCACCACACTCAGCTAATTTTTGTATTTTTAGTAGACATGGGATTTTGTCACGTTGGATAGGTTGGTCTTGAACTCTTGAGCTCAAACAATCTGCCCACCTCGACCTCCCAAAGTTCTGGGATTAAGGCATGAGCCACTGTGCCCAGCCCTCCCTACTGAATTTAAAGTAATTTCTTTCCTTCCTTTCTTCTCTCTTTTCCTTCCTTTGTTCCTTTCTCTCTCTCTCTCTCTCCCTCTCCCCGCTCTCCACCCCTTTCTTTCTTCTCTTTTTCTTCTTTTTTTGAGATGGAGTTTCACCCTTGTTACCCAGGGTGTAGTGCAATGGCACGATCTCGGCTCACCACAACCTCCGCCTCCAGGATTCAAGCAATTCTCCTGCCTCAGCCTCCCGAATAGCTGGGATTACAGGCATGCGCCACCACACCCAGCTAATTTTGTATTTTTAGTAGAGATGGGGTTTCTCCATGTTGGTCAGGCTGGTCTCGAACTCCTGACCTCAGGTGATCCGCCTGCCTCGGCCTCCCAAAGTGCTGGGATTACAGGCGTGAGCCACCGTGCCCGGCCCTTCTCTTTTTCTAGAAAGGTTTTACCACTCCTTTCCCGCTCTTCTGAGGACAGTAAGAATCAGGCAGGAGCCATGTGGCCGCCTGCTGCCTGTCTAGGCTGTGAGAGGGGCTGTGGAAATTCTGCTGCTGCCACAGGAGGGAGGAAGAGGAGGGAAAGCCTGGCGAAACTGGCCAGGCTCCTTGGGCTGTCCTGAAGAGCTGGCCCAGAAACTTGGCAGCTTTGCAGAGGGGTTCTAGGGGAAGGTTCAGCCTCTCGGAAGCTGCACAGCTGGAAGCTGTTGCCTTGAGTTTAGAGCAAGGGGCCAGGCTGGGGAGACCTCTTGTACGCTTTTGAGACAATATCAATTCTATCTGGGCTAGGAAGCTTCAGGGCTGATGCATTGCCATATGTGGCCAGGGCAGTTTTAGCAGGCCTCCCTCCTATTTTCACCTTATACATTTTCTGGAGCATTGATAATGCCAGTCTTTAAATTAAGTTTGGCCAGGCCTGTGATGGCTCATGCCTGTAATCCTAGCACTTTGGGAGGCTGAAGCAGGCAGATCGCTTGAGCCCAGGAGTTCGAGACCAGCCTGGGCAACATGGTGAAATTCTGTCTCTACAAAAAAATACAAAAATTAGTCAGGCGTGGTGGCATGCACCTGTGGTCCCAACTACTCCGGAGGCTGAGGTGGGAGGATTGTTTGAGCCCAGGAGGCTGAGGCTGCAGTGAGCCATGATTGTGCCACTTGCACTCAAGCCTGGGTGACAGAGTGAGACTGTCTCAAGAAAACAAAAACAACAAAAACCCAAACAATTATGTTTGCCACTTTGCTTTTCTGTAAAAGTTTTGGTATCTGCTTTGCCTTTGCTTTCATGGTGCTCCTTTGGATAAGAACTTCCATTTCTACTAATAGTGATTGCTAACTACAGACTACAAATGATACAGTGGGAATAGCTTACAGGGCCTGGAAGAAGCAGCAGGTGATGGGGAGCCTACAGCAATGAGCCTTGGTCTGACCCCCACCCCCACCTCATCCCAACCACCCACCACAGTCATTCTCTGGTGGCCAGAAAGTTGAATTTGTAAACCTGACATCCAGATGTAGTTTGGAGAAGCAGATTTAAGGAGCCCTAGTGTGCTAGGTGTTATGGGGGATCACAGAGAGAGAGAGGTGGAACTGGTTATGCCCTTGAGGAATTTCCATTCTAGATGTGAAGACAAGATTTTCATGCATATACACATAAGTGCCAAGAGTAGGAGGTAGTTACATTTTTCTTATCACCAGTGTAATACAAGATTATTAAAAATAAATGCAAGGCCAGGCACAGTGGCTCACACCTGTAATCCAGCACTTGGGAGCCTGAGGCAGGCGGATCACGAGGTCAGGAGTTCGAGACAAGCCTGGCCAACATGGTCAAACCCTGTCTCTACTAAAAATAAAAAAATCAGCTGGGCATGGTGGCAGGTGCCTGTAATCTCAGCTACTTGGTAGGCTGTGGCAGGAGAATCATTTGAACCCAGGAGACAGAGGTTGCATTGAGCTGAGATCATGCCATTGTACTCCAGCCTGGGTGACAGGGCAAGACTCCATCTCAAAAAAAAAAAAAAAAAAGCAAACATACAGCATAGAAAGTCCCCAAGTGAATGTTCCCTACAATCTAACTCCTCCCCCCCCCCAAAGTAACCCCTGTTAACTGTTAAATATTTGAGGAGTTAGGAATATTAAATCAAATATATTAAATATTTGAGCTGGACCCTAAAGTAAAATCTAGAGAGGCAGACTGATGGGAAGAAGGCAGACAGACAGAGGATCCAGTCTCCTGCTCCAGGCAGAATACCCTCTCTGGCTTCCCAAACAATTGGTGAGCCAACTTCTGCTTGGACACCTTGGTGACAAGGGACCAAAATGCCAAGTAGGAATTAGTCTGCAGGAAACACCCATCCTATGCCTTACATGCTAGCCAGTGTGTTGGACACCTTATAGGTGTTATTGAATTAATTTTCATTGCTTTATAACAGGTGTCTTTATTCTTGTTTTACAAATAGGGATACTAAAGTTCAGAAGTTTCTTGCCAATGTCAAATAGTTAGCAGCATGTGGTAGAGACTTCTGCCATTTACTTGCTATGTGATCTTGGCAAATTATTTAATCTTGTGGCTCAATATCCTCCTCTCTAAAGTTGGGTGATAATGGTACCTACTTCATTAAGGGAGTTTTTAAGATTAATGAGTTCGTACATATTAGGTCAGTAGAATAGTGTCGCGTACATAGTATGCACTCAGTAAGCATTAGCTACTATATGTCTTTCTGTCTCTCTGTTTATCTATCTGTCCATTTATTTATGTATTTATTGAGACAGAGTCTTGCTCTGGCACCCAGGCTGGAGTGCAGTGGCATGATCTCTGCTCATTCCGAGTTCAAGGAATTCTCCCACCCTAGCCTCCTGAGTAGCTGGGACTCTGACACTAAAAAAGACACTAATTTGTTTCTAAATCATGAAGTTTTACTGGTTATCTTATATGTAAAACATTTTAGCCTATATATTATAAACTGTAGCCAATGATTGTGACCTCTATAGTATAGCTCCTAGTAGAAAAAGACAAAGACAACTGTGGGCCAGGTGTGGTGGTTCATGCCTGTATCCCAGGGCTTTGGGAGAAGCATAGAATTTTTAGAGAAGAATTTAAAATAATGCTGTGCCTAGGCAACATAGTGAGAGCCTGTCTCTACAGAAAAAAAAAAAAAAAAAAATTAGCCAGGCATGGTGGCACACACCTGTACTCCCACTGCTTGGGAGGCTGAGGCAGATGGATCACTTGATCCCAGAAGTTTGAGGTTACAGTGAACTATGATCTCGCCACTGCCCTCCAGCCTGGGTGACAGAGTGAGACCCTGCTTTAAAAAAAAAAAAAAAAAAAAAAAGAACTCCGCCTGGCTAATTTTTTGTTTTTGTTTTTTTGTGTGGTTTTTTGTATTTTTTGGTAGAAACAGGGTTTCGCCATGTTGCCCAGGCTGGCCTCTCAAAGTGCTGGGATTACAGGCGTGAGCCACCGTGCCCCACCAGCTACTATTTATTATACTCTGTTTTCTCTCTTGTTCTGACATCCTGTCATCTCCTCAGTTTAATTCTGCATATCATCCCTCATACTTTCCTCCCCTGTACAGTTCCTCTCTCTGCCTCCTATCAGTTCTTTACCCTGTCTCCACAATGTCTCTCACTGCAGCTTCCACCTGGGTTCAAGTGATCCTCCCACCTCAGCCTCCCAAGTAGCTGGAACTGTAGGTGCGGGCCACCACACCCGGCTAATTTTTTATTCATGAAATTTTTTGTAGAGATGGGATCTCCCTATGTTGCCCCGGCTGGTCTCCAACTCTCGGACTTCAGTGGTCCACCCAAAGTGCTGGGATTACAGGTGTGAGCCGTCGTGCCAAGGCCCCTTTCCATTCTTTCTTACCTTACCCTCTTGTGTGCCCTCATTACCTGTCTCCTGACTGTGCAGCTTCCTGACTCACCTCATTGCTGCTAGTCTCATTCAGGTATATATCAGAATAAACTTGGGGCACAGTTTTTGTCATACCACAGCTCTGTGTTAATAACAAACAAACTTACAAGTCTTTGATTCCTTGGTTTGAGGTTCAAGATTCTCCTAGCTCTCTGACCCCACCTCACTCTTCAAGCCCTTTCTCCCACTGCTTCCATGCCTCCTCTCTGCTTTCTCTTCCTCCCCACACCTCTCTGTTTCCATCTGGGGAAATGCTACCTGTGTGTTTCAAGGTCCAAATTAAAATGGCACTTCATTTTCGTAATCCTTCCCTATTCTAAACTGGTTAGAATTTTTCTTTACAGCTTTTATGGAAGTTAGCACACCAGTTTGAAATTAATCTTCAAGTCATATTTCTTATCTCCTGTGAATTACAACCTACCTCAGTGCGGATGCTGGGCTTAATTCATCTTTGTATACTTCCTACAGTTTCCTATAGGAGTGCCTTACACATAGTAGGTGCTCAGTAAATGTTTGTGGCATAAGATTAGGGGGTGCCTGTTGACCATCTGGTGGGCTTCCCTTTCAGCCTTGGTGAAGTTCGCTATTCAGTGGGGGGAAATGCTGTGATTTTGTCTTCTAAGAGTCAGACATCTTTTGTTTTCAGCCATGTAGGAGAAGCAGAGTCTACAAGTCCCCGTGCCTGCGTCTGTTAAGGGCTGCAGCCAGTGCCTGGCGTACTCGGTCTCGTGCCTTGGCCCCTCAGCCCCTCCCCATAAATGCTCAGCGGAACAGGGGATTAGGTTCTGGCAGCACAGCTGGGATTTTGGCGGCCATTCCACAGCCGACAATAGCACGCAGCACAGGACAGCGCAGGCCTGTACTCCAGGGCCAGAATCTGCCTGGGCTTCTTGTTTGGGTGGCGGAGGGGGAGGAGCGGGCACAGCACGGCATCCTGGCCTTGCCACGCAGAAGGTATGGGCTGGAGAGATTCCCTCGGGGAATGGATTTAGTGGGTGGCCGTGTCCCAGAGCAGGGCAGGCGGTGCCCATGGAAGGTGGCAGGGCGCTTTGTGTGTGAGTGGCATGGTTGTACTTAAAGACACAGCCTGCCCTGGGGCCGGCAGGAAGGTGCCCCCGATCAGAGGGCCTGCATGTTGCTTGTTCTTCAAAGCCTCTGTTCCCGGGTCTTCCTCCTTGCCCTGCGGTCCGCCAGGCAGGGGCTGATCTAATTATCAGGACAGCCCTTGTCCTACCCTTCCATTGCTGTCCAGAGAGATGGACAGATTATTACTGCTGCCTTAAACTCTGGGTGGAAAACAGAGCGAAGGGGGAGTGTCCGGTTGATCCCAGTTTGTCAGGCAGGCCACTGTAAGATGTGTTTTGTGTGTTTATGCCACAGTTTGCCTTGGCTCTTGCTGCTGTTGGAGTTCAGTAATTTTGCCTGCCTGCTTGTGCCTTCACCCTCAACCCGCCGCCCCCATTCGTCCTGCTTTTCTTGTTCGTGGACCAAGCCTCCAGCCTTCCCCTTTGCAGCCCCTCCTCTCCAGTGCACCCCCTCCCTCTGGGCCCCACCCCCACTGAGAGTCCCCTGCTTGCTGTCGCTCCCAGATCGGGGAAGCTTGCTGTGCCTTTAAAGAAAGCAGACTCCTGGCTGTGACGCACTTCTGGCTGTCAGCCAGGAAGATCGCTCCTGCCAGGCAGACTGAGAAGAAAACCAACAACTTTTCTTTTGTGTGTGGGGTTACTTTCCACTGGCCCCCCCTTCCTCCTCTCCTTTCAAGATTTAAATGCTAATGGCGGATTAAAACCTGTAGATACGTTTGGCTTTAGGAGTCTGGTAAGGCCCCCCCGCACCGAGACTTTTTCTCCCTCACTCTTTCTCTGGGTTTTTGTTCAAACATGGACGAGGGGGTGGGGTGGATTCTCCCCCCTCACCTCCCTTTCCTGCGCCATCCTTAAAGGGGAGGGAGAGAAGAGGGAGAGCAAGTAAACATACTCAGAAACAGGCGCTGTGGAGCAGAGCTTGCCAACATCCGGGAGTTGGCGCCTTTCAGAGCAAAGGGTTGCTTTCTTTCCCCCTTGCGTAGATGTCAGCATGTTTTTGTTCAGAGAAGGAAAGCGTGTTTGCCTGCACGTTGAGCTGTAGAGACAGCTCAGGAGAGGGCTTCACCATTTCTGCGTGAGGCCGTGGGTGTGTGCACGGTGGTGGGCAGTGAAAAAAGGTTCATTTTGTCAGCTGATAGGGACCAGGGTGTGTGAATATAGTGGTGGGGGGCCCAGGTCAGTGTGTGTGTGTGTGTGTGTGTGTGTGTGTGTGTGTGTGTGTGTGTGTGTGTGTGTGTGTGTGTGTATGTGTACGCGCCCCAGTACAATACATGGCTGCAGGCCTGGTTGCAGGTCTGGTTCCTGATTGCAGCTCTTTTGCCATCATCCTGATCTGGACCCTCCAGAGAACGGGGAGAAGGGGCAGACATCTGTAAGCCACTTTTGAAGAAACCAGAGAAGCTTGGTTTCCTCTGTAATCCCTCCCTTGTTCCTCTCCAGGGCTTTGGGGTTCTGTGCCAAACTCTAGGCTACAAAGATGGAGTGGTCTGTGTGAAGAGGAGGCTTCAGCCCAAGCTAGTCCCTTTAGATGGACCAAACTGGTTTGCCCCGACCTCAGGAAACTCTTTGGACTTGGACCAGACGGTCTACCCAGGACTCCCCAGGAATTGAGAAAGATTGTTTTTCTCTGTATGGCGTCTCTTGGAGCCACTGGTCCTCTTGCCTTTTATCTTCTCAGAGGCAGGGGATGTACCAGCAAAGTATTTCCTATGCTGTTTTTATAGCTTATTAGCCTAGGGCAAGGTGGCTTGGCCCCTCTGGGTAACCTGCCAGGTGAGATCTCGGTGTTTGCTTGCATGTGCCTCCTGGCCTATCCGTCCTAGAGTTGGAGGAGGAGGAGCCCCAAGATCAGGGTTTTCACTCTTTGGATGTGAGTGTCTCTCAGATGGGGAGTATCTTTCTAAGAAAGGGGTACAGAGCATGGAATTCTTAGGCTACAGGCAGGCAGCGTCTCAGGGTAAGTGGTGGTAAATTTTGCAAGTGAGCACTGGCGCACAGATGGGGCAGCCATTTCCTTTGTGAGCTGTGAGGCTGTAGGCCTTTGGAACTATCAGGTGGAGAAGGGGGTGGGGTTCTGGGAAGGACCCTTTGAGGTGGGAGCTTGTGTGGGCTTTGGGCCCTGAAATTCTGGGAGTGGGAGTTAGCACTAAGAGAATGAGGGTTCAGCAGAAGCAAGGGCCCATGAGCTGAGAGATCGGTATAGTTTAACAACTCTCTGGGACCAAAGGTCACTTTGGTGTTATCTTGAGGTAGGTCTGGTGTTCCCTTGATGGGCAGTAAGTGGCTAAGAGGCAGTCTCAAAGGAGCTGGCACCCAGGCCAAGGGCGGGGTAAGGAGAGCAGTGCTGCTGCAGCTCAGACCCTCTGGCCTTTGGCCTATCACTTGTTCTGTACTTAAAACTGAAGCTTTTTCAGAACAGACTTCAGAGCTCAGCAACTTGACCCTCTGGTCCTGCTTCTTGTGTCTGAGCAGGTGGTTTACATTAGCCTCAGCCCTGGTAGGAAATCATGGCTAGGCTTTAACTCTTTAAGGTCCAGAGAGGGTACAGGCAGAGTGGCTGCGTGTCTCTTTAGTGTCACTTTCCTTATCTTGATATTTATTTTCTGGAAACAGGGGTTACTGTAAATGTGGGAATTTGTCCTGATGTGGGGGAGCTGCATTGTGTCAGTTTGGGAAATGTAAAAAGGATGCAGGGCCTTAAGTTTATAACGCAACTGCTTCTGTGTCCTTGGTTACTTCTTGAGACCAGGGAAAAGAGAGGGTGCCTTACCAGCTCGGTGAGGCCTCTGTTTTAGATTCTGGGGGAATTTCTTTCTCAGAGAATCAGGTAGATGGGAACTCCAAAGGTGCCCTCAGAGGGCCTGGCCTTTTGTTTCTTTGTTTATTGAGTGAGGGTTGTGGGGGGGACGGGGGGTGCCTGATCCAGCTGGGGTGGATCTCAGCAGATCCTTCTGTGAAATGGTTCCAGGCTACAATCGCAAGGATCTGTTTTTCCATCAGCATCACCCAGTGTACTGGGTGGGGCCTGCCTCAGATTTCAGGGGGAGGGTGGGGAGGATGGTACTCTGGCTGGGAGCCCTTGGGTTCCCAGCCAAAGTCTGCTTAAAGCTATAGTCCCAATGTAGAAGACTTAGCTGTGCTCCTGGCTTCAGTCATTCCTTACCCAGAGAAGAGGGAATGGCTGGGGCTCTCCTGAAGCCTCTCTCACCCTGATGTTCTGTCTCTAGGAAAGTACCTCTTTACAGGCTTAGAACTGAAGAGCAGACAAGGTCCTTCAGGAGTTCCTAGTGGTGAATATTGGGTTCCTCGTATTTCTGTGCCTGGGGAACACAGAAAAGAATATTTAGCCTTGACACTCATTTTCTTGAACAGTGGAACTAGTTTTAGACAGGCTCTCCTGGGAGGACCTCAGGGTTGTATGTTTTGCCTCTGAGATGAAGAGGTTGGTTAAACCTCAGGACATTTTTAGTAGCACAGCTGTGAGTCTTTCAAAGGGGGCAAGATCTGCCTACAGTTGCAGATAAAATTTCGAAGTGTTGGGCCTCATCAAAAGGACTGCAAGTCTATAGGCAGCAGTGAGGATGGGGGAGCGGTGATCTCAGCCTCATTCCTTGTGATTTAATAGCTCAGAGGCCTTTTTTTTAAAGAAACCCCAGTTGAGTGTCTGGCTGTTGCCGCCCCACCACAGAGCCAAGTGTGGTCCCTCGAGCTTTAGTCTTGTCAGCCACAGAAAAGCCTTATTGCAGTGCAGTAGTTGGGGCTATCTGCATCCATCCATGCCTGGCCTCAAGGGCTACATAATCTTGCCCATGGATAGGGTATACTTGATGATAATTATCCAAGACTGAGGAACATAAGCCCCTTAGCTTTTCTGCCCTCCTGAGAGCTCTCTTAACCATTTCATTTGCCCTTGCCAAAGCCCAGGTGAATTGGCTCAATTCCAAGACTGATGCTGGTATGACATGTGGAATCATGTTGGATGTTGCAGGGTCAGGAAGCACTTAATTGTAATTAGCATTTAGTTATATTTAGCATTTAATTATTTTCTTCTGTTAGTGCTTCACATATGTTTAATTTTACTCCCTACCCTGCTATAAGCCCCTCAAAGGCAAGGACCATGTCATTGTCTCCCATTTTCCATGTGGCTTCTAGCACAGGATGATCTTTTTTTTTATTATTTTTTTTTGAGACGGAGTCTCGCTCTGTCACCCAAACTGGAGTGCAGTGGTGCGATCTCGGCTCACTGCAAGCTCCGCCTCCCGGGTTCACGCCATTCTCCTGCCTCAGCCTCCCGAGTAGCTGGGACTACAGGCGCCCGCCACCATGCCCAGCTAATTTTTTTGTATTTTTAGTAGAGACGGGGTTTCACCATGTTAGCCAGGATGGTCTCGATCTCCTGACCTTGCGATCCACCCGCCTTGGTCTCTCAAAGTGCTGGGATTACAGGCGTGAGCCACTGCTCCCAGCGAGGATGATCATATTTAGGAACTAAGAAAATACCTTTCGGTTGGCTGATAAATAGAGTATACTTGGATAGGAAGGACCAAGAGATAATGGGGAGTGAATTTTCAGATTTTCGTATCTCTTTCCCGTACTAGACAGTGAGCACCTTCTGGGCAAGAATGGTGTCTTTCTTTATCCCCAACTTGCATACATGAGACTGGTTCCACAGAGCCCACACTCTGGAGATGCTAATATATGGGGAGACTTACAAGTGATGTGGCTCTTACCACTCTTGTTCCTCCTTCTAGAGTAATTACAGACTGAGCACGTGTGGCAGGAGATGGGGGCAGGGCTCATTGTGCCCCTGGAGATTAGTGAAAATTGCAAGGGTTGCTAGGAGGTGTTGGTGAATATTTAGTTAATCTGGTCTGTGGTCTCTTGGGTGGGTTGGCAGGCAGGTGGCAGAATCTCAATGGGAAAGGAAATTGGGGATGAGAACACCAGGACAGGTGCCTAATTTTCATTAAATGTCCCATGGGATCTCCTCCGGAATTGGGCTCGACCTCATCCAGAGACCTAAGTTTGGATATTCTCAATCCCCCATTTGAACTGTGTTTGTGAGACATTTCTGTGGAGGATATAAAAATCCAGAAACTAGAACAGTTTCCCCAAGGACTTAGGTATTGTTAGGTACAATTTGGGTACCTGTAGAAAGAGCTAGAAATCAACATTTCTGCTTAAGAACAGTAATTATTTATTGACAACCTACCATGTGCCAGGCACCGTACTATTTGCTTTATCTTTAAGCATCACAATAACCCAGAGAGGTGTATGTGGATCCCATTTTGCAGATAAAGAAAAAGACTGAAAGAGGTTATGTTGCTTGTCTAAGGTCCTATGACCCTGGTCACATTAAATCAGCATCCAGACCCAGGTCTGTCTGAAAACCATGTTTGTTCCATATTTAAGGGCATCATGTCCCAAAGAGTAGGGTTGAAGGCCAGCTTTGGATGTTGTATTTTCTGTGGAACTGAAAAATTACATGGGGTAGACATTGAGTTAAATGCACAATTCTTTCCTGTCGTCTCTGATGTAAGCTCTATAGTAATTGTCATGTGTACTCAGCTTTCTAAAAATTCCCATGGTGTCTTGGTGGATTCAGTGAAGAGTGATTTAAGTGTTGAGAATTGGCAAATTGAACCATTTCGCCTTTATTTCTTGATCATGGATATCTGATATGATTAACTGCTTTTCTTCCTCTCTTGGGTTCCAGGCGCATTGGAGTGACTGTCTGGCATCACCAAGATGACACTCCACGCCACCCGGGGGGCTGCACTCCTCTCTTGGGTAAGTAGTCTTCCTCTCTTTTGTTGGCTATACTTCTCCAGGAAGCTTGAGAGAGTTAGGAGAGGAGTTTTGTAGGAGCCAGGGCTATGTAAAGTCTTCTCATTTCTAGACTAAATAGTTTTCCTTTAGACAGCATGGAAATGCATTTTCATCTGCTCTGTGTGTATTTTTCTGAATAAAAGGGTAAATGTGGGCCGGGTGCGGAGCTTATGCCTGTAATCCCAGCACTTTGGGAGGCCGAGGCAGGTGGATCACCTGAGGTCAGGAGTTCGAGACCAGCCTGGCCAAGCTGGTGAAACCCCCCCGTCTCTACTAAAAATACAAAAATTAGCTGGCTGTGGTGGCGGGCACCTGTAATCCCAGTCACTCGGGAGGCTGAGGCCGGAGAATCACTTGAACCCGGGAGGCGGAGGTTGCTGTGAGCCGAGATCACACCATTGCACTCCAGCCTGGGCAACAGAGCAAGACTCGGTCTAAAAAATTAAAAAAAAAAAAGGGGGGGTGGTAAATGCTGACCTTAATGATCAACATATGCAGGGACTTTGGTCTTCAAAGGCCTTTAATCTAGGACAAGGTTCTCATCACTCTCTTACCACCTTTCTGTCTGTTGCCATTGTCCATCAGCAAATGTTGCCTTGCCGATTACTTCATCAAAATTCTTTTGCTAGATCATTCATACATTTTCTACCAGAGACAGTGGCAAATGAAAAAATAATAGAGTGCATTGGATATTTAAAGCTAGAGAGGCTGGATGTGGTGGCTCACACCTGTAATCCCAGCACTTTGGGAGGCTGAGGCAGGAGGATTGCTTGAGCCCAAGAGTTCAAGACCAGCCTGGGCAACATGGCAAAAACCTGTCTCTACAAAAAATTAAAAAATCAGCTGGGCATGGTGTCGTGCACCTGTAGTCTCACCTACTTGGCAGGCTAAGGTGGGAGGATCCCTTGAGCCCTGAAGGTTGAGGCTGCAGTGAGCCATGATTGCACCACTGCATTCCAGCGTGGGCGACAGAGTGAGACCATGTTTCAAAAATATATATAAAAATAATAAATAAAGCTAAAGAAACAGAGGAGACCATGGAGTGTGGTGATAAATATGGGTCTCAGAGTCACATGCCCAGCATAGAATCACAGCACTGGTCTCTCTGACCCAGGGCAAGTTGGCCTCTCAGTATCTTCAGTATCTTTTTTTTTTTGAGATGGAGTCTTGCTCTGTCGCCAGGCTGGAGTGCAGTGGCGTGATCTCGGCTCACTGCAACCTCTGCCTCCTGGGTTCAAGCAATTCTCCTGCTTCAGCCTCCCGAGTAGCTGGGATTACAGGTGCACGCCACCATGCCCAGCTAATTTTTTTGTATTTTTAGTAGAGACGGGTTTCACCATGTTGGCCAGGATGGTCTCGATCTCCTGACCTCGTGGTCCGCCCTCCTTGACCTCCCAAAGTGCTGGGATTACAGGTGTGAGCCACCACGCCTGGCCAGTATCATTTTTTTTAATGGGGATGATTTTAAATTAAAATACCTCATAAAGTTCTAATTTCTCTTGGCACCATGAAAAAATAAAATAAAATATCTCATGGGGTAATTACAAGGATAATGAGATACATATAGTGTGCACAAGTACCCACATACATGCAGTCATTTAGCATGTTATCTCAATAAATCATAGTTCTTGACATTTAAAATACTTCCTGGGCATGCTAGTTGACACAGGATATTTTAGTATTCACCCTGAGTACTGATTAATCAGGGCCAATTGGAGAGCCAACCATTTTTCTTTTTTTAAAAAATAGACATAGAGTCTCATTCTGTTGCCTAGACTGGAGTACAGTGATGTAATCATAGTTCATTGTAACCTCAAACTTTGGGGCTCAAGCCATCCTTCTACCTCAGCCCCCCAAGTAGCTAGGACCACAGGGGTACATGCCATGCTAATTTTAAAAAACTTTTTGTAGAGATGGGGTCTTGCTAAGTTGCCCAGGCTGGTCTCAAACTTCTGACCTCAATTTTAATGTGACCTCAAAAAAAATACAATGTTTTATATTTTTGGTAGAGACTGGGTTTTGCCATGTTTCCCAGGCTGGTCTTGAATTCCTGAGCTCCAGTGATCCACCCGCCTTGACCTCCCAAAGTGTTAGGATTGTAGGCATGAGCCACTGCGCCTGGCCTAAGACTAGTTTTATTTATAGCAGCTACTTACATCCTTTTCTGAAAAGTCACAATAAATATGCATGAGGCCAGGTGCAGTGGCTCACACCTGTAATGCCAGCACTTTGGGAGGCTGAGGTGGAGGATCACTTGAGCTCAGAAGTTTGCAACCACCCTGGGCAACGTGGTGAGACCCTGTCTCTTCAAAAAATACAAAAATTAGCTGGGTGTGGTGGTGTGCTCCTGTGGTTCCAGCTACTTAGGAGGCTGAGGTGGGAGGATCACCTGAGGCTGTGGAGGTTGAAGCTGCAGTGAGCTGTGATCGTGCCACTACACTCCGGCCTGGACAATAGAGTGAAAGCCTGTGTCAAAAAAAAAAAAAAAAAAAAAAAAACAAAGAACATGCATGAAAATGTTAAAGTATAGTTATATGTGCTGGGATCAGTAGTGCACACCTGTAGTCCCTGCTACTTGGGAAGCTGAGATGGGAGAATTGCTTGAGCCCGGGAGTTTGAGGTTGCAGTTAGCCATGATTGCATCTGTAAATAGCTGCTGCACTCCAACCTATAACATAGCAAGAGCCTGTCTCTTAAAAATATATATAAATATAGTATAGAGAATGTTTTCAATTTAAACAAAAGTTGTGGAGCTAAAGCAAATTTTATGAAACTGTAGTAGCATGAAATAATGCATCTGTTATGTTAGTGAGAAGAGTGGCATAGAACATACACATACACACACATGATAATTCCAACTACAGTTTAAAAAAAATTACCTAGAAAAAACGAAAGAAATACATCAAAATGCTAAAAGTACCTGTATTAAAATACTAGAATTATTGGGAGCTCTGTTTTTTGTCTTCTGAATTTTCAGTAATTTATAACATAAAAATAAATTAGTGGTTTATTTTATTAATACTTAAATTATAGCTTGAAACTATTCTGTAAACAGCAGTTAATAATGAATAAACTGTTACAGGGTATTTTAAGATTTGACAACCTTAAGCAACCTTGCAATCCTTAAAGGCAACTCTTGAGTTATGTGGTGAGCCTGGTCCTCACTCTCATGTTTTATGCCCTGACTAGAGATGAAGGAACTTCTCTACTTCCTCAACTTTTAAATGATTTCTCACTTGAGAGCAAAAATAACTCACAGGAAGAAAAAATATTTTTATATCCATGAAAGGAACTGTGGCTGGATTATTACTTAATTGGTATATGTGATGAATCCAGATTCCTTAGGAGACTTTACATCAGCTAATTGGTATGATTTTTTAGTCTTGTTAGTGAACAAGCATCCATAGTCCTTGAATGTTTTACCTAGATTGCAGGTATTGATAGGAGATGGTTTAGCCTTGGCAGTCTCTTCATTTTCTGCAGGTAAAATGGAATCTTGGCCTGAAGTTTTCAGAATCTTCCTAGAAAACTTACAATGACCTGTCCTGACCAATTAGATTGAGCTTTTTTCAAAAGACAGTAAAAATATATTATAAATATATTAGCAAACTCTTTAAGACGTCAATAAGTCATATTTTATTTCACGTTAAAAAAAATTTTAATCTGTTTTAACTGGGATTCATCTAAAAGATTCCGCTTTTTGAGATAGGGTCTTGCTCTGTGACCCAGGCTGGAATGCAGTTGCAGCTTCATAGCTCACAGCAGCCTGGAACTCCTGCACTCAAGCAATCCTCTGCCTCCCACCTTAGCCTCCTGAGTAGCTAGGACCACAGGCATGCACCACCATGCTGGGCTATTTTTCCTTTCTCTCTCTTTTTTTTTTTTTTTTTAATTTTTTGGGGAAAGGGTCTTGCTATGTTGCCTAGGCTGATCTCAAACTCCTGGCCTCAAGCGATTCTCCCTCCTCGTCCTCCCAAAGCACTGGGATTACAGGCATGAGCCACCACACCTAGCCTAAATGTTGTATTTATTTATTTATTTATTTTTTTGAGACAGGGTCTCAATCCGTTGGCCAGGCTAGAGTGCAGTGGTGTGATCATAGCTCGCTGTAGCCTTGACCTCCCAGGCTCAAGCGATCTTCCCACGTCAGCCTCCCGAGTAGCAGGGACTACGCGAGCATACAGGCGCAAGCCACCTCACCCAGCTAAAAATTTTTTTAAATTATTATTTTGTAGAGCCAGGGTCTCCTTATGTTGCCCAGGCTGGTCTTGAACTCCTGGCCTCAAGCAGTCCTTCCACCTCAGCCTCCCCAAGTGCTGGGATTACAGGCATGGGCCACTGCGCCTGGCCTAAAAGTTGTTTTTAAATGTGAAAGTGTTTAACTCAAATAAATACTATCATGTCTGTAGAGAAATCATTGATTTTTAAAAATCCTCTTAATTCTATAGTGCATGCAGCTAACTTAACTATTAAGAAATACAAATGTTATGTCTACTTCATTATTTTAATTTTATTAACCATAATAGTGCTTTATGTTTATTAGTTTTTCTTTTTTCTTTTTTTTTTTGAGATGTCTCTGTTGCCCAGGCCACAGTGCAGGGACACTATCATAGCTCATTGTAACTTCTCCAGCTCCTGGGCTCAAATGATCCACCTACCTCAGCCTCTTATGTAGGTAGGACTTACAGGCACATGTCACCATGTCCAGCTTGCTTGCTTGCTTATTTATTTATTTAGTAGAGACAAGGTATTGTTATGTTGCCCAGGGTGGTCCTAAACTCCCAGCCTCAAGCAGTCCCCCTACCTCAGCCTCCCAAAGTGCTGGGATTACAGGTGTGAGCCACTGCACCTGGCCTACTTTATATTTTTTAATGTGTTCTTGCATCCATAATCCCATTTGAGCTCACACTGGTCCTTTGAAGTAGATAAAGTAGGGATTCCATCCATTTGGCAAGGGAGGAAACTAGTGCAGAGAGAAATAAAGTTTGTAACAAAGGTTGCTGGCAAGTTTGTGGAGGAGCTGGGCCCAAAGTGTGTATGTACTGGCTCCCAGCCCAAATATAGAGAACACATTTGTAAGCAATAGAATCTAGTTGTCTGCACATAACCACTATGCTGAAGTTCTTTAAAATACCTTGTTTCTTAAAGCAGGCTCAGTCTCTCTCCCCTCTTAGTGTTGAATATGTGAATAATTAACTTAGCAAACCCTTTCTTCCTATAGTAATAAAAACGTAAACTTCAGCCCAGGCTACTTCTGAACTGTAGTGCCTGTGGAATTCATGAGGTTTTCCTGTAGAGGTTGACCATGTATACTTATTGAATAACCTGTGTACCTGATGTGTGTGACCCCTGGTGAATATTCTAGTGGTAAAAACTGATTTAAATGTATGCCTATCTGAAGCCAAAGAATGGGAACAGGCAACTAAATTAGAATTAAGAAGTTTTTCTTTGAAATTCCCAGCTCCTATTCTTTCATCCCCCACCGCCCCCTTTTTTTTTCTTTTCTTTTCTTTTTTTTTTTCCTTTGGAGACAGGGTCTTGCTCTGTCACTCAGGCTAGAGTACAGTGATGCAATCCCAGCTCACTGCAGCCTCGACCTCCCTGGGCTAAGGTGATCCTCCCACCTCAGCCTTCTAAGTAGCTGGGACTACAGGTATGTGCCACCACTCCTGGCTAATTTTTTGTATTTTTTGTAGGACAGGGTTTCACCATGTTGCCCAGGTTGGTCTTGAACTCCTGAGCTCAAGTGATCTTCCCGCCTCAGCCTCCCAAAGTGCTAGGATTACAGGTGTGAGCCACCGCGCTTGGCTCCCTCCACCCCCTTTTTAAAAAATCATCTTGTTCCCCTATTGTTTTTCCCTTCTCCCCTCAGCCAAAGCTTTATGTGTGGAAAGAATAAAAATGTATTAATAAGATTTTATATCTTTGTGGGAGTGTATAGCATATATGTAATATTTAAGTTTTGAATAGATATTTCAAAACTCAAGAGCCACAAAGGGCTATAATATAAAATGTATTAATAAGATTTTATATGTTTGTGGGAGTGTATAGCATATATGTAATATTTAAGTTTTGAATAGATATTTCAAAACTCAAGAGCCACAAAGGACTATAATATAAAAATCCAAGGGATACAGAAACTTATAATGTAAACGTTCAAGAAATACAAAGAGCTATAATACATTCAAGAGCTACAGAGAGTTATAATGTAAGAGCCTTTCTTTTCCCACCTCAGACTCCCTGCTGTCAAGTTCCTCTCTTTAGAAGCAGTGGTAGTACCAATTTATTGGTGTATCCTTCCAAAATACTCCCAGTGCTGGAACATCTTAGGAAAGTTTAAGCTTTTATTTAGTTGAAGCCAAAGGAAGGGCTCTCTGATGGTTGCATTTCAGGTGGCTGTAACTGGATGAGTGAGTGCAACGGCACTCCTTCCTGAAATTAAAAACCTGAGAATCATCAGTTCTTGTATTCCTATAGTCTACAACTGTAAGCACTCACATTAAGCCTCTGGGAAAAGGAGCAAACCATGTTGCTTCTAACGGTCTCACTAGGCTGTTCCCTTTGATTTACAGGTGAACAGTCTACACGTGGCTGACCCTGTGGAGGCTGTGCTGCAGCTCCAGGACTGCAGCATCTTCATCAAGATCATTGACAGAATGTGAGTACGCACCATACCCCTTTCTAGCCTCTAAGGCAAAGCTGATTGCTGGGGTGGGGGCTGTACTTGTTCTCTTTACTTGATGATGGCTATGACCAGAAATCAGGGGAAGGATTGGGACATCATAAGCCAGGGTGGGGCCTAAAGGCAAGAATACATTGACCTCATCTTCCAGTTGCTGTACCACTCCATGGGAGAGGTTTTACGCTTGTCCCATCCTGAGGCTTCTGCATTCTTGCACAGGAGAACCTCCAAGGCTCCACGCCCTCACATTCTTCCAAGTGCTCACTCTTGGGTTCCCCATCTCTTGTCTCACCAGAAGGCTTCTACAACCCTCCTTTCTTGACTCATCCCTACCCTATGCCACAAGCCCTCTTTGCAGCCTTCTGAGGGAAGAAAGGGGAAGCTCTCACATCTGAAGGAAAGAAGAAACACCTAGAAATCTCATCTCTAACTTGTTAGCACAGTACAGATATGCCTCTTTCTAAGCCATTATAAAATAAGTACACTTCTGGGGTTTTTACTGCTTCAATTAACTTGATTTCTGAGGTCCATGAGCATTTAATAAGCTTGTTGTTACCATGCAGCAAGGATTGTAGTTTGGCCTTTTGGTCTGTGTCTTTAGCACATTTCCTTTGAACGTCACAGTTATCTCGGAAATGAATAAAGTGGGGCTTCCTCCCAGTATCCTACCTTTCTGGGACCAAGCATAGGTCAGTTGTCATCTTTTTTTTTTTTTTTTTTTTTTTTTTTTAAGAAAAAGCACATTAGATTGTTTGCCCCAGGCCAAGGATAGACTGAAGTGTTGAAGGTGTTTATGTGCCATACGTGGCAGTTAGGAACTGGTATCAGGGACTCATATCTCTGAAGCAAGCACTTTAGCTACCTGTTCATAGGTAACAGCTCATTGATAGGGAAAGAAGGTAGAATTAAGCTTATCAAAGGCTAGAACTGTGTCTGATTCATCTTGGGGTCCTCCCTACCTAGCTTAGGATGCTACATTGTTTAGGTTTTAGTGAATGTTTGTTGAGTGAAGAGATGAGTTGGTGTTCTCTATCAGCAAGGTCTAGCGGGGCCAAGTGGCCCAGGACAGATGGGTCTGCTGCTAAAGTGGTTTTTATTTGAAGTGTGTGTTGATCGTGGGTTATCTTACAGGA
Organism: Homo sapiens; assembly: GCF_000001405.40. Lineage (NCBI taxonomy): Eukaryota > Metazoa > Chordata > Mammalia > Primates > Hominidae > Homo > Homo sapiens. The sequence goes on along the minus strand of NC_000011.10, from coordinate 72,028,047 downwards.
TTTTTTAATATTCCATATGGCTCTAACCAGGACCTGCCTTAGTACCTCTGAAAGAAGTCACTATTCTTATTTTGGTCCAGACAGTACCATTTTCTCTCCCAGTTACCCAGGCAGGACATTTCAACATCATCTTGACTTCTCTGTCTCCTTGGCGCTGATCTCTAATTGGTCATCATCCTCTCTGCTCACATCCAGCGTCCCTCCCTCTGCCTCATTCTGGATACTAGGCCCTCATGGCCTAGTTCTTCTCTAATCTGCCCTTATTGCAGTTCATTCCTATGCACGAGTTCTCAAGAATCTTTCTCAAATCTTGTTTTCTTTGTGACACTTCAGTGACTCTTCATCAAACCTCAGTGAATATTCATTTCTAATAGGTAGAAATCTAAAATCTTCAGCCTGGTGTTTAAGATCTTTCATCAGGGGGTCATTTCCTCTCACCAGTTTTGTTTCCTGCTTTTTTCTCTCCCCACTCGACACCACCTCATTTTTTTTTAATCTTATAGAAATCCTTAAATCCTGGATTTTGTTAATTGCATTATTATGGTACGGCTTAACTTGTTCCACTATTCCCCTTGTTGCCTATATACTGATAATTAGATCTAAGCTTGATTCACTTTTTTTTTTTGTCAAGGATACTTCATAGTTGGGGTTGTGTACCACCTGTAAGTCAGCATTTTGCAACTTCTGTTGAAAATCATTATTTTGCAAACCCTAAGGAAGTGATAGATCCAGGCACCTGACATTAATGGGTGGTAAAACCATTAGTCTGGCAATACCTAACTCTCTGTTTAATTTTAACCTCACTAAAAGTGAAGCAGCCAGGTATAATATGCCTTGTATTGTAACACACAATATGGGGCAGCATGCTTTTTTGACTTCAAAATAGATCAAGGAACTTTTGCTTTTGAAGAGAGAAATTTCCTTGGCCTGGTGACAAGAGCAGTAGATGTGCCCAAGAGTAAGGATGTGTGTTGTCCTTGGGTTAGCCACTGTAGGTTTATAACCTGCTAGGAAATTTTCATAGGAAGGGCCAAAAATTCAAGATGCTCATTTGCAAGTTGTCTTCTAGGGTGTTGCCTGAACCTAGGCTGCAGTAGAAGTGGGGCTTGGAGGTAGGCGATATTGAAATCCCAGGTTAATGCTAATCTCCATCTCAGATCCAGGACAATGCAGACCAGCTTCCTTTTGGGAAATGGAGGTTCTTAGTTAATATGTTCTGGCTCTTACATTTCTGATACCGCTACTGGTGCCAACCTAAATCAGCAGCCTAGTTCTCAGCAGAAGGCAGCAGAGGATGGCAAGGTTGGAGGGTAGATAGAAGCTGTGGGAGTTGGGTGGCTCCTGTCTGCACACTGGACAAGGGGCACCCTGAGAAAAATAATTCTTTAAAAAATTAAAAAAAAAATAAGCTGTGGGAGTTGAGGGTTTAACTGCTTGGCCACTTGGCCTTCTCTCTGGGAAAATTAACTGGGATCAACCCCTCTGACAAGTTTCCCTTTTGGTTCTTCTGTGCGTGAATAGTCTAAAGCAAAAAAGGCTGTCCCGTCTGTTTGATAGCTGTGAAGCTTGAATAACAGAGTATAGTGGAGGCATTTTGCCAGAAAACTTAGAGGTCTGACATTTTTGTCTTGCTGACTTTTATTTCTGCTCTTCTCAGTAAAAAGCATCCCTCAGTTGTCAGTCAGCCCATATGTATTGAGCACCTACTTTATTCCTGGCTTTCAGCTAGTGCAGTTGGAGTGGGCAGTTGTAAATGGTGCAGTTGCATTCATGAGTGCTGCAGGAAGACCTGGAGGACAGCCGAGGCATGACTGGCAGGAGTTGTGGATGGCTTCCTGACAGAGATGAGACTTCAACACAGTCTTAAAGGATGGGCTGGATTTCTCTAGGACTACTGTTGTCCAAAGTATGCTCCATGCAGCTTTACTTACACCAGGCTTTGTAGGGGGTGGGGGAAAAGGGTTTTGTGGTCAAATAGGTTTAGGAAATAATGCATGTTGTATCTTCTTCTATAAAAAATGTTCAGTTTAACCCAGCATTTTTTAAACATTTCACCTGAGAACCTCTTTTTATTTTAGTTAATGGAATACTCTGAGGTAAATATTGCTCTACACTGAGCCAAGGAGTCACAACATTCCAGATTGTGGGTGGGTAGGGAAAATGGCTCATTTGGGAGTCTGTAAGAGATTAGCATCTCCTCAAGACTTTGTAGGAGTCTCTGATCTCAGACCAACTATCCAGACAGAGTGCTTCTGGGAGGGATTCACTTGGAAGAAGCCTGTGTAATCACATGGGGTATGGGGGGAGGTACACTCATAGTCTTGGCTTGGATGATGCTTATGCTTGCAGGATGTCTCTGGCATTGGAAGGTTCTGGGCCTGCCCTGCCCTCCAGAAAGTTGGCTAAGAACTAGGAGTGTAGATTCTGAGAAGCAAGGGGCCCACTAATCAGGATCTCCCACTGTAGCCTAGAGAATTCAGCTTTCTAACTTGAAGTGGTATTTCACCTGCTGCTTCTGAAAATGGAACTGCAGTTAGCTAGGGGATCCAGCGAAGTTCCCCCACTAGGTTGAAGGCTGAGATGGCAAAAGCCTCCCAGAGCAGGATCCCAGGGACTAGTATTCTTTTTTTTTTTTGGAGACAGAATCTCGCTCTGTTGCCCAGGCTGGAGTGCAGTGGCATGATCTCAGCTCACTGTAATCTCTGTCGCTTGGGTTGAAGCAGTTCTCCTGCCTCAGCCTCCTGGGCTGTGTGAGAGCTCCCCCTGCTGTCTCCCTCTCCTCATGGCTCTCTTCACACTGCCCGCTCTTCCAGTTAAGCAAGTACAGACAAGAACCACTAATCAAGAATACTAGTCCTAGCTGGGCGCAGTGGCTCCAGCCTGTAATCCCAGCACTTTGAGAGGCTGAGGTGGGTGGAGGTCAGGAGTTTGAGACCAGCCTGGCCAACATGGCGAAACCCCATCTCTACTAAAAATACAAAAATTAGCCGGGCGTGGTGGTCCATGCCTGTAATCCCAGCTACTTGGGAGGCTGAGGCAGGAGGATTGCTTGAACCCAGGAGTCAGAGGTTATAGTGAGCCGAGATCGTGCCACTGCACTCCAGCCTGGGCAACAGAGCGAGATTCTGTCTCAAACAAACAAACAAACAAACAACACTCTAGTCCCTGGGATCCTCCTCTGGGAGGCTTTTGCCATCTCAGCCTTCAGCCTAGTGGGGGAACTTCACCCTGTCACTTCAGAGCCTTGTTTCCTCCTGTTCTTTCAGTTCTTGGATGTTTTTCCCTCCCCATGGTCTTCTCTCACTCTTAACCTAGGTGTGTTCTCCAGGCTTCCTGACAGTTTAGAGTTGAGCCATTCCAGATGGTGTAATATAGCTTCCCGTTCATCTGTGCTGCCTCCGTCTCCTCTCGGCCCCTTTCCACAGAGCTTTTTTATGTTTGCAAATAGGGTGGCAGAGTGCCATCTTTTCCAGAAGAACCCCATGCCTCAAGTCCCCTCTTCCCACCCACCACACAGTTCCATCTGGATAAATGGTGTCCTGGTATCTGTCACCTGCCTCCAGGATCTGATCTGGATCTCTTCCAGATCCAGCAGAGATCAAGACTGGAAGGAATGGGGAGGTACTATGAAATGCAGCAGCAAGGAGGCAAAGATTGCTGAATACTCTGGTCCTAATACTTGCTCTTTTTCTAGCCATGGCACTGAAGAGGGACAGCAAATCTTGAAGCAGCCGGTGTCAGAGAGACTGGACTTTGTGTGCAGTTTTCTGCAGAGTAAGCACCTTTCTTATCCAGCTATGAAGAAGCTGCTTCCTCAGCTCGTGGGATTGGAGAGTCCAGAGGAACTAGTTCATGGGTGTCTGGAGGAGAAAAATTTCAAGGCTCCCCACTCTTTAACACAAAGATGAAAACAGCTGGTTCAGATCCCCTGGGTCTTGTGATGCCTTCATCAGTTGGTGTAAGAAGAGTGTCCCTTCAGTCCCAGAGCCCTTCTCGGAGATCTAGGTGGAGCCAGAAGGTTACTTTTTGGGACCTGTCACTTTTAACTCTTTGAGCACCTTAAGTTTCTGTTTCCCCGAACTTCAAGGAGACAGAAGAGAGAATGAGTCTCTTTCCCTTGCAAGAAAAACTGTTTTTCCCAGATAACTTTGAATTAATTGCTTAGGCGATAGGTGTAGGGGCAGAGGCACATTAAGGTTGATCTTGACCCCCCTCACTGCTTGTGTGACCTTTCTGGACATAGGTTCCCTATCTATAATATGGAGATAACTGCTCTTCAAGTGGATGGGTGGATTAAATAAGAACACATGCAAAGCTTCTAGTACAGTGCTTTTCAGTTCCCCTCCCCTTGTCCAGCCTTAGACCACAGAGTCCTCGTCTTTGACATGGGGAGCTAGCTGCCATCTCCACCCCTAGAGAATTATAGGAAAGGTGAGGCTTTATTTAGATAAAGTAAGGTGTTAGTAATTTGAGCCCAGACCCTCGGGCAGTATAAGAGTCACGTATCCCTAGTTGTCCTTTTCTGACTCAGCTATAGGTTTACTCTGTGACCTCAGTTGGAACAGGATTCTAAAGTGACCTGGCATCTCTGGGCTCTTCCTCTGTGGTGCTGAGAGTTGGTGAGTGGGTGGGAGAGTGCAACATCATGACCCAGAGTTGCTGTGAATTCCGAGGCTGCTTTCTTCTTCCATTATCCCTGTAGCCCTTGGATTGACCCAGGATAGAACTGACTTCAGATGGAAAATTGTAAGGCAGGGGAAAGAGGCCATAGGAGTAAGGAGGCCTACATCTCATAGCCCCACCAGAGATAGCCATTCTGCTCCCCAGATTTCAGTGTTCTGGGATCTCAGGTATGGTTTCCAGGAAGTTCACCCTGTTTTCTACGTTGTTGTCATTGCAGAAAATCGAAAACATCCCTCTTCCCCAGAATGCCTGGTATCTGCACAGAAGGTGCTAGAGGGATCAGAGCTGGAACTGGCGAAGGTACCTATGGAATACCAGACTGGGGAGGCAGGGCAGGGTTGGGGTGATGGTACCTGAGGGACCCTGCAGGGCCTTCTCTTAACCCAAGGGGAGATGATGGGTGCTTTATTTCTGGGGCTCTAGTACGTTGGAGGTAGAACCAGGCAGCCACCTGTCTTGAGACAGAGGCTAATTTAGCCCAAGGATTCTAGGAGCCCATGATCTTATGACAGAGATTATGAAACAAACAATGGTTTACTAGACCATTACTGTGGGCCTCGGTGGAGACCTGGCAGAAATCAGGTCTCATTCGGCTATCACCATATTTTTATTATAGCTCAGTCTTAAGTCATTCCCTCTGCTCTTTCTGGGTGCTGGCCTATAGAGGGTACCTAAAGCTTCACACCCAGGGTTCCATGAGTCCAGGAATTGAGCCATGCAGGAATCTTGGCGCTCAGCTTTTTGTACAGTGTACACTATCCTTAATTAAAAAAAAAAAAAAAAAGTGTTTCCTGGAGCTGTTAAGGATGGTGGCCTGGGATTGCTGAATTCCAGGACTTTTAGAAGAGTCACCGGAATAGCTCAGAGTCCCCAGAACAGCCCAGAATGGGGGCACTGAGAAGAGAGACAGCCCCACTCAGTGACTGCCTCCTGTTTGGCTTCTAGATGACCATGCTGCTCTTATACCACTCTACCATGAGCTCCAAAAGTCCCAGGGACTGGGAACAGTTTGAATATAAAATTCAGGTAAGCCCTTGTGCCTCCATGCCACCTAGCAGGCCTAGCCCATGCTTCACCTCACCTGACTTGTTTTTCTTTGAACAGCAGATACTGGACTTTTTAAAAATACAGTTATAGCAATTATTGCCATTCATCATAGAAAGTCTGGGAAACGTTGAAAAGCATGCAGGAGGAAATAACAGTTGCCGATAAACTCATTCCCAGAGTTTGCTAACTTTTTAAAGGATGTACTTTCAAGTCCTTTTTTATGTGCATATGTTTAACTGTAATGTGTTTTAGGATAATACGTAGAAATTATTCTCTGTTCCTATATGTGTTTCTGTGTGTGTGTGTTTTTTTTCCCCCACAGAACTTTCACTTCATTTATCTCATCCTTTCCTCTGGTAGGGTCATCTGGAAGAGGCCAACATAGTTATATATAAAAGCTTCCTGGCCGGGCGTGGTGGCTCACGCCTATAGTCCCAGCACTTTGGGAGGCCGAGACAGGAGGATTGCTTGAGGCCAGGAGTTCAAGATCAGCCTGGGTAACATAGCGAGACCCTGTCTCAACAAAAAATATTTTTTTTAAAAAAAATGAGCTGGGTGTGGCAGTGTGTGTCTGTAGTTCTAGCTACTTGGGGAGCTGAGGAGGAGGAGTTGACTCCAGGAGTTGGAGGTTATAGTGAGCTATGATTGTGCCACTGTACTCCAGCCTGGGTGACAGAGCAAGATCTTGTTTCTTAACAACAATAACAATAAAAGCAACTTTCTGATTGTGTTACTTTCCTTAACAGTCACTTCACTTGTGGTCAGGAGTTAAGTCAGTCAGGAACTCTGACTTCGGTACATCTTGAGGGGAGGTGGGAGGGAAGGGGACAAGTGGGGTGAACATATCTCTAGTTGAATGTTGTTGGCTGGGTCATAGGACCTCAGCTCTGAGAGGGAGAATGGGATCCAGCAGGCTCCTAGGGCATGAGGGAGCCGGGGACTGGCACTGCCAGGGTGGAGCTCCTGGCAGCCATCCCTTCAGAGGCCTAACACCTAAGTGATGCTCTTTTTCTCCCTGTGGCCCAGGCTGAGTTGGCTGTCATTCTTAAATTTGTGCTGGACCATGAGGACGGGCTAAACCTTAATGAGGACCTAGAGAACTTCCTACAGAAAGGTAAGTAGGTACACACTCCTGAGAATCCCCTCATCTCTGAAATGGGGAATACTAGGATCCTGAGTTGTCAAGTATGGTGGGGGTTTGTTTCTGTCCCCAACACAAGGCAGAGTTGATGCTCAGGAAAAGTGTGTGTAATGGAGTAGGTCGATTTCTGGGCCATGTTGTATCATCTCAGTTCCTATGGAGCTCCTCCTTGCTGCCTGGCAGCAGTTATGTAGGATATTTACAAGTGATCATACCTACTTTTGTTTTTTATTTTTTAAACAATCATTACTCTAGGCTTAGAAGCTGAGAATACAGTCTTTTTATTTTTATTTTTATTTTTTTTTGAGACAGAGTCTCTCTCTGTCGCCCAGGCTGGAGTGTAGTGGTGCGATCTCAGCTCACTGCAATCTCCACTTCCCGTGTTCAAGCAATTCTCCTGCTTAGCCTCCCGAGTAGCTGGGATTACAGGCGCATGCCACCACACCTGGCTAATTTTTGTATTTTTTGTAGAGACGGGGTTTCACCATGTTGATTAGGCTGGTCTCGAACTCCTGACATCAGGTGATCCACCTGCCTCGGCCTCCCAAAGTGTTAGGAATACAGGCATGAGCCACTGCGCCCGGCCCACAGTCTTTTAAAAAATGTTTTTCCCGTCATGTAGTGCATGTTCTAGGTGGAAAGGCAGATACATAAACCAGGAAATAATGATAAGGAATCTAAGTACGGAATATATCAATGGCCTCGGCTGGTACTACAGTAGAAAGAGTGATCGTTCTGCTGGTCTTCTGATGAAGAGGTCAGCTGGTGGATGATAGGAATGTAAGAAGGAGGTCTAGGCGAGTTCTAGCCGTTGAGTTTGATGTTCCTTGTATTCAGGTTCCTCATGAGACCTTCAGGTGGAGATGTTAGAAATGTGAGTCCAGAATTCAGGAGCAGGCTCTGGACCAGAAGATAGGTTTGCAAGTCAGCATTGGATGGCCACTGAAGCCGTGGGCACTATGGGCAGAGCCAAGAGGCCCCATCAGATCTCTGGGAGCTTAGAGGGTGGGTAGAGGAGGGAGGAGCAGATGAGGAGACTTAAGAATGGGTGATTAGAGGTAGGAGAGTCCTACAAAAGGGGTCACGGAAACCACGGAAAGAGAAGGGTTTTGAGGAGGAGGGCATTTTGGAGGTGCAAGGCTTCAGGGGGGATGAATTCCAAATGGTGGCCAATGGCTCTGATAGGAAAGGTTGTTGGGGGCTGCAAGGAGATCCTGCTCAGGGCTCCCCAAGCCGTCTCTGCAGTGTGGACTCGAGGAAAAAGCTTGAGCACTTGGTGCAGTTTCTGAGCCAGAGGACACCGTCACTCCACTGTGCTCTGAGTAATGATGCTCTGTAGAAATGGAAGCCCTGCACTTCATTTTGGTTAGAGACACGGAACTCTGGATAACCCAGGCACCAGGTTTCAGGTTCTGCCCAGTGCCTTCCTTGGTAGTTTACATATAAGTATCCATGGATATACTCCCACTAAGGCGAGTTCTCAAATTGCATAAAGGTGCAAATCTTTACACCTTCTTACTAACCTTTGTTGATTTATTTTGTCTATTTCTTACCCCCAGCTCCTGTGCCTTCTACCTGTTCTAGCACATTCCCTGAAGAGCTCTCCCCACCTAGCCACCAGGCCAAGAGGGAGATTCGCTTCCTAGAGCTACAGAAGGTTGCCTCCTCTTCCAGTGGGAACAAGTATGTTCTGGGCCTCTCCTCCTGGGATAGGGCCTCAGCATCCATCCATTCCTCACATTCCTAACTTCTAGAGTTAAGATGTTAACCAGCCTCTGGGAGTGCTTAGAGTATCCGGTAGATCTGGGATCTCCTCACCTCACCCAGTATTAACTGGGGGAAGTGGTTGGGATTTGTCATGTGCAGAAGGCCTCCCTCAAAAGCTGTTCCCTGTTTATGGAATACCCTTCTTCCTCGGAGACTACAATGAAGTCTCTTCTCTTAGCACATCTCTGCAGAGCCAAGGAGAATATATCACTTTTTTTTTTTCTGACAAAGAAATTAAGGCAGTGAGAAGAAAAGTTTTCCCAAGATCATGTCATGAGGCTTGAGGTAGCACTGCAAACAACCCAGGTGCACAGGCCTCCCAGCTGCTAGTGCGCACTTCCATAGACCCCGCTCCCTTACTGCTGCCTGTTGCTGATTGCTTCAGATCTTAGGCGCTTACCAATGCATATGGGCCTTCTCCCTCCTCAGCTTTCTCTCAGGTTCTCCAGCTTCTCCCATGGGTGATATCCTGCAGACCCCACAGTTCCAGATGAGACGGCTGAAGAAGCAGCTTGCTGATGAGAGAAGTAATAGGGATGAGCTGGAGCTGGAGCTAGCTGAGAACCGCAAGCTCCTCACCGAGAAGGGTAGGTGGCTGGCACACTGGCAGATGTGTGAATAGACTTGCCGGAAGGATGTCCCCTGGCCTCCCATGTTGTCCCCTCTGCTGGCCCCTGGAGCTGAGAGCTCAGCCCTGGGCCTGTGGTCAGGCTGACCTCCTGGAAGCTAGGTTCTGTCTTTGTCCCCATCTTCTCTTTCCCTTAGATTGGATACCATATTCCTCCTCTTCCCTATGCCGTCTCCTCCCTTCCCCTTGTGCACATAGTTCTGTGCACATAGTTCCGCTCATGCACATAGTTCTGATTCTCCTCTCCTCCTCCCTCCACTCTGGGCAGATGCACAGATAGCCATGATGCAGCAGCGCATTGACCGCCTAGCCCTGCTGAATGAGAAGCAGGCGGCCAGCCCACTGGAGCCCAAGGAGCTTGAGGAGCTGCGTGACAAGAATGAGAGGTACAGCTCTCCCTGCATTCCTTCCCAGGCCCCAGCCCCTCCCCTCACCCAGCCAGGAACCCATACTCTCTTCTCACTGCTTCCCTCCCTCGCAGCCTTACCATGCGGCTGCATGAAACCCTGAAGCAGTGCCAGGACCTGAAGACAGAGAAGAGCCAGATGGATCGCAAAATCAACCAGCTTTCGGAGGAGAATGGAGACCTTTCCTTTAAGGTGGGTGTTAAGGTGGTGTGTGCATGGAGGCCCCTCAGGGCTGAGGTGGTCTGGAAGGCTCCCCAAGAGAGGGTTGAGAAGAATGTCCCAGCACCTGTCTTATGCTTCAGTCTCTCCAGAGACCTGCATATTTTGCCCCTTTCCTTATCCCATAATTGGCGGCTTCCCGGGTACTGGGCTGTGACCCTAAATGTTGATTTGTAGTTCTGAATTAGAGGTGTGATGGCTGTGATTGGTTTGTAGAGGGTTGGCAGGATAATTGGAGGCATCCAGCCCCTGGGGTTCTGGGAGCAGACAGCAGTGGTGGGGTCAGCGTTGACTCTGGGTGATGGGGATTCTCACTTGCCCGTCTCAGCTGCGGGAGTTTGCCAGTCATCTGCAGCAGCTACAGGATGCCCTCAATGAGCTGACGGAGGAGCACAGCAAGGCCACTCAGGAGTGGCTAGAGAAGCAGGCCCAGCTGGAGAAGGAGCTCAGCGCAGCCCTGCAGGACAAGGTAACCCTCTGCTGGGGTCACAGCCACAGTCTTGACCACATGTGCAAAGCTGAGTCCAGTTTACCACTGTGCTCTTCTGGGCCTTTGGGTATTAAGTTGCTTTCTCTTCAAGGTTCAATAGTGTGCTGTAATTGAAAGATTGTGGGCTTCAGTCTAGTACACCTTTTTTTTTTAACTTATTTTTTTTTTCCCCAGTCAATGCCCTCACTTTATAGTACACCTTTCAATCCTATCTCTGCTGTTCACAAGATGTGGATCTTGGACAAGTTAATCAGTCTGTTTTTCTAAGCATCCTTTCCCTAAAATGGGAGTAGTAACGAGTAGCTGCCTCATCACCTATTATGAGAAAACGTATGTAAAGCACTTCACACATCGTGTAGTGTAAAGTAAGCTCTCAGTGAACCAGTTGTGATTGTTACTATTGGTAAGAACCCAATTTGGCCACTTACTAATAACCATGTAGCCCTTGATCAAGGCACTTAGCATCTGCTTCAGGTTCTTGCTCTGTAAGAGGAATGGTAGTAGCTGCCTCCCACATAAGCTGGGTGTGGTGATGCATGCCTGTAGTCCCAGCTACTCGGGAGGCTGAGACAGAAGAAGCTCTCGAATCTGGGAGGTGGAGGTTGCAGTAAGCCAAGATCTCGCCACTGCACTCCAGCCTAGGCGATAGAGCGAGACTCTGTCTCAAAAAAAAAAAAAAAAAAAAAAAAATTAGGGATGAACCCAGCATAGCCTATTGTAGGTGCTTAGTGAACAGTGGTGAAGAAGTGGGTTTGGGACTGGGGGTTGCTGCAGCTGCTGCCAGTGGTATTGCTGCCCAGAGGATGGTGGGCAGCTGGTGGTGATTTGGATAATCTAGGACTCAAGACTTATCTGAGGAAGGGTATACGGTAAGGAAATTTGAAGTAAACTCAGCAGCCTTGGGGAAGTAGTAAGCAGGTTACATTATGACTTTATTGTGCCTTAGAACTAGGTCTAGAGAATCAGGTCCCTCATGCTCCCAGTTCCATGGTTTCTGCTTTTTTCTAGGCCAGGGCAAAAGGAGATCTTGGTAACAAGATGATGGGCCCCATGTTTGCTGATGTTTATGAGGGCTTGTGTGGTAATCTGGTGCCTGTTCCCCCTCTCTGTTCACATGGGTCTCATTTACTCCCAGAAATGCCTTGAAGAGAAGAACGAAATCCTTCAGGGAAAACTTTCACAGCTGGAAGAACACTTGTCCCAGCTGCAGGATAACCCACCCCAGGAGAAGGGCGAGGTGCTGGGTGATGTCTTGCAGGTAGGAATGCACAGAAAGACCTGTGTGCTGCTGGTTGGTGTGGACTCACATTCAGTACATTTGGGTTCCTGGTGTTCCTCCATTTCCAGAGGAGTCTTGATGACTGAGGAGTCATGCTGATCCCAGTTTGTCTCTTTATACCACCAGCTGGAAACCTTGAAGCAAGAGGCAGCCACTCTTGCTGCAAACAACACACAGCTCCAAGCCAGGGTAGAGATGCTGGAGACTGAGCGAGGCCAGCAGGAAGCCAAGCTGCTTGCTGAGCGGGGCCACTTCGAAGAAGAAAAGCAGCAGCTGTCTAGCCTGATCACTGACCTGCAGAGCTCCATCTCCAACCTCAGCCAGGCCAAGGAAGAGCTGGAGCAGGCCTCCCAGGCTCATGGGGCCCGGTTGACTGCCCAGGTGGCCTCTCTGACCTCTGAGCTCACCACACTCAATGCCACCATCCAGCAACAGGATCAAGAACTGGCTGGCCTGAAGCAGCAGGCCAAAGAGAAGCAGGCCCAGCTAGCACAGACCCTCCAACAGCAAGAACAGGCCTCCCAGGGCCTCCGCCACCAGGTGGAGCAGCTAAGCAGTAGCCTGAAGCAGAAGGAGCAGCAGTTGAAGGAGGTAGCGGAGAAGCAGGAGGCAACTAGGCAGGACCATGCCCAGCAACTGGCCACTGCTGCAGAGGAGCGAGAGGCCTCCTTAAGGGAGCGGGATGCGGCTCTCAAGCAGCTGGAGGCACTGGAGAAGGAGAAGGCTGCCAAGCTGGAGATTCTGCAGCAGCAACTTCAGGTGGCTAATGAAGCCCGGGACAGTGCCCAGACCTCAGTGACACAGGCCCAGCGGGAGAAGGCAGAGCTGAGCCGGAAGGTGGAGGAACTCCAGGCCTGTGTTGAGACAGCCCGCCAGGAACAGCATGAGGCCCAGGCCCAGGTTGCAGAGCTAGAGTTGCAGCTGCGGTCTGAGCAGCAAAAAGCAACTGAGAAAGAAAGGGTGGCCCAGGAGAAGGACCAGCTCCAGGAGCAGCTCCAGGCCCTCAAAGAGTCCTTGAAGGTCACCAAGGGCAGCCTTGAAGAGGAGAAGCGCAGGGCTGCAGATGCCCTGGAAGAGCAGCAGCGTTGTATCTCTGAGCTGAAGGCAGAGACCCGAAGCCTGGTGGAGCAGCATAAGCGGGAACGAAAGGAGCTGGAAGAAGAGAGGGCTGGGCGCAAGGGGCTGGAGGCTCGATTACAGCAGCTTGGGGAGGCCCATCAGGCTGAGACTGAAGTCCTGCGGCGGGAGCTGGCAGAGGCCATGGCTGCCCAGCACACAGCTGAGAGTGAGTGTGAGCAGCTCGTCAAAGAAGTAGCTGCCTGGCGTGAGCGGTATGAGGATAGCCAGCAAGAGGAGGCACAGTATGGCGCCATGTTCCAGGAACAGCTGATGACTTTGAAGGAGGAATGTGAGAAGGCCCGCCAGGAGCTGCAGGAGGCAAAGGAGAAGGTGGCAGGCATAGAATCCCACAGCGAGCTCCAGATAAGCCGGCAGCAGAACGAACTAGCTGAGCTCCATGCCAACCTGGCCAGAGCACTCCAGCAGGTCCAAGAGAAGGAAGTCAGGGCCCAGAAGCTTGCAGATGACCTCTCCACTCTGCAGGAAAAGATGGCTGCCACCAGCAAAGAGGTGGCCCGCTTGGAGACCTTGGTGCGCAAGGCAGGTGAGCAGCAGGAAACAGCCTCCCGGGAGTTAGTCAAGGAGCCTGCGAGGGCAGGAGACAGACAGCCCGAGTGGCTGGAAGAGCAACAGGGACGCCAGTTCTGCAGCACACAGGCAGCGCTGCAGGCTATGGAGCGGGAGGCAGAGCAGATGGGCAATGAGCTGGAACGGCTGCGGGCCGCGCTGATGGAGAGCCAGGGGCAGCAGCAGGAGGAGCGTGGGCAGCAGGAAAGGGAGGTGGCGCGGCTGACCCAGGAGCGGGGCCGTGCCCAGGCTGACCTTGCCCTGGAGAAGGCGGCCAGAGCAGAGCTTGAGATGCGGCTGCAGAACGCCCTCAACGAGCAGCGTGTGGAGTTCGCTACCCTGCAAGAGGCACTGGCTCATGCCCTGACGGAAAAGGAAGGCAAGGACCAGGAGTTGGCCAAGCTTCGTGGTCTGGAGGCAGCCCAGATAAAAGAGCTGGAGGAACTTCGGCAAACCGTGAAGCAACTGAAGGAACAGCTGGCTAAGAAAGAAAAGGAGCACGCATCTGGCTCAGGAGCCCAATCTGAGGCTGCTGGCAGGACAGAGCCAACAGGCCCCAAGCTGGAGGCACTGCGGGCAGAGGTGAGCAAGCTGGAACAGCAATGCCAGAAGCAGCAGGAGCAGGCTGACAGCCTGGAACGCAGCCTCGAGGCTGAGCGGGCCTCCCGGGCTGAGCGGGACAGTGCTCTGGAGACTCTGCAGGGCCAGTTAGAGGAGAAGGCCCAGGAGCTAGGGCACAGTCAGAGTGCCTTAGCCTCGGCCCAACGGGAGTTGGCTGCCTTCCGCACCAAGGTACAAGACCACAGCAAGGCTGAAGATGAGTGGAAGGCCCAGGTGGCCCGGGGCCGGCAAGAGGCTGAGAGGAAAAATAGCCTCATCAGCAGCTTGGAGGAGGAGGTGTCCATCCTGAATCGCCAGGTCCTGGAGAAGGAGGGGGAGAGCAAGGAGTTGAAGCGGCTGGTGATGGCCGAGTCAGAGAAGAGCCAGAAGCTGGAGGAGAGGCTGCGCCTGCTGCAGGCAGAGACAGCCAGCAACAGTGCCAGAGCTGCAGAACGCAGCTCTGCTCTGCGGGAGGAGGTGCAGAGCCTCCGGGAGGAGGCTGAGAAACAGCGGGTGGCTTCAGAGAACCTGCGGCAGGAGCTGACCTCACAGGCTGAGCGTGCGGAGGAGCTGGGCCAAGAATTGAAGGCGTGGCAGGAGAAGTTCTTCCAGAAAGAGCAGGCCCTCTCCACCCTGCAGCTCGAGCACACCAGCACACAGGCCCTGGTGAGTGAGCTGCTGCCAGCTAAGCACCTCTGCCAGCAGCTGCAGGCCGAGCAGGCCGCTGCCGAGAAACGCCACCGTGAGGAGCTGGAGCAGAGCAAGCAGGCCGCTGGGGGACTGCGGGCAGAGCTGCTGCGGGCCCAGCGGGAGCTTGGGGAGCTGATTCCTCTGCGGCAGAAGGTGGCAGAGCAGGAGCGAACAGCTCAGCAGCTGCGGGCAGAGAAGGCCAGCTATGCAGAGCAGCTGAGCATGCTGAAGAAGGCGCATGGCCTGCTGGCAGAGGAGAACCGGGGGCTGGGTGAGCGGGCCAACCTTGGCCGGCAGTTTCTGGAAGTGGAGTTGGACCAGGCCCGGGAGAAGTATGTCCAAGAGTTGGCAGCCGTACGTGCTGATGCTGAGACCCGTCTGGCTGAGGTGCAGCGAGAAGCACAGAGCACTGCCCGGGAGCTGGAGGTGATGACTGCCAAGTATGAGGGTGCCAAGGTCAAGGTCCTGGAGGAGAGGCAGCGGTTCCAGGAAGAGAGGCAGAAACTCACTGCCCAGGTAAGGTACTCAGCCCAACCACCCTCCCAAAGATCAGGAGCTGAGAGCGCGGGGACATCGATCCTCTGTGTCCAGGGCCTCTAGCTCCTACACTGGAGTGTCTTGCCTTTCCTCATTCACTGGGTGGCAGAAAAGGAGAGGTGGCTGGTGGAGTTCAAGTCTGTTGCCCCTGTCATCCTAAAGAAAATGTCAGTGGCCTCCCCTCCCCTGAAGGCTCTGTCACTAGAGAGTCAAGTTGTGATGACCACCAGCCTGTTCAGAGGCACACCTGCACTGGATGCCTCAGGAGCCACTGGGGATTAGAATCAGCCTAACTGGCATTTTTAAACTTACTGTCAATCTAGCTCCTTAGGGGAAAGTATCAGAGCCTCAGTGAGGTCAGCCTGGCAGCAGGGCTGGTGCTTCTTTGGCCTCATCTCACTCTGTCTCTGTTGCTCCTCCCCCATGTACAGGTGGAGCAGCTAGAGGTATTTCAGAGAGAGCAAACTAAGCAGGTAATGCCTGAGGTCCTCGCTAAATGCTGGCTGCTTAAACGGTGACCAGTCTTGGTGCATGAGCCCGGCTGCAGCTTGCCTCCGCCAGCTCCTGTTGTGAACTGTTTGTGAAGGGGGCAGGGTCAAGCCATGGAATCCAGGCCCAGGCTGCCCAGGAGTGTGGTGTGCTGGGCTCTCTCAGGCCTCATCCCACCCATCCCAGGTCGGCCTCTCCACCCTTCTGCACCTTCTCTCATTTGCCTATCAGGGACAAGGGGTAGCACTGGCTTCATCTTTCCCACCCTGAACCAATGACAGACACAATCCTTGGGATTCGAGAACTTCCCAAGTACTGTGTCTAGTTAAGGATACCCGACTAAGAGGAACAGCAGAATTACCGTGTCGGCCTTGTTTAACATGGTGTCCCTTTTTCCCAGAGTACAGCTTTATGGAAGCCTTGAAGGTGATATGCGAGGCAGCCCCCACAGGTTAGGGAGGATTGTGGGCTTAGGACACTTGCCCATCACTTTCTGGGGCTCTAACCCCGAGCACAGCATAGAGATGTCTGTAGCAGGAAGACCGAGGGTGAAGGAGCAGGAGGGGTCTATACCAGATGGGGGCGGGGGAGTGGGGGTCACATGGTCTGGCTGCCTCTTTCTCATGGGAATCATCTCTGTGTTGCCTGAGACATCGAGGCTATAGAGCTGGTGTTTCTGAGACATCGAGGCTATAGAGCACCCTTTCTCCATCACTCTCCTACCCAGCCACCCCAGGGCTGCTGAAAAATTGGGCCCTCCTCTAAGGAGCCTGTGATAGTGGGGGACAATCAAAGTGAATAGCAAACAGTTAGCAATGGAGCCCTTGCCTCTCCCCTGTGCTGCCTGGTCATGCTTGAACTCCCAGAATGCTTGGAGCAGCCAAGGGTGCATGGGGCTGTTATGTTCTCTCTTTTCCCCTACTCCCTGTGCTCTTCCTCTTTGTAGGAGTGGGGTGGGCTTTGGAGTACATGTGCTGCCCCTGCTCTTGTCTTCCAGCAATCTGTTCCCCAATGCTAACCACAGCAGCCATGCTGCTAGCACCAGCCCTAACGGCCTGTGGATGTTGGGAAGAGGTCTGAGCATCTGTGGGCTTGGGCTTTGGCAGTTTCTGGGAGGGAGGCATGGGAATTCATTGAGTATGTCTACTAGAATTACAGACTAGGTCCTGGGAAGGTTGCGGCTGCAGAGTGTGGCGGCAGCAAGGTGGTGGTGAGGTGTCGGCTCCCCAGAGTCAATTCTCCTGATTTTGGAGGTGACGGGGGTTGGGCAGGCCTCTGTCTCTGCAGGCTCAGGGTAGACGCAAGAACAGTTGGCCCTGGCAACATCTATGTGTTAGGTTGCCTCATTCAGGCCCTGCCAAGCAGCCTGGGCAGCAGGCTGTTCCGTAATTGGAGGCCAGAGAAAGGGCCTGAGTTTATTCTAGGAACACTGGGGATCCTGGTCTGGGAAACCCCATGATGGGTGGACATCCAGGATGAACATCCAGGGGAAGTCCTCCTGAGTCTTCTGTCCTCCTCTTCCCTCCCCAGGTGGAAGAACTGAGTAAGAAACTGGCTGACTCTGACCAAGCCAGCAAGGTGCAGCAGCAGAAGCTGAAGGTGGGGCAGCTGGGGGAATGGGTCTGGCCTCTGGACAAGGGAGGGAAGCTATTCTCTAAGCTCTGGGGCCGTGGGGGGTGTCGGGGCAGAAGAGGGGCACCCTGCATTCCAGGTAGCCCTCCTAGGAAGCCTGTGGCTTAGAAGCCCCTGCATGTGTCTTCTGGGAGCTCTCGAGAGACAACCAGGGTGGTTCCCATCTCTCAACTGTCACTGTCCACTTCAGCAGCTACTAGTCACGTGTGGTTATTGAAATTTATTAAAGTAAATCCAGTTCTTCAATCACACTAGCTACACTGTGCCCCTGTTCAGTAGCTACATGTGGTTAGTGGCTGCTGTATTGGACAGCGCAGATACAGAACATTCCACCATTGCATAAAGTTCTTTTGGACAATGTAAGTCTAGATAGTCTGGGCAGGGAAAGAACGAGAGTGTCACCAGTGTTGAATATTACAGTGCAGTTTAATAACATTCTTAATGCTTTCAACTGTGTCACCTTCTTTGGTTTAATACTTGCTTTTTGCAGTTCTAGGCTTCACAGCCTTCAGTCAGGGGCAAAGGAATTGGGCACCAGTGGCATTGGGACTCACTAAAGCCCTGGTGGCTCCTAGGAGTTGTTGGGAGCTCAGAGCTTCATTTCTCCTGCTCACCTTCATACCATGGTGCCACAGCATGTCTTGATTGCAATAAACAAATGTTTATTCTACTCCTTGTGGGGCCTGTCCTATGTTAGGAGAGGCAAAGGGGGGATGCTTCTATCTACAGCAAAGCACTTGTTGGCCTTGCAGATGGACAGAGAATCAGGCCCTGCTCTTAAGGAGTTATGGTCTGGACAGGAGGCAGTGTGGGCATCATAAATAAGCCCCCATGGGCTTTTGGAGTTAGGTGGACCAAATCTTACTCTGCCATTTAGTCACTGTTACTCTGGTCAATTTGCTTAAATCTCTGAACTCAGTTTCCTCCTCTGAAAAGAGGGTGAAGTGACTTCTCAGAGTGGCTTTGAGGAGAAACAAGTTCCCCTGTCCTAAGAGAGCTCACATGCCAAGTGCCTTAGAGTAAGGCTCTGCACCTGGGTGTTCCCTGAGGATTGGTTCCCTTCCTCCTACGGGAGATTGTGCATGCAAAGAGGGTGTGACACTTTGTGTCTGGTCTCAAAGAAGGCAAAGATAGGGCAGGAGCTGGTCAGGGAAAGGCCACTACGGATGTGGACTGAAGGGCATGTGGGCTTCAGGTTTAGTAGACTGTAGTCGGGCAGAGAGTATTTGGGGTGGTGTGGTTTTCTTCCGCTTCCTAAGAAAGTGCAGGAGTCTGAAGCACCTGTGGAGCCCCAGTGGCTGGTGCAGATAAGCGGACTTGGGTAGAGCGGCCAGACCAGCTTTCCTGAGTGGCCTTTCTTCTCAGGCTGTCCAGGCTCAGGGAGGCGAGAGCCAGCAGGAGGCCCAGCGCCTCCAGGCCCAGCTGAATGAACTGCAAGCCCAGTTGAGCCAGAAGGAGCAGGCAGCTGAGCACTATAAGCTGCAGGTAAGGAGCCCAGCCCCAGCCCATGCCACCTTCCTCCTGCCCTTCAACCTCTACCCCACCCACCCACCCTCTCTGCCCACAGATGGAGAAAGCCAAAACACATTATGATGCCAAGAAGCAGCAGAACCAAGAGCTGCAGGAGCAGCTGCGGAGCCTGGAGCAGCTGCAGAAGGAAAACAAAGAGCTGCGAGCTGAAGCTGAACGGCTGGGCCATGAGCTACAGCAGGCTGGGCTGAAGACCAAGGAGGCTGAACAGACCTGCCGCCACCTTACTGCCCAGGTGCGCAGCCTGGAGGCACAGGTAAGAATTTGGCTGGCAGACTCACCTCACTCCTATTCCACTGGACCCCTGTGCCCTCTCCTCCTAGGCCACTGCTGCCTTAGGCTTTTCTTCACTCTCCCCCTGGCCCTCTCCTTCTCAGGTTGCCCATGCAGACCAGCAGCTTCGAGACCTGGGCAAATTCCAGGTGGCAACTGATGCTTTAAAGAGCCGTGAGCCCCAGGCTAAGCCCCAGCTGGACTTGAGTATTGACAGCCTGGATCTGAGCTGCGAGGAGGGGACCCCACTCAGTATCACCAGGTCAGGAGGCAGCCTTCCTCCCTATGTCTGTTTATGGAGTGCCTGCTGTTTATCAGGCTGTATCCTAGTGAGATAAATAAGATGTGATCTAAATTTATTCTTAGAGAAGAATAACGAAAAACGGGTATTATACCAGATATCTATTTAGGGCACAGTTGGAATAAAAAGCAAGTGGTCAAGAAAGGCTTCGTGGAAGCTATCGCTCCTGCTGAGTCTTGAAAGCATCCATAGGTGTGTGTGCCAGGTTGACGAGAAGAGCAGTGTGAACAGAGGCTGTGAAAGAGCCTGACTAAGCTGAGATGTGAGGCCAGGAAGGCCCATTGGAGACCGACTATTAAGACTTGATCCTAAAGGCATTGAGGAAACCTTGGTGGCTGTAATTGAAAGGTTTAGGAGAAAAAAAAAGGAACCTTGGAAGAATTTGAAACTGAAGAGTACATGGTTAATTTGCATCTTAAAAAGATTATTCTAATAGCTAGTATAGAAGTTAAGACTGGAAAAATGTTTTTATTAAACACTTACATTTACTTATTTTGTGCTAGACATAAAGCACTCATGACAATTATACCTGATTTGTCCCCCAACAACCCTCTGAGGTAGGTTTATTCTGTCTCCTTTAACAGATGAATCTGGGGCATAGAGGGGCAGTCACTTGCCCAAGGTTCCCCAGTGGTAGAGCTGGGGTTTGACCCTGGGCAGCCTGGCCTGAGTTCTTGGCTTGTCACCACTCATCTTCCTCTGTCAGTGCCATGATGAGTCTAGGTGAGAGGAGATGAAGCAGACCAGGGAAAGGACATGAGCATGGAGTGGGGTGTGGTTAGGAGCTGTTCAGGAAGCTTGGTGATTGGGCTCGCCAAGCAGGACGACATTGGATTATGCCCACGTTCATGGCTTGGGGGCCTGAGTGGGGGGCGTTCCTATTCACTGAAATGGGAGATGCAGGAGGAAGAACAGAGAAGTGGGCTTAGATTGGGACGTGTTTGCTGTGAAGCAGCCATGGGCATCTGGTGGGGATGGGACATCTGGGTCTGGGCATTGCCACTATGAGGAGCTATTAGGAGAAGCCAGGGGAGTGGACTGAAAGGAAGGCCCAGGTCAAGTGCTTTCCTTGGTACCTCTGAAAAATCAGAGAGATGGGCTGCTTGACCTCATCTGCTTGTAGTAAGGATGGGAAATGGTCACTTTCAAAAAGGGCTGGACAAAATGCCTTCTAGCGTGAAGGACTGTACCTCAGCAGGTTTCCTTTCCATAGCAAGCTGCCTCGTACCCAGCCAGACGGCACCAGCGTCCCTGGAGAACCAGCCTCACCTATCTCCCAGCGCCTGCCCCCCAAGGTAGAATCCCTGGAGAGTCTCTACTTCACTCCCATCCCTGCTCGGAGTCAGGCCCCCCTGGAGAGCAGCCTGGACTCCCTGGGAGACGTCTTCCTGGACTCGGGTCGTAAGACCCGCTCCGCTCGTCGGCGCACCACGCAGATCATCAACATCACCATGACCAAGGTCAGGCTGCTGGGACAGGGGCTGCAGGGCAGCAATTCCCACTTCCTCTCAAGGGCATCTTTGCACTGGGCACTCAGTCAGGAGCAGGGAGGGATGAGCAGCCAGTCCATGTTACAGTGGGAAAGCTGAGAGGTCTTAAAAAGGGCAGTGACTTGGTTAAGGGCACTTCTGAAGAAAAAGGCAGGGCTAGGATTAGATCCCTGCCTCCTGACTAAGGCTAGCATTCTCTCCATGCGTAGCACTGAGCCTGTGCAGGGTGAAGGGAGAGAACGTGGCGAAGCTGCAGCCCATCCTGTGCCTCCCAGCATGCCCCATGCAGCTGAGAGGCATTGTTGCTGCCCAGTGGACTGCCTGACAGGCTACAGGCCCTTGCCTTTGTTTCCACATCTTGAAGGGGAGGTTTGGGAGGAGGGGAGAGGGGCCCCTGGTACAGCAGGGGGGACCTGTGTGTTTAGGGTGCCCCCTGCTACCAAGAAGTTGGGGAAGTTCTGGAACATGGTAAGGGCCCTGGAAGTTTGGACTGAGGGACAGCAGAGGCTGTGGGATGAGCCTGACTAGTCAGGAGACATGGGGCCTAGCCCCAGCTCTGATACTTCCTAGCAGTGTGATTTGGGGCTAGTCACTTTATTTCTTTGCACTTCATCTCCAAAATGGGCCGATAAACACTCTGCATTCCCTACCTCAAAGCATTATGAATAGACTCCATGAAAAAAATGCGTAGAAGAGTCTTGACAACATCAGCACCACCTTGTGAGGGCTTCTGTCGACAAGGCCCATTTCTTGCAGACACACACTTTAAGGACCTTTGCAAAGCAGTTGGGAATACATGGATGTGCCGTGGGATCTGAGGGCTTCGGAAGGGAATGGGAAGCTTCTGTACAGTGCCAGGGACTGTACACTGCAACAGATTCACTCTGTCTTCCAGAAGCTAGATGTGGAAGAGCCAGACAGCGCCAACTCATCGTTCTACAGCACGCGGTCTGCTCCTGCTTCCCAGGCTAGCCTGCGAGCCACCTCCTCTACTCAGTCTCTAGCTCGCCTGGGTTCTCCCGATTATGGCAACTCAGCCCTGCTCAGCTTGCCTGGCTACCGCCCCACCACTCGCAGTTCTGCTCGTCGTTCCCAGGCCGGGGTGTCCAGTGGGGCCCCTCCAGGTGAGGGGACTACAGGGACTTACTATACCCCAAAATTAGACTGGAAGGTGGATCGTGGCACAGGGAAAAGAGGAAAGCTTTTTAAAAATCCAAGGCTGGCCTCCTTGCTACCATCCAGCTCCACCTGCCCCTCCTTCCTGCAGCCTCAGGGCCTTCCTTACCTGCCCATCTAGGGGCTGGCTGTGTTGGGGGCACTCTTAGCCAGAGTTAAGGGCCCGGGATTCCCAGCACAATTGTGACACTTAGCTGTGGGGAGTCCTC
Organism: Homo sapiens; assembly: GCF_000001405.40. NCBI lineage: Eukaryota > Metazoa > Chordata > Mammalia > Primates > Hominidae > Homo > Homo sapiens. The sequence goes on along the minus strand of NC_000011.10, from coordinate 72,005,773 downwards.
CATGCCCTTCTCAGGCGGTGATGGGCTGCTGGAAAGGCCAGGCTGGCCAGACTCTTCTTGGAAGCTCTTGTCCTTTGGGCACCAGGGAGCCCCTGGGAATTAATTCCCGGTCCTTAATTTGTTCCTCTGGGTGTTGGCCACCAAGCCTTGGCAGGTGAGTAAGATGTAGTAGCAGTCTCTGCGTGTGACCTCTTCTGCCCTCTCCAGGGAGAAGGTGGTGAGCAAGCCCCTAGGATAGAAATAGTCTGTGTGCCGTACTCCTGCACCTGCGGCACTGAATCAGACTGGTGTGCTGGGCTTCAAGTTTATGGGGTAGGTGGCAGCAAAGGCTGGCAAGATGCCAGGGCCAGGAGGTGACCTGCCGACTCCAGGCTCATTTGTTCCCACTTCCCTGCCTTCCACAGGAAGGAACAGCTTCTACATGGGCACTTGCCAGGATGAGCCTGAGCAGCTGGATGACTGGAACCGCATTGCAGAGCTGCAGCAGCGCAATCGAGTGTGCCCCCCACATCTGAAGACCTGCTATCCCCTGGAGTCCAGGGTGAGGCCTGGGGTCACTGTGCAGGGCCTCCCATCCCTGCCCTCCCTTGGAATCCCACCTGCTGATCTAGCCTGAGCACTAGGGCCCTGGATCACTGACTGGCCGAGGAGGGGGAGGGTGACCTTCTCATGTTTCCAGGTGGAACAGACAGCTGGGAGGGCACTCAGGGGTGAAGTCCCTTGGGGTAGGCAGGAGCTCAGAGAGGAATCTGGTCAGGACTGCACTGCTTGTGGCCATTTGCCCAGGGCTTAGGTAGAAAGCAGAACAGGAAAGGAGGCCTTGTGTCTTTCTACCTCGTGAGGCAGGAAGGGTCCCGACCATAAGTGTCGGGCGAGTGTAGAGTTCTGGGACAGCCCCAGGTCCTCCTCCATCTCCATACAGCTATGGTCCACTGACCACCTCTTCCACCCATGCAGCCTTCCCTGAGCCTGGGCACCATCACAGATGAGGAGATGAAAACTGGAGACCCCCAAGAGACCCTGCGCCGAGCCAGCATGCAGCCAATCCAGATAGCCGAGGGCACTGGCATCACCACCCGGCAGCAGCGCAAACGGGTCTCCCTAGAGCCCCACCAGGGCCCTGGAACTCCTGAGGTAGGCGCGGTGGCTCCTGGGTGTTACTCCAGCACTGTGCTCAGGTCAGGCCCAGCTCACCAAGGACTAAAGGGAGCCTTCTCTCTCCTTCCCTCACTTCCCCCTCTCTTTCCCTCTCTCCAAGGGCCTGACCCATGGATGGGAACTGTTGGGAAGGGAAGGATCTGGCCCAGAGTTGGGAAGGGGAGCAGGTTGCACGTTGACTTACAAGGTCCACTCAGCTCTGAGAGGACAAGACACCTGGCTTCAGATGTGACTCCTCTTGCTACTGTCTGCCTAACTGTCCTCTTCTCCATAGTCTAAGAAGGCCACCAGCTGTTTCCCACGCCCCATGACTCCCCGAGACCGACATGAAGGGCGCAAACAGAGCACTACTGAGGCCCAGAAGAAAGCAGCTCCAGCTTCTACTAAACAGGTGAGGCTGGGGCTGAAGGGGGATGAAGCGACGCCCTGGCGGGACCTTGCTGATAGAGCGTGGCACAGCACGCTGGCCTGGGAAGGCAGCATTGGGTCTCCCGGTCTGACAGCCCTTCCTTGCAGGCTGACCGGCGCCAGTCGATGGCCTTCAGCATCCTCAACACACCCAAGAAGCTAGGGAACAGCCTTCTGCGGCGGGGAGCCTCAAAGAAGGCCCTGTCCAAGGCTTCCCCCAACACTCGCAGTGGAACCCGCCGTTCTCCGCGCATTGCCACCACCACAGCCAGCGCCGCCACTGCTGCCGCCATTGGTGCCACCCCTCGAGCCAAGGGCAAGGTAGAGGCACTGGCAGGATGGGGGAGGGAAACCCGATGAGAGCATGGGCACCCCCCAGACCGCCCCACCAAGTAGCATCCAAGATGGGGCCACGCCAGGCTGCTGGAGGGTGTGGGGTAAGAGGTGTCCCTGTCCTGGTAGCTCCTCTCCAAGGAGAGAAGACAGATGGCCCCATTCTCATGGAGAGCACCCAGAGCTGCTCAGGCACAGCCAGCAACTGATAACCCTGGGGCTCACAAGGGAGGGGATCCAGACAGGGGCGTGGGAGCAGGAAGAGATCTTCCCAGCCAGTGGGTGCAGGCTAGTATCGCAAGTTCTCATCTGGCCATGTGACTGTGTCTCTTTCAGGCAAAGCACTAAAGGGCCAGTACCAGTGAGTGGCCCCACCTGTGTCCCCGATGCTGACCTCACCTGGTCCTCCGCCTACTGTCCCTCTCAGTGCCTTCTCTCAGCTCCCAGGCCAACAGTAGCCAAACCCCTAGAGACAGTGATGCCTGCCCGCACCCTGGCCTGGTCCCTGGTCCTTCACTGGCGCCTTCTCGGAGCTGGCCCAGGGGGCCTGGAGCATGGACAGTGTGGGCGCTCTCCCTACCTTGCCTCCTTTTTTCTTAAAGCAAAGTCACTTCTCCATCACAACCAGATTTGAGGCTGGTTTTGATGGCTGGGTCCTTGGGCCTGGCCAGTCTTCCTCTTAGCCTCTGGATCTAGAAGGGACCATAAGAGGAGTAGGCCCTGGTTCCTGCTGTCCTGGTGGCTGGGCCCAGCAGGGGCCCTCACTCTTGAAGTCCAGGACTGGGTCTGACCTGGTGGGAGCACCTGCCAGAGGATGCTCTTTCCCAGGACGGATGGGCCCTATGTCTCAGGAGTGGGGTTGGGGGACAGCCTTCAGCAGCAGCTCACACCCTACCTTCCCCAGACTTGCACTGGGGTGGGATTTGGAGTGATGGGAAGGTTTTTAAGGGCCGGGGATGGATCTTTTCTAAATGTTATTACTTGTAAATAAAGTCTATTTTTCTCCCGTGAGTACTGAGTTGACTTGATCGGTGTGGGAAAAAGAGGAATATAGGCTCTTTGAAGCCTACCTTGTTCCTGCTGAGTCTTCCATACCACCTCCTTTCTCTCATCCCTTTTCCTGAGGCCACATCTTTCCAGGCTCTTCCCACTCTCCATTAGTGGCCTCTGCTCCCGGGGAGCATTATGGGCTGTTCTCTCTTTTCTTTTTCAAGCGCCTGTGTTCCCCTGAAGCAGGTGTTGTCTTCAGCTTCTGTGTGGCAGTCCCTCTCTCCCATACTCCCTCGTGGGACAGGCAAAGTTCCTGGGAGTGGAACTGAAGCCTAAATGAACAGATGTCAGGATGCCTCCATTGAATAATCCTTTATGAGGACCCATGTGGGGATGACACAGATACAGTGTGGATCCGAAGCAGCTGCTGCCCCCATCCCTTCCCTGGAACAGTCCATTAGAGTGAAGGGGGAAAAAAAAAACATACAGCACGAAGATAGGAAGTCTGCAGAATGCGGCCAGAGCTGAAAGAGGATGACTTCACTGAAGAGGCAGCATTTCAACCAGGCTTGAGCGTTCCCCTGCTGGGGCGGTGAGGAAGACGGGACTAAATGAGCAGAGACATGGGAGTGGGAGCTGTCTGGGAAAAGCAAGAATAGTTGGGAGGCTTCCAGAAAGTCATGTGGGAAATGCAGGTAGGGCCCTGGAGTGCAAGGCTAAGGCATCAACAGTCTTGGTGGTTTCTGAGCAGTAGAGCAGTGTGAGGAGTAGGACGTTAGGAAGGCTAATGGATAGGTGGAGAGAGAATGGCAGGAGGAGGAGGCATTATAAGGAGGCTGTGATTTTCTAGGTAGGTGGGAATGGAGTTTGAATTTGGTGAGAGAAGGGACCCAAAGCAGAGAAGGAGGGGGTGTGTTGCGCATCCACGCAGCCTACAGGCAGTCAGGGACTGTTCACTCCAGGTAGACAGGTAGGACCCAAGCTCTGGTCAAGGTTGTGCTGCTGCTGGCCCTGTGCTGAGTCTTAACCCTGCTGCTGTGGACTGCTGTGGCTGGAGGGCAGGGCTTCTTGGGTGGGGGGCAAGGTTGCCCTCAGCCCAGCCTAGGGAAGTGAAGGCAGACAAGGATCAGGCCAAGGAAAGGAGGGACATCTCATCACTTTGCCCCAGGCTACACCTCCTCTGCCCAAGACCTAAGTTCCTTTTTGTCTGGCTGACCTTGAGGAATGCTGGGCATTAGTTCACAGGCTGCTCTGGCAGAGCCCACCCTTTCCTCCCCACATATGGAAGCAGAGCTCCTCCTGTTCCTGGAGGCCTCTCCTTGGGCTCCTCACCCAGAGCTGGGCCAGGACGACGTGACGCTGGACAACCTGTTCAGGGTCCACGAGCACACAGGAGAAGTTGGTGCTGTGCAGGGCAGGGGTCAGCTGCTCCAGCACCAAGGCCTTGCACAGCTGCGTACCTGTGCTCCCACGTTCCCGGCTGGAGCGGAAGGGAAGGAAAGGTCATGAGAAGGCCGCAGAAGGCCTCCTTCCCACCCACCTGGCTGCTGCGACCCTCACCTGGTGCTCCCCTCCCACAGTCGGCCTGGGAGGTGCTCAATGAAGGAACCATTGCCCAGCCAGTAGAGGATGCTGAAGTTGGGGAAGCGGCTGCAGGCCACACAGGATAAGCTCAGCGTTCCATCTAGGGACACAGGCAGCAGTTAGCTCTTCAGAAGAGCAGGCCCTTCCCCTACCCTGCTCTGCTGTGCCCTCCCTGCCAGCTCCCCCCAGTCCCCATGCATCTGGAACCTAGAGAACTGCTCTGCACACCACCTAGGTGGGAACGTCCGTTACAGAAGTGCAGTTGTCTCCGAGAGGCCCTAGCCCTAAACACGGGGAATGTGAGGAATGGTCCTTGGTTCACGTGATGAATCCTCTTCTGAACCTGTCTCCTCAGGATGACCTTTTCTAGTGCCCAGCCTCGGTGACTTGGGAGCCCAGGTGACAAAGGCAGTGCTGGATGGCTGCTGCTCCTCTGAGATGGCCAGAGGCCAGCAGGCTCTGGGTGGAGGGGCTGGCCTTGGGGTCCACTGCAACCAAGGCTCTGGGAGGTCCTGTGACCATTACTTATGTCTTGAGTTCTCTGTCCTATTTGATAGGGAGCATCTTGGGAGCTGCGCCAAGCCTGCACCCATGACACTGGGTTGGGGAGGGAGAATGGTGCGTGCTCAGCCCAGCTGGCTCAGCTGGTGGTACATGGGCAGAAGGGGACTGGCGCTCAGGAGTCAACCCGACCCTGGGAACCTCTGTGCCCATAGCCCACCCTCCACCACTGTGCTTCTTACTCAGTGGCACTTCCACCTCTGGCCAGGTCACTTCCAATGCTGGACACTGCTTAGCTGCTGGGAACACTGGGGGCTGGGAGGGGCAGGGGTCCTTTGTGCTTCTAACTGAGGCAGTGGCAGCTGTGGTGGTCTGCGAGACAGGTGTGGCTCTGACCAGGAGAGTGACGACGTGGGCACACAGGAGCAGGACCCACAAAGGGCTGAGGTCTGAGGAAAGGACAGTTACAGGTCAGCGGCTCTGGAGACAGAGTGGGCTGCCCGGGTAAGGATGTAACTCCAGCCCAGAGATGTCTGGGTTCTAGCCAGGGAATCAGAGCGGGAAGAGGGACCCCTCAGCACCCACCCCTTAGCCCTTTATTGAACAGAGTACAGAGAAGCTTTAGACTGGAGCCAGAGCTACAATATCTGCCCAGGTTCTTAAAGCAACAGCACCAGGTGCGCTGGGTGGTTTGCCTTGGAGTGAAGGCTCCGGGTTAGCCCATTGCTCCATTCTGTTCATAGACCTCACCCTACCCCGCCTGCCCATGCGTAGCCCCAAGGCCTACCTGGTGTCCAGTTGTGTCTCATGGTCATGATGCATGCGTCAGGAGCTGGTGAGCCTGGCTCTTTATCTGTGACAACGTCCTCTTCTCTGGTGAAAGGTGGGGGAGGAGAATGGTAAACCACTCCCGCTTTTTCTCAGTAGCTGGCTTTTCCTCAGTAGCTGGCTTCTCCTCCCGTAGCATAGCCTGGAGCTCTTTCAGCACTTAGAAACAGAGCTGGGGGGGTCAAGTGACAATCCTTCCCCACCCCAGCTCTCATGACCACAAATGGTTGTAAGATGCTTACCTAGTCCAATCTTACCCCTTCATTAGGGAAGGCAAAATTGAGACCCAAAGAGAGAATATGGACTCACCCAGTCACACAGGGAGGCAGTGCTCTCTTCAGCACCAGAGCTGCTTCTGGGAAGGGCAGGATGCCGAGCAATCCTTCTGGGAAAGCACTGCCCCGACCCTCTATTTCACTTTCACTTTTTAACCAGGGAATCTTGAGCAGCTGTGACACCTCTGCTTTAGCCAAAGTTCAGTGGCCAGAAACCTTCAGCTCCTGGGACTCCTACTCTCCAGAGGATACCAGACTGGGATCTCTAATCTACCCCCATGCCACCCCCAGGGTCACCTAGGGTATGAACTAGATGAGTCTCTCACAGATCAATTCTGTCCCGCCCAAGTGTCAGGACTTTGGTGTCCGCCTCCCCTCTTCACAGCCAGGTCTTTGTTTCCATATGAACAGGCATCTGCTTCCTCCTTCACCTTCACACTGACATTCAAGGGGACAACTTTCCTAGGCACTGGGGAACCCCAAGTTGGACCACTTCAGGCTCAATGCCATACCAGTCCGTCCACATCCTGGCCTTTCCCAGGCTACCCACTCCCCCAGCCACCAGCCCCAAGGTCGGCTACATCTCCCAGCACCCACCATCACACCCTCTGTCTCTCATCCTAGCCCCTCTGGCCAGAGCCACAGGTCTAGGTTCACTAGTAGTCCCAGACTCCTACCTGGCTCCTAAGAGGTCCTGAAGAGCCTTCCTTTCCAGAAGCTTCCCTCTAGGAGCTCCAAGACTCAAGTTAGCTGTGTCTAGCTGCGTGTGAACCCACCACAGGAAATACACCGAGAGCACTTCCTCCTTGTCTGTAGAACTCTCACGGCCAACCCAGGAACTGGCACACAAGCTCGAGAGCCAACCCTAACAGGAGGGAAGGGCAGGCACTTCCCGGGGAAGAGGCGGACTGGCTCAACACTGGCTCTGGCAACAGAGTCTACATCAGAATATGAATCTTGTCACTGATGGGACAAATGGCGCTGGGGCTGCGGGAGGGCCAGGATTCAGGGTGAGGCGTGTGAGGAACCTAGGATGCTAAATCTAAGGAGGTTTTCTCTCAGGGTCATGCAGTTATCCATGGAGGCAGAAAGACCAGGGCTGGGTGATCCAATGCATGCATATATTAAGTGTGGACAGGAGCTGCATGTCTGAGGTTTGTGACTCCTGTGATTGGGAGGGTGCAACGGCTGGTGACAGAGCCAGGGAGGCCCACAGATGGAACTGGGTTTGGTGGATGCATCAGGAACACAGTCAGCTGTGATCTCAAACTTCTTGTAGAAAAACCAGATTCATATTCCTAATTTAGACATAGGATACTACAAGTCACATCCTTCTTCTCTAGGTGTCTAGTTCATGTTTTTCCTCCTCTCAATTCCTCCCCCTACCTCCTGCCCCAGGGGCTTCTAGCATGTAAGATGCAGGAGAAATTCCTCCCAAGAACACCAGCATCTCCAGGAGTTAGGTCAGGAGGCAAGGCTGCCTGGGGTTTCTGAGAGAGACAGTCCAGTGGGGGATGGTAGGGAAAGATGACAGGACTCTGTCTTAGTGGAACCGAGACCAGAGTCAGGCCAAGGGGGGAGGTCAAGGGACTCAGAACTGTTACACATGAAAAGAGCTTTGGACAGCCTGGCCTCGGCTTCTCACCTGAGCCTGACAGGGGGGTGGGGGGAAAAAGTAAAAGGAAGGGTGATCCCTAGGTCCTCTGACCAGCCCCATTCCCCTCTCTGAGGAGGGGAACAGCCCCACAGGTGGCATAAGCAGCAGGGTACCATGGGAAGCCACAGCTGGGGAAGAGAAGCCGAGCCTGAGTGTGGTCCTCAGGAAGGCAGGTGGTGGCGGGACACTGTCCTCAGGCAGTGAGAACATAGAGCAACCTCAGTCTGAAGGCAGGCCCAATGATGCCCCAGGCCCCCAGGCCACAGGACAGGAGCCTGGCATTCCACCACTCCTAGGGATGTCAGCAGGGGAACAGCTGGGAACAGCAGAAAGGCAGGCCCAACCACCCCCAGACCCTCAGGTCTCCGATGGGGGTTAACAAAGGCAAGACACCCCTGGGGACCCCAGGGAAAGAGGTGGGAAGAAGAAAGCAAGATAAATGTTCAGCTTTCCAACCCAGCTCATGGAGCTTTATTCAGACGGGAGTGACAACATCCTGCTTCGTTCTTGCTGCCCTTGAAGGGGCAGGCCCTACTGAGCCATATTCCCTAGAAACCCAATGCCGAAGGCCCATGTTTGACCTCCCACTTTATTCAAGTCGCCTAGGACTAGGGCTGGGGCCTTCCTAGAAGCCCCCTCTCAGAACCTGTTCTCACCCACCCACCACTCCCGTTGTCAGGCCCAGGGAGGACCCATGAATGACAAAAATCATGTAGGGATATTCCCTGGACTGGGAATCCCCTGCCAGCTTCAAGGACATATCATCTGACACAGGGAGAAGCTGACATCTGTCATATTCTTCTGCCTCACGTACACACACACACACACACACACACGCATACGCACTCTTAGGCTTTCAAGAAGGAAGTGATGTGGCAGAGTGACCGCTGGCACGTGTCACCACTCCACTGAAGGATCCACTGAAGAATGAGCTTGCACAAGGGGCCGTCAGTCATGGCTGCCAACAATTGCCCCATGGCCCAACTATATGACCTCTATTCTTGGCTGACCACAGCCCTGCCCACGGGCGAGTATCCATGGTGCTGATTCTTCCAGTTGTCCCAAAACAAATCTTCAATGAATTCTGAGGCCCCAAGGCTTCCCTTGTTGGCCAAGTCACTGATAAGGTTCCACTTGCCTCAACCAGCCTATAGCTCTTGGACAGGGGGAGACAGAGTCAGACGCAACACCTGTCCTGTGTCCCAGACAGTGGGGGAGGGAGGACACCTGGGGCCTCAGTGCTCACCCGTGGCACAAGCCTGAGTACGTTAGCTCTTCTATACTAAGTGCACCAGGCTTGAGCCCCACACAGGGAAGAAGGGAGTGGGTGGGCTGAGGCCTTCAGCTACCTGGGAGCCCAGCAGTGTTCTCGGCCAGAGATGAGAAGGCTCCTTTAAACCAAAAATGTCATGGCTCTGCCCCCACCCTGCTTAGGCAGGGAGGGTGAAGCCTGGAGGGGGGCAATTCCTATGCTCCACAATAAAAAAAGGTTTTTTAAATATATTCATCAAAATAGTTTTCTTTTAAAAAGCCCCCCACTGCTGACAGCCCCACTGGCTGGCTCTCCATCATATCCCTCCCCAGTCCGACACAGCCAGAGGGGTCCTGAGTGGCCCAAGCACCCCTTTGAGTCTTTCCCACCCAGGAGGTCTTTGTGGGCAGGGAGGAGAGTGCCCTGAGGTCCATGGCGTGTGGGGTGGGTTTTCCACTGATGCTCTTCATCACTATTCCAGGCCCAGGATGTAGTTGATGCCTTGGACTACACCAATGATGACAGGCTGCCAGGCTACCAAGTATCGAAGCCAGTCCAGCAGTTGCCCATACATGACGTGAGGCCTCTCCCAGCTGTCAGTGTGTTAAAGAAAAGAGACTCTGTGCAAGAGCTGCCAGGAGTGATCTAGCATGGGTGGTGGGGCTCCCTGGGTCTGCCCCACTTTCCAGCTGCTCCACAGCCTAGAGGAATGGAGGCTGCTTTCTGGAAGGGCCCAGCCTCACTTCCTACTCAGGCAGCCCTCCCAACTTTGCCCTCCCCCTCCTCTTCCTCCTCACAGCCTGTCTGTTGGGGTAAAGAGCTGAATGCAGAGAAGGTGGGAGGCAGATAGAGGGGACTGGTACTGGAGGCAGGGCAGCCCTGAGAGAGGTATAGAGATAAATCCTAGTTCCCCATGACTAACATGCAGGGAGGGCCTCCTGTAACACCTTCTCTAAGAAGGAACTGCCAGTGTAAGATAACACAGCCTGAGGCTGACACAAGTCTATCTATCCGTGACAATGGCTGCAAGGAGGCTGAGAATAGGCAATAATCCTAGAATAGGGAAACTGGGGTTGTATCATGGGGGCAGGACTAGCAGCTCAGCTTCCCACCATGGTTTGACATGTTCTGGTTGGGGGCAGAAGTGAGGGCCCCAGGAGGACCCAAATGCAGGTCACACTGGCCAGTACTTTCTTCCCACAGCCCACTCCCAACAACGACCCCAATAAAGGATACGGATTGCTGAACATCCTCTTGAGGTCTACCTTCTCTTTGCAGTAGGGACACGTTTGCTTCTTTCCCACGATGCACCAGCCACGGATGCAGAACTCGTGGAAGCTGAGCACCGCTGGTCAAGGGAAATGGTGAGAGCCAGGGCGGCACTCCAGCCCCAGACAGTCTTTGAAAGGTTCAAATCCTGCCTTCGCTCTTTATCAGCTCTGTAATGTTGGGCAAGTCCCTGTGTCTGAACCTGTTTCCTCACATGTGAAGTAAGGATAATGATCCCTATCTCACAAGACTGTTATGGGGCAAAATGGAGACAATACATGGCTTTCCCAACATAGGCAGAGAATGGGAGCTGGGTAAATACATGATAAATATTACAAGTGTTATTCAGAACAGAGGATGATGCTAAACTGAGGGATCCCATTAGAGGGTCCTCTTCCCCTGTGACTGGTCAGATCTCAGGTCTGCTAGCACAGCCTCACTAGCTGCAGCCTCAGGTTCCTCTCAGACCCAGCCAGGTTGTAACCACTGTTTACCTAAGAGTGGCTCTGATCTGTGGGAAAGGGTAGGGAAGGTGGCCCTCTTGTGGCTCTCCTACACTCAAGGGTCTGGACAGCATGCCTAGGGTCATGACCACCCTCTTTCTCTCTCTCACTACAGTGTGCAGATTGCAGGAGAGATGTGGCCCAGGAGCTCGAGGCAGGATACACATGATTGCAGGACAGCCTATACGTGTTCTCAATGATCCCCTCTTCACTGACGTCCACAAAGATCTGCTGCCCACACACAGCACACACACTGTCTGAAAGATGTTTGGTAGGCATGCCCGACTCGCTGTAGAACTGAAGGAGAATAGCAGGAAGGAAAGATAGGAAAAGATGTGAGAAGCAGCCAAAGTAGGAAGCTCCACAGAGACCTCAGGCCTTCTAGAGAAGAGGCACAGTGGCAGCGGGAGGCCCAGAGTTAGAGGACATCTTTTTTTTTTTAAACTGTTTAGAAAAGGTAATCTTTTACAAGTCAAATCGACCTCATCTTTGCTGGGCAGATGGGGAGAAGTGACCAGACTAGAGACAGTTGGGAAGTTAGATGTAACAGAACCTATAAACTGGGCTGGATCAGCACCAAAGGATAAGGGGAAGGGGAGGGAGAAGGACTTGGGGCTGGTGATCAAAAGCTGTGTCAGGCAAGCCATTCTGTCGCCAGACTATGGTTCCACCAGAAATGGACAACAATATTCTCCAACATTTAAAACAGTGAAATATTAAGTGCCATGTTGGTTTGGTGACAAGGGCATTCTCAGACATTTGTGGCAGCAGCAAAAGGGGTTCAAGCCTTTCAGATAGGATTTAGCATGGTATCTCAAATTGTTGCACCTTTTGACCCATTAATTTCACTTCAAGGAATTTAAAGAAATAAGAGGAGGCTGGGCGCGGTGGCTGACGCCTGTAACCCCAGCACTTTGGGAGGCCAAGGAGGGCGGATCACGAGGTCAGGAGATCGAGAGCATCCTAACTAACACAGTGAAACCCCGTCTCTACTAAAAATACAAAAAATTAGCCAGGCATGGTGGGGGGCGCCTGTAGTCCCAGCTACTCAGGAGGCTGAGGCAGGAGAATGGCGTGAACCCGGGAGGCAGAGCTTGCAGTGAGCCGAGATCGCACCACTGCACTCCAGCCTGGGCAACAGACCGAGACTCCATCTCAAAAAAAAAAAAAAAAAGAGGAAGTGTCAAAGAAGCTTCATGAATACAGATATTCACTTAAGCATTATCATAATTAAGAAAGCAAAGAGTTTGGCATGTCCTCAAAAAGTTAAACATAAAATTACCAAATGACCAAGCAATTCCATTCTCGGTATAAACCCAAAAGATATGAAACTAGGGACTAAACACACTTAAACGCCAGTGCTCACAGCGTTACTCACAGTAGCCAAAAAGTGGAAACAACTCAAGTGCCTATCCACAGATGAATGAATAAACCAAATGCGGTGTCACACACAATGGAATACTATTCAGCCATATAAAGGAATGATACATTCTATACATGGATGAACTCTGAAAACACTACGCTAAGTGAAAAAAGCCAAAGGGACAAATATTGTATGATTCCATTTACATGAAATATCTACAATAGGCATGTTCACAGAGATGGAAAGTATATTAGAGGTAAACCAGGGCTGTGGGAAGGGGTAATGAGTTACTGCTTAATGGGCAGAGTTTCTGTTTGGGATGAAGAAAAATTTTGGAATTAGACAGTGAAAATGTTGCAGAACACTGCAAATGTAATTAATGCATGAATTGTATACTTCAAAATGGTCAAAATGGTGACATGGTCTAGAAATCTCTTCTGGGGAGTAAACTGGTTAAAGGAAGATCCAATGTCTACACAAATAGGTAAGAGGGAAATGAAGGTAAAGCACAAGACAGTTGTTCAAAAAGGAACCTAATAAACTGTCAATAAAGTGATCCAATGTACTGTTTTCAATTTGATCCAGTAGAGAAAAAATTAGAATATTCCCATGATACTGAGGGACAAAGTCCCTGGCCTTAAACGGTACTAGATTAAAGTTACCCAAGGTGATGGAAATATTCCTTCTTGGGGTGGGGTCTTGGGGGATGACACTGAGACAGGGAGCACTTCTGTGTTGTTTAAATAATTACAAAGAGAACATACTACTTTTATAAACAGCAAAACAATAAAGATATATTTCCATTCTGAAAAAAAAAATAGAAATATTTACTTGCGTTTCTCAGATTGGCTGTTAATTTACCCATATTTAAGCATCTCTCCGTGATGTCCACCTGCTGCTCTTGCAGCATTTCCTATCTCAGTGAAAGGTACTACCATCCAAGCAGTTGCCGAATCAGAAATCTCAGCTTTGAAACCTATATTTCCTTTGTATTTTTCCCTTCAGTCTTCAGAACCAAACTATATCTAAGTCCAAAATACTTCTCAAATACAGTATGTCCTCACTTCACTGACAGTTTCTTGGAAACTGTGACTTTAAATGAAACGACATATAACAAAACCAATTTTACCACAGGCTAATTGATAGAAACAAGAGTTCAGTTCCTGTGTCATATTTCTGTCACAAAGACATCACTAAACCTCTATTTAAGAGACACCAAATTGTCTCTTAAGTAAAGACTCAAAACACTTTTAATATTAAATGTTGAAATGAAATGTGTAGCTTTACACATACAGTTAAAGATTAACAAAGCAAGTATGAAAGCTTCCCCAATTTTTGGTAAAGCAGTAAGTGACAGTGGCTGTTGTTGTAGCGGCTGTGGGTTAAATCAAGGAATAAGAGTTCACAAAGTAAAAATTGTAAGGAGCAACTCCTACCACTGTGCAGTTCAAAAACAATTACCAATATGGACTAAGCACTTTTGTGCCCCATCATTTATTGTTGTGCCTTTGCATGATTATTATACATTTTGTGAATTTTTACTTATTTAGAGACAACGTCTTGCTCTGTTGCCCAGGCTGGAGTTTGGTGGCATGAACAAGCTCACTGCAAGGCTCAAGTGACTTCCCACCTTGGTCTCCAAAGTAGCTGGGACTACAGGCATGTGCCACCACGCCCGGCTAGGTTTTTTTTTTTTTTGTCTCATTTTTTTGTAGAGATGGGGTCTCACTATGGTGCTCAGGCTGGTCTTGAACTCCTGGGCTCAAGCAATCTGCCTGCCTCAGCCTCCCAAAGTGAGCCACTGTGCCCGGCCCCTCCCAGGATTTTTAGCATAAAAATCAAAATCTTTAATTTGGCCCACAGGCTTTTTTCTAGTCTAGTCACTACTTCTCCAGGCACTTCTTGGCCATACAACCGCAATGGTCTTAGTTCCTCAAAAACACCCACACTTTCTCCCGTGACAGGACTCTTATGAATGCTCTTTCCTCTGCCTGGTTCTCACTTCATCCACTTAACTGCTATTCATTGTTCAAGTCAGCTCCATAGTCACTTCTTCAAGGAAGCCATCTTTGAGCCCCAAGACTAGGTCAAATGACACTACTACATGTGTTTACAGCATCATGAACCTTTCCTACATAATGCTTATTAAAGTTGTAATTTTATTTTTATCTGTGTTTGTTACTGTAATAGCCATCTCTCCCACCTAAGAGTAAAGTTTATCTGGGCAAAAACCATGTTTATTTTTGTACACTTTTGTAATTCTGGCATATAGCTATGTGTCTAGACACATAGCAGGCATTAAAAAGTATCTACTGAATGAATGTTAACTTCCTGCTGGATAAAGTGGCTCTTTCCTATAATGGCCCTAAAGAGAAAAATTATAGGGTACATCTGAGATCTGGCTAATTTTTTTTTTAATAATTTCAACTTTTATTTTAGATTCAGAGGGTACATGTGCAGGTTTGTTACATGGGCATACTGCGTGATACTGAGGTCTGGGGTGCGAATGATCCTGTTGCCCATGTAATGAGCACAGTTACCTAACAGATAGTTTTTCAACCGTTGTCCCCACTCCCTCCTCCTCTTGTAGTCCCCAGTGCCTACTGTTGCCATCTTTATGTCCATGAATATCCAATGTTTAGTTCCCACTTATAAGTAAGAACATGCAGTATTTGGTTTTCTGTTCCTGCATTAACTGGCTTATGATAAAGGCCTCCAGCTGGCATGTTGCTGCAACGCACATGGTTTTATCTTTTTTTATGGCTGTGTTGCTTTCCAAACTTTAAGGAAGGAATGTCCATGCATATGCACATCTTGAAGGATTTTATGTGGCTTATCTCACCCTAGTGCCTTTCTCTTCCATTAAACAAGTGACATCAACTTGAGCAATTTGGAGGTGTCAAGAAGCAGTATTTAAGAACCCGGATGAACTTACCCCTATGGTAGATGCCATGTAGTCTGCACACATTTCTGCAAAGTCCCGTTCCAGAACTCCATAGTAGAGGCCATAGAAGAGAAGGGAGATGCCAAAGTCCATGGCATCTTCTGGTTTGATCCTGCAAGGGAAGCATTAGAGCTAGAAAGACCCACCCTGAGACATATCTTCTATGGATTACTACTCTGGGACACACAAGGCAGGGCCCAAAGCGAGAAGGCCCAAAGGCTAGAGCAAGTGCGGGCAAACTATGACCAAATCCAGTCTGCTGTCTATTTTTATATGGCCCATGAACACCTCTTGAGGAGGCTAGCTAGCACTGTAGGCTGTGAAGACCAAGCTACAGTATCCCCTCCTACCCCTTTTCCTCACTCTGCTCTTAGTCCTTGCCTCCCCTAACTGGTGACAATGACTTGCAGCTACCCAGGACCTATGCTCATCGGGACCTACATAGTGGGGACTCCACTGTTGGTAACTTCTGGACACTAAGTGAGCTGCCTTGCTGAGCTGTCTCTCTTCCAGCTAGCCACTCAAGTTGAAACAGCTGAGCCATCCATAAGGAGGAAAGGGCATGCCAGAATCTGGGTGTCACTGGTGCAGAGACTGAAAATTACTCCGGTGGCCACATGCCCCTCTTTCTGAGATTGTCTCAGCTTATGACAACAGAGCACAAAGCATGCCCACTACCTGAGACCTGGCCCCTTCCCCAGGCAAAGAGGGTGGGACAGGGTAGGAGTTTTTTCTCTTGTTATATAAGTACCTACATGATATCCTAGATTTGGCCTATTGTCCCATAAGACCTAAAATATTTACTATTTGGACCTTTACAGAAACAGCTTGTCAAACACAGGTTTAAGAAAAAAAGATAAAATTAGTAAATATTTATTAATATATAGCAGTTACTATAAAATTATAAACTACAAATATAAATAATCTGTATCATATCATCAAAGTTAAATTTTGGTCCAAGTCTATTTAACAAGAAGGATAAAGATCTTGCCTATAACATCAGAAGGTTTGTTTTAATAATTCCAAGGACCGATAATTTGCAACCTTGAGTCTATAAATCTTTGTTATAGAAAATTATCTGTTAAAATATTTGTACAAAGAACCGTATGTATGTGCTTAGTTATAAATTATATTTATATACAAAGCTGCATTTGCTTATGAACCCTGAATATTTAACTCACTAGAAATCATTGATCTTACACCACTTAATTTGATCAGTAGCACAAAAATGATCAAGATTCTCAATTCTGTTTTCCTCATTGTAGAGTTCAGGCAAGTAAAAAGAAACTGTAATTATAGAAGAATTATCTTTAAAACTTAATGCAGAGGCCAGGCGTGGTGGCTCACACCTGTAATCCTAACACTTATGGGAGGCCAAGGCAGGTGGATCACCTGAGGTCAGGAGTTCGAAACCAGCCTCGCCAGCATGGTGAAACCCCATCCTTACTAAAAATATAAAAATTAGCCGGGTGTGGTGGCTCATGCCTGTAGTCCCAGCTATTCAGGAGGCTGAGGCAGGAGAATCATTTGACCCCACTACTCGGGAGGTGGAGGTTGCAGTGAGCCACTGCACTCTAGCCTAGGCGACAAAGCAAGACTCCATCTCAAAACAAACAAACAAACAAACAAACAAACAAAAAACCATAATGCAGAATCCCATAATGCAGAATCTTGATTTTTATTTTATTTTTTAACCATACAGGTTAGAAAGTTACCAGGAGATATCTGTTTTCTTTGACAAGATGTGTTTGACTCTACAGTGATGAATTCCTCTAAACCCTTCAGGAGCCTGTTTATTCCTTCAGCCTGTACTACCCCTAGAAGAAAGAATTTCATGAGTGCACTCTCACTATATAAAATAGGATTTATTTATTTTTATTTTTTTCGAGATGGGGGTCTCCCTTTGTCACCTGAGCTGGAGTGCAGTGGCACAATCATAGCTCACTGCAGCCTTGAACTTCTGGGCTCAAGCAATTCTCCCACCTCAGCCTCCTGAGTAGCTGGGGATACAGGTGCACACTGCTACACCCAGCTAATTTTCTTTCTTTCTTTCTTTTTTTTTTTTTTTAAGAGTTGAGAGTCTCACTATGTTGCCCAGCTTGGTCTTGAACTCCTGGCCTCAAGCAGTCCTCCTGCCTCAGCCTTCCAAATAGCTGGGATTACAAGTGAGAGCCACCACACCTGGCCAGGATTTATTTTTACTTGTCCTAAAATAAACTCCTTTCAGAGACTCCTGCCTACAATATAACTAGGCTCAGGGAAGAGGCCAGTGATCATCCCATTCATTATCTTAAATTTGAATCCTAGATCTCTAGCTTCAGTGCACTGTCGTAGGCTTAGGGCTCCTCTTGATCCACAGCCCACAGCCACCAGTATTTCATCCAGGAAAGCATTATTTCCACCCTCATCTGCCTCATTGACTCACTGCATGCTCCAGTCTCTGAGCTCAGGATTTCTTGGCATCTGACTCAATTCGGGGTGGGAGGACCTGTAAGCTAATAAAGATCTTTTGGAAGGCTTATGACAACTGAAGCAACAGCCAAAATTCCATCCCTAGGAATGCACCCTTAGGAAGCAACAGAGCAGCGTTATCTGGGATAATACTAAATTGAAAACAACCTAAGTGCCCAACAATGAAGCAGGACTTAACATCCACAGGTTAACTTTCCAGAACTGTTTCCTTAGAAATCTTGTCGAATGTCAGCTATATTACAGGCAACACTGCTTATGACCTGTGATTAGTACAACACATCTGGACTGCGACATTCTTGAAACTGGATGTGTTCCTGGGGGAATGGGGCTCCTAGGCCAGGTGGCTTCCACACCCATCTGTGTCATCTCATTCCCTCACACCTAAGCTCTGAGTCTACTGTGAAGACTTGCAGACACCACTCTGCTCTATTATTTATTTTGTATTCTTCTAAGTCAATTTGTTGCTAGCTGTAGCCAACCACGGTCATGTAGGTAGACGGTCTAGCCCAAGAGTCAGCAAACTTTTCCTATAAAGGGCCAGATGGTAAATATTTTAGGTTTTGTAGCCCATATGGTCTTTATCACAACTATTCAACTCTGCTGTTTTAGTGGAAAAACAGCCACAGGCAATATATAAATGAATGGGCATGACTATGTTCCAGTAAAACTTCATTTTATAATAACAGGTTGTGGGCTGATTTGGCACAGAGGGCACAGTTTGCCAACCCCTGGCCTAGTTGAACGTAAGGCCATTCATGCAGAGTGGATGCTGCAAATGAACAGTACACACTGACGAGAAAAACAGCTCTGTTAAGGTGATAGAATTATGGATAGCAGGTTATGATAATTATTATGCTTACTTTGGTTACTAGACTTTTCCACTAAAATATAAAGCCTTGGAAAATATGATTTAGGACTCTGACTTTGTATATATTCAGACATTCCTTGCTTTCTGCCAGAACAAATCATGGAGAGCCTGTCTTCTCCCATCCCCCCACAGCACCCAAGTCTCCTATCCTGGATATTACGTCCCTCCTGTTAATAACCACGACTTGCAACAAGAGGTACATCTCAACAGTCACTCCTCCCCAAACTCCAGCAAAAACAAAAACAAAGGGTACTCACTTGAATAATAAGTTAAGACCAAAGAGGGTAAACATGACAGCCATGTAGCCAACAATGCCAGTGGCATAGCTGATTTTATAGATTAGCAGGAACCACTTATAAACCAACCTGGGGAAAGGAGAGAAGGTTAGTGCAGCTGACACAGAGATTCTGGCCTTAATGGTCCTGATCACCAGAATCCTTTATTCTCACATCAATGGGGACACCAGGGTCTTTGCTCAGGACTTACTGAGCAACTTCAGTTACTATCCAAAGCTGCTCACTCCCTTAACTGCAGAAATGCCTCCATATACTCAAGAACTAGGGCTTTGTATTTTTTTTCTTTTTTTTTTTTTTTTTTTTGAGATGAGAGTCTCGCTCTGTCACCCAAGCTGGAGTGCAGTGGCACAATCTCAGCTCACTGCAACCTCCACCTCCTGAGTTCAAGCGATTCTTCTGCCTCAGCCTCCTGAGTAGCTGGGACCACAGGTGCCCACCACCACACCCGGCTAATTTTTATATTTTTTTTAGTAGAGACGGGGTTTCACCATATTGGCCAGGCTGGTCTCGAATTCCTGACCACATGATCCACTCGCCTCAGCCTCCCAAAGTGTTTGGATTATAGGCGTGAGCCACCACACCCAGCTATGCTTTGTATTTTCATGGTTTCAGACCAAGGAAAAGATTCCTAAAAAGGCAGTTTCTGCCTCAAAGAAGGAGCACAGCTGACCTTAGACAGCTATGTCACCTCAAATGAGGAAGTAAAAAGTATTAAACACAACTATGCTCAGAAGATTAACAGGCAGGGAAGGCTAGTTGTTCAGAAACAGAATTCAAGAGATGAATCAGAGGTAGAATGAGCTACAGGTTGTTTGTACCTGGGCCCGGTTAGTCTGAATACAGCTTTGCTCCTATCCACAGGCCAAAAATGAAAGAAATGATGTGTAATGAATTTGCTTCTGAAATGAATTTTCTTCTGAGGGAGAAGGGAGAGAGGCACTTAAGAAGTACCTTTGAGTTGGATGAAAGTGTGTGGTGGTGGTGAAGTAGAATGGGGTTGTTCATGCTCCTGAAGGAGGAGTAGTGTGCCCCAGGAGCCAATGAAGACAGTGTACAACCTAATTGGTGGATCCCAGCTACTAGACTCAGCAAGAAAGATGGTTCCCTGAAGGAACCAGGGCCTTTTTTTTTGTTTTTTTTTGGCTAGAGATGGGGTCTTGCAATGTTGCCCAGACTGGTCTAGAACTCCTAGGCTCAAGGGATCCTCCCACCTCAGCCTCCCAAAGTGCTGGGATTACAGGCATAAGCCACTGGTGCTTGGCCAAACCAGAGCCTTTTAAATGCTACAAGAGTAGGTCCCTGTCATCAGGAGCCACTATTCTATCTGTGATGGGAGCTAATGAACAATTTAGTAATCTGTCTGAATAACCAGCACAAGCCTGTGTGGTTCCTGAGAGCTGACTAGGTTACTACCAACCCTGCTGAACCCTAGGGAGGAAAGTCAAGGTCCTTCCCTGCCCATGCCTCCTTGCTGTGGCCAGGCAAGCAGTGATGGTTTCTCAGGCTAGGGAAAGGTCCCAAATATCTTCCTTCTAGTGTTGTCTTAAAGAACACACACAGCTCTATTCTCCAGGGATTGCACTGATCACAAAAGAGAGAGACACGGTGAAAAGGATGTGAAATTTTAGGTCAAAAAACTCAATATGGATTAAGTGATGTTTTAGTAGCTGGATAACCTCAGATAAGTCAAATCACCTCTTTGAGACAAGAGAGGTGATTTTCTTTGTAAAACAGGAAAACCCTGCTACCTTTTTTACTGGGTTGTACAGAGCCCATTTCCTGGTATATAATACATGTTCATGAAATGCTACATGTATAAATAAGGATGTTCACAAAAGTGCTTTGAGGGCAGGCACAATGGCTCACACCTGGAATCCCAACACTTTGGGAGGCTGAAGTGGGAGGATTCTTTGAGCTCAGGAGTTCGAGACCAGCCTAGGAAACTCAGTAAGACCTTGTCTCTACTAAAAATAAAAATTAAAAAATAGCCAGACAAGGTGGAGCATGCCTGTAGTCCCAGCTACTACAGAGACTGAGATGGGAAAATTGGTTGAGCCTAGGAGGATGAGGCTGCAGTGAGTTGTGATCATGGCACTGCACTCTAGCCTGGGCGACAGAGTGCGACCTCATCTCTATTTTTAAAAAGTGCTTTGAAATTGTAAAGCACTATCAAATGTTAGTTACAGGGCTGGGCGTGGTGGCTCACACTTGTAATTCCAGCACTTTGGGAGCCCGAGGCGGGCAGATCACTTGAGGTCAGCCTGGCCAACATGGTGAAACCCTGTCTCTACTAAAAATAGACAAAAAAAAAAAAAAAAAAAAAAAAATTAGCCGGGTGTGGCGGCACACACCTGTAGTCCCAGCTACTTGGGAGGCTAAGCCAGGAGAATCGCCTAAGCCTGGGAGGCAGAGGTTGCAGTGAACTGCACTCCAGCCTGGGTGACAGAGTGAGACCCTGTCTCTAAATAAATAAATAAATAGCTAGTAGTTACTGGCCAGGCACGGTGGCTCATGCCTGTAATCCCAGCACTTTGGGAGGTTGAGGCAGGCAGATCATGAGGTCAGGAGATCGAGACATCCTGGCTAACACGGGGAAACCCTGTCTCTACTAAAAAAGTACAAAAAATTAGCCAGGTGTGGTGGCGGGTGCCTGTAGTCCCAGCTACTTGGGAGGCTGAGGCAGGAAAATGGTGTGAACCCAGGAGGCGGAGCTTGCACGAGTGAGCCGAGATCGTGCCACTGCACTCCAGCCTGGGCGACAGAGCGAGACTCCATCTCAAAAAAAAAGCTAGTAGTTACTATTATAAAAATCCTCTGTATTACAGACATATTTTCAATTATTTTAGCCAGAAGTTGGCACTGTTTGTGGTGTCCTTGGTGACTCTTACATTGTTCTATTGCACTTTTTCTTCATATCATCTTATCACCCTATGTGAGGTAGCAATTATTGTCCCATTTTTAGGGATGAAGACTTCAAGGCTCAGAAAGGTAAGGTCATACAGTGAACAAGTGGCAGGGCTAGGGGTCCCAATCCACATTCATCTGGCTCCACATCCTGTATCTTCCACAGTGGCCTTTAAAGTAAACTACCAAAGCCAGAGAGGAACTTATGGATCACCTATTTTACCTTATACAATGAAACTCCAGAAGGCCAGAGAAAGGCTTGCAGGAAAGTAGAACATAAGAAGAATAGGAAGAAGAGCAATCTACAATTTGAAAGACTTTGGATCAGGTGGTCACAGCTTTGAGGCTGGCCAGTCAAGCTCTCTTGGACCTACACAAACCTCTGTCATAGCACTTACCAACTGCACTGCAACAGGAGCTTTCTTGTCCATCTCCTCCATTAAACAGAGTACTCCTTGAGGGCAGGGACCATGTCTTATCCAGCTCTGTATCCCCAGCACTCAGCACAGGGCCTGGCACACAGTAGGTGCTTATTTGAATGAATGAGAAAATCTCTTTTTCTGTTGAGTGCAGATATTAAATTACCTCACAAGCTGGTGGGGAGGATCAAATGAGAAACGAATTTGAATAAAATAAAAAGAATTATACAGGCAGTGGCTGCTTTGTGACTCAAGAAGGAAGTATTGTTTATTGGAAAATTATAAATTTGCTGAGATTCATTCATTCAACAAAAATTCAGAGCAGGCTACTATGTGCCAGGCCCCATGGCAGGGCCTGAATATACAGTGACAAACAAAATGGATGTGGTTCCTGATCCCAGAGTTAGAGTTTAGTGAGGGAGATAGATACTCAAAACGGTATTTAGTTATAAATTGTGGTAAGTTATATGAAGGAAAACTACTGTGCAATGACAGAATATAATGGAAAATCTAATTTAGAGATCAGAGAAGGGTTCATAGAAGAAAACATTTAAAATGAGACCACAATGATCACCACAATTTGCTTATTTTTGTTTGCCTTTAATATAAAAATACCTTGAAACCATAAAGTAAGCTATACAGAAATATTTGAGGTTTTTAATCGATAAATAGGGGAGGGGTTCTACCAATCAGCTTGTTTTAGAGAGGCCCCATGCCAAATAATTTTGGCAGACAAAACCAGGAATTTTTTCAGTCTAAACCTATGCTCCTCCCATGCATTCCAACCCATTAGCTTCGGAAAACCTGGGCTCTTCCCACTACTTAAACTCTCACCTTGGGGTTGTCTGTACTAGAGGTTTTCGGGTGGCTCGGAAGGTAACAAAGGCTGTGACAGCAGAGAACAAGATCCAGATCACTAGGAACCTCCACCAGTGCAGCTTCACTGTGAAATAGAGGGGAACAACCCACATCTGAAAGAGGGTCACCATCTGAAACACAAACACAAGCACTTCAGCTCTGGCCAGCTCCCTCTGCAGCTCTGTCCACAGTCCCAAATGCAGCTTGTTTTCTATTTTAGCTTGATCCTCTCCTGTATTTACAACTTTGGATAAAGTTAACTCCACTAGTGATCCAAGTCAGAGACTTAGGACCATATTTGACTCCTCCTCCCTTTCATCCCTCACTCAACTATCTCTTGGATATATTCTTTCCTTTCCATTTGAGCTCTTGCTACCACTTGGCTGGCTGACTGCAATGAGCTCTTTCTTAGTCTCCCTGCATTCAGTGTCCATCCTTTTGAGGAGTGCCAGAATGGTATCTCGAACACGAAATCTTCACCATGTCATTTCTCTGCTTAAAACCCTTAAACAGTCAAAGGATAGGATCCAACATTCCTTTTTTTTTTTTTTTTTTTGAGATGGAGTCTTGCTCTGTTGCCCAGGTTGGAGTGTAACGGTGTGATCCTGGCTCACTGTAGCCTCTGCCTCCCAGGTTTAAGCGATTCTCTTGCCTCAGCCTCCCAAGTAGCTGGGATTACAGGCGCGTGCCACCACGTGTGGCTAATTTTTGTGTTTTTAGTAGAGAGGATCCAACATTCTTAGCTAGGCTGTCAAATCCCCCATGGTATGGCCCCGACCTACTATTTCGAGGGCCATCTACCACTCCCCAGGCCTTTAAGTCAGGTTGTCCCCATCAGGTTGTCCTTCCCACCTGCCTGCCTTTCTGCCTGACAATATCACATCCAAGACACACGAAGCCTTCCGTCTAGTCTCCTTTCCAGGCAGAAAGTGCTTTCTAGTGCTCCAAACGCATTTTCTTTTCTAACATTATTATAGTGCTTATCTAGAGTATGCGGCTGGGCTTGAATTCATTCTCTACCTGTATGTAAGCTCCTTGTGGGTAGTGACTGGGCCATATTCCCACTTCCTCTAAACTAGAAAACTGTTGGCATATGATATGTCCTCAATAAATTCCGATAAGTAAGAGGAAAGTAAAACTAGAGTAGGACTCCCTCAGAGAGAGGCACATTTCTGTTTTAAAGAGTGCCTGTTTTACTCTCCCTCCTTCAGAGCCTTCCCTCAGACTTGTTAGCTGAAGTTTTTTAAAGGCATAAAACAATTCTAACTCTAAGACAGAAATTTGAAGTCATCGCTAGTCTTCTCTCCAATGCCTCCTAACTCCCTCCTCAACCACCCTTCTGTCACTAGATGTCATCCTTCTCCAGTGAGTAGCAGGTATAAAAAAAGATAGCAAATAATACATAATGGAGGTTTTCTTCCTGATGCCATCAACAAAATCAAAGAATATTTTTAAAAAAAACAACAACAAAAAGAGAGATATAGAGAGGAAAGAGCGGCTAGTTTCCTGGCATTCTATAGCAAACTAAGAAAGTATTTACTCGGCTGGCCGTGGTGGCTCACACTTGTAATCCCAGCACTTTGGGAGGCTGAGGTGGGTGGATCACAAGGTCAGGAGATTGAGACCATCCTGGCTAACACAGTGAAACCCTGTCTCTACTAAAAATACAAAAAAAATTAGCCGGGTGTGGTGGCAGGCACCTGTAGTCCCAGCTACTCAGGAGGCTGAGGCAGGAGAATGGTGTGAACCCAAGAGGTGGAGCTTGCAGGGAGCCGAGATCACACCACTGCACTCCAGCCTGGGTGACAGAGCAAGACTCCATCTCAAAAAAAAAAAAGAAAGTATTTACTCTTAGGGATTTCTAGACCAGTGCTATCCAAACGAAATATCATGCAAGTCACAAACATAGTTTAAAATCTTCTAGTTACATTTTTAAAAAGGTAAGAAGAAACAGGTTTTCATTTCAATGATATATTTTATTTATTCCAATACATACAAAATATCTCAATATGTATTCAAGATTAAAATTATTTATGAAATGGCTTACTTTTTTTGGTACTAAGGCTTTGAAATCAAATATCTATTTTACATTTACAACAGACTAGCTACATTTCAAGTAGTCAGCAGCCACATGGGACTGATGGCTACCATAATAGGTAGTGCAGCTTAGAGCAGTTTTAGTGTTTAGTTGTCTGTAGCTACCATTCTCTTATAGATTTCTCTGTGGCAAGAAAAAGCCTTAGATGGCCAGGCGTGGTGACTCACACCTGTAATCCCAGCACTTTGGGAGGCCAAGGCAGGTAGATCACCTTAGGTCAGGAGTTTAAGACCAGCCTGGCCAACATGGTGAAACCCCGTCTCTACTAAAAATACAAAAATTAGCCAGGCATGGTGGCGGGCACCCATAATCCCAGCTACTTGGGAGGCTGAGGCAGGAGAATCGCTTGAATCCGGGAGGTGGAGGTTGCGGCAAGCTGAGATCGCGCCATCGCACTCCAGCCTAGGTGACAGAGTGTTAGACTCCATCTTAAAAAAAAAAAAGTGTCATTTTACAGGAAAAAAGAAACAGTGAGAAGAGAACAGAACAGAACAGAGAAAAGGGTAAGCAGAACCACTTTGCTTTAGAGGTTCCCATTCTGTGTACCCGAGGGTACTGGCTGCTGGTCCATGAGCCTTGAAGCCTCAATAACAATTCACTACATAGGAACCCACAACTGACTCTCTGAATGAAGCATTCTAAAACAGTCTGACCTTACATAAAAAGTGTGGAAGCACCAGGATGTACTAACAAATGGCTACCCAAATAATGCCCCAGGTGTCATTTTCTAGGAGACACTAGGAGCACCAGGAAAAGACATCACAACAAACAACTGCAGATTATTTAAATTTGGGGAAAACGCAACCCAACTCATGAAACTAAAAGGGTGGCATATGGAAAGAAGGGCTGGAAGGTTTTGGTCTTCATGCTATTCGCTTTAACAGGCTCATGGGGCTGTTTACAAAACAGTAGGCCCAGAGAATAATTAAATCACATAGTCTGGTCACATTTGTTCTCTCTGAGAAAAAAACAGAAACTCCTGTTCTCCTGCCAGTTTTTCAAAAACTTGGCTGTTGCATTAAAACAACCAGCCTGCGCTAAGATCCTCTTTCCCACTTTCCACCAATCATCAATAGCATGTTCTGAGGAGGAATGTGAATCAAGGTAATTTTCTCTACATGAGCTGCAGCTCTGTACATTCTGGGTGAGGAGAGAAGCAGAGATCCTGGATTCTATTCTGAGTTGGACAAAGACACAATTAGGAGTAAGTCGGGGCATGAGGAATGAAAAATCTTGCTTTGTTTTGTAGTTTTTGGGCTTGAAATTTTAGGATGAAAAAACTACATCTAGAGATATACATCAAGTACGTAAAGCTATATCAAGTCACATCGAGAGAAAGAAAAAGACTGTGTGTGAGAAAAAAAGAGAGAACAAGAGGAGAGAGAGAAAGGGAGAAAAGGGGAGACAGAAGGGAATTTAGAGACAGGATTAGGCTTTCTGAAACCAGATGGTGGAGTAGAAGCCCAGTAAACCGGAGTTCTAGTTCCATTCTGCCTCCAACTCAATAGGTCACCCTAAGGAGGTCCTCCGTCCTTTCTTGGAGGAAGGGATTGGCTTGATTTTTCAAACCACTTCAAGTTCTAACAGGCTAAGTTTCTATCAACTAGCTCTGTATCCCAGACTTCCTAGGAGAGTAGAGGCAGTGTTCACCCACTCACTCATTCAACCATTAAGTATTAATTTTGCATTTAATGGGAAAAGGAGTACAGAAATAAACATGACCTCTAGTCCTCTAGGAGTTACCAGGCTAGCTGCAGGAAAAAGATCTAAATCAAACCCTAATTTCAATGATTCTGTTAGCCTTCAGACCATTTCTAGAAGTCCAAATAGGAATCATTAAAGAATGAACAAAATGAAATGATACACTGAAATGATCAGAAATTTTAGAATTAAAGCTATCTAAATATGAATCCCAATACAGCTAATTACTGCGTTAACTTAGGCAGATCGTTTAACTCTGAAAAGCTTCAGTTCTCTAAACTATGGTAAAATGGGGTTAACAGTATCTATTCTCAGAAGGTTGTATGGGTTAAATGAGTTAAGGCATGGAAAGCACTTACAACAGTGCCTAATAATGTCAGCACTTGTTATAAGCAGTGTAGTAAATACAAGCATTTGATATAATAGTTCTTATATTTAAATGGAAGTAATATGTATAAAACAAGTGTGATGCATAATTCATAATAAGCGCTCAGTAAATGAGAGCTCTTATTATGGCTTTTGCATGATTAAAAATGCATTAAGTCACACATACAAAGGAGCAAAGACCAGAATGAGGCAACCAAAATAACTGACATATGAAAAGTGATAAGGTTATAAGCAATTTCTTATTAATGTTTAATTGTCCTTTCTAGGAAAAATAAATTATCAGAAGACACAAACCAAGGATTTGAGGCCATTTTCAGGTCCCCAGGCCATCTCCATTAGGGAGTGAAAGCCAACTTCTGCTTGGGGCCTAGAAAGCAGCTGCTGGTGGAAGGACCCAGTTCCTGGGGAGGGGCAAGGCAGAGGAGCTGAGTGAACAGAACAGTCTACCATGTGATAAAAGGGGAAGTTACCTGGTTTCTTTATTTGGTTTAAAATTTCTACTGTAGGCCGGGCATGGTGGCTCACTCCTGTAATTCGAGCACATTGGGGGGCTGAGGCAGATGGATCGCTTGAGCCCAGGAGCTTGAGACCAGCCTGGGCAACACGGTGAAACCCCACCTCTTAAAAAAAAAAAATACAAAAAATTTTTTTCAGTTTCTACTTTAGAATTTATTGGCATTTTGCTTGGTAAATATGTTTAAACTTCATTAAGGAAGGCATATAAATGGCTAAAAGTTATGCAGAACAATTGCAGGGCCTCTAGTGCCATCTCGTGGCAACATTTATGGAGACACATTTGGTTCACTAATTTGCACACTTGTGCCTGATGCTGTGGAAAGCATGAAAGCCTTGGCCCTCCAGGACTTGGCTAATGCGATATAAACACATGAATTAGGTGGCCAGTACAAAGCATCAAGTACGGACATGGGAATTCAGTGGAAAGATGAGGCAGGAGCTGTCAGGAAAACTTCCTGGAAGAGGCAGAGCTCTGGATGATTCTAAAGGAGGAATGGGTTTGGCCAGGTAGAAGGAGAAACACAAAAGCCATTCATCCTTCTCTCCCTGAATGTGCAAATACAAAGCTGAAGACTAGCCTGAAACTAACTCATGGATTCGTTCAGCAAACATTTACTGAGGGACAAGAATAGCAATATCCCGCTTATCCCTCCACAAGGCTAAAACAGTTGAGATGACGATGTTAGATGCTAACAGTAAGAGCTAGTCCACATTTAAACGGATTGCCTCTTAACTGAGAGCTGGAACCATCAGTAGAAGGTGTGTTGGTAGAGATGGAATCAACACTACCTGACAATTATTTCTAATAAGACAACCTCCAGATCCCTTTCATCTCAGAGAAACTAGAATTCATGAAAATAGATCATATCTTTCCCTGTGCATCAGGTGCCTTTCCAGTCCACAGGTGCTTGGCACTTTTGACTTTCAGGATTCTCATCTTACCACCTCTGCATCCCCTCATGTTGTAAGCTAGGGATCACCCTCCCACCATACCTGGCTGAAAAGCAATATAGTGGATGAAATGAAACTATAAGCCCAAGTAGTAGAATAAAGGTAGAGATCCACAGCTAATAGAACAATCAGCTTGAAAATAGGCTGAGAAATAGACTGCAGTCAACTGGAGGTAGGTTTCTGGGACATGCTCCATGGCTCTGCTCAATATTTTCATAAATGATTTGGAAGAAAACACAAAGAACCTCCCAACTGTGGACAGCACAAAGCTTGTGGGGAGGGAAAGGGAGGCAGTGAACATGGAAAATAGAAGAAATAAGATCAAAATGAAAAAAGTTTATTTCTAGGGTTCTTTTAGCCCTAACATTCCATGAGCTAATAAGCTGAAATGAAGAATCAAAACCACAAAATGAAACCTAACTACCAAAGTATAGAATGGGGAAGGAATGGCTTAATAGTAGCTCACATGAAACAGGCTTAGGGGTTTCAGTTGACCACAAATTGCCAGGGAATATATGCCAACAGGGCTGCTGCCAACACAGCCAAGACAACCCTGCTTAACTAAGAATATACCCAGAATGGGCCAGGTGCCGTGGCTCACGCCTGTAACCCCAGCACTTTGGGAGGCCGAGGCAGGCAGATCACGAGGTCAAGAGATCGAGACCATACTGGCCAACCAACATGGTAAAACCCCGTCTCTACTAAAAATACAAAAATTAGCTGGGCATAGTGGCGCACACCTGCAGTCCCAGCTACTCGGGAAGCTGAGGCAGGAGAATCGCTTGAACCCGGGAGGCGGAGGTTGCCGTGAGCCGAGATTGTGCCACTGCACTCCAGCCCGGGCGACACAGCGAGACTCCATCTCAAAAAAAAAAAAAAAAAAAAAAAAAAAAGAATATACCCAGAATGGAGGGGGCAGCAGGTCTACTGTTCTCTGCTCTGTTAAAGTATCTCTGGGACCCTAGGATCAGGGCTTGGGGCCACACTATACAAAGAACACTAACAAATAAGCATGGCCATAAGACAGCAGGCCATAAGAGAGCAGCTAGGATTATAATAAAAGGCCTGGAAACCAAATCACATAAGGAACAACTGAAGACACCAGGATATTAAGCCTGGAGAAGACTACAAGAAGGCTTCAGATAAATGATATCTGAAGAGTCATCCAGAGGCCCAATAAACAGACATATTCAGTGTAGTTTCTATGACCTAGTGAGACACTACACATTACTGGACACTCTACAAGGCAGAAACACGGTTGGAGTTGTTTCCCTCCTATCACACCTACACATAGTAATCCTTACCACATAAGTCAGGCCACTCCAATACGAATATATTTGCTAGACAGCTCTTTCCTGATGCTGACCTGAAAAATCTGCCTTTGTGTCACTTCTGTCTCTGGGTCCAACTCTTATCTTTCAGAGGAGCACAAAGTAAACTTACTCCATGTTTCTTATGACTACTCTTCTAATACCTAGAACTATGTCTTCTTTCCCATCTTTTCCACTTCAAGCAAACGAGTCAGTCAAGCAGTCATTTAATAAACATTTACTGAGCACTTACTGGATGCCATGCTAATGACTGGGGAATTCAGAGATGAAAACCAAAATCTCCTGAAGAACACAAGTCTACTGAGGAGAAACAAATAACCACAATTAAGTGCTTTAATGGAGTAAGGGCTGGTGACCAAGAAAATACAGAGGAGAGGCACTCCACTCAAAGTGGAGAACCCACCCCCCTCCAAGGAAGGCTGCCTGAAGGAAGCATCCTTTGATCTCTGTCTTGATGGCCAATAGGTCCAGATAGAAAAAGGCATCATGATGGGTGTTCCAGGATGAGGGGACATGGTATACTTGAGAAAAGACAACTAGTATTTGAGGAAGGTGTGAGAAATGAGCCTAAAGAGGTAGATGAGACTCAAAGGAGGCTGATAAAGATACCACAGCTACAAGTTTTTGTTATATTCTGAAGATAGAAGTTTTTCCTTCTCATAGAAAGTGAATTACAACCCCTTACCACCTTAGTCAGAATTCTCTAATTCCACATTCTAGTAATCCTAATATCTTGGTCTAAGAAAAATCTACAGTACTTTAAAGATTTCCAGGTAGGAGATTTTGCCACTCACCGGTTCCAGGAGGGAAAGCAGTTCAGGAGGTAGAGATGTGAAGAGATACTATATTTGGTAGTAGACACAGATGATGAAAGCTTCTCCCTGGAGAACTTCAAAAATAGGATGGATACTTTTCCAGGCATAAACTTATCCCTTCCCCTAACATCCCTGAAGGAGCTAAAGAGTAATGTTAGACTCTGAATAGATGATGAAAACTGAGCTACGCAGAAGCCAAAAGGCAAGTCTGGTTTGGGCTAGGTTTCCAATCCAGATTTTCTGTCTCTTAAGCTGCCTACCAATCATCATTCACTGAGTTTGTGGGGAAATCTGGAGAGGCTGGGGAGGCAAGATGATGAAGAGACTTAAGAGGAGGTTGAGAAAGTACCTGAGATCCAAGGAAAGGACTTGGGCAAAAGTCGTTAAATAAGGAAACTCAAGAGGATTAAAAACTTCTGACTATGGCAGAAATTGACAAAAATTTCCTGAAGCCTTTGAGAGGAACCTACAGAAAGAACACTTAACCAAGAATCAGATTTTCATTTTAGGTCCAACTCTCCAATTTAATGGTCATGTGTTCCCAGCAAATCACTTCAGGATTCTGTACCTTGGTTTACTAATCTGAAAACTGAAGATAAATACCTACCCTGACTACCTTACAGAGCTGTTAGGAGGTTCCAAGAGAGAATAAATGAGAAGAACTCAAGTCTACTGAGGAGAAAGAACCAACCACAATTCATTATAAGTGTTATAACAGAGTAGGTGGAGTATTTTTTAAATCATCAACAAATCTAAACTATAAGCAATCTAAAGTATTATTATTGCTAGAATTGAAAAGAACAGTATCTAAAATTTAGATACAGTATGACCTTACTCAAAACAACAGGGCTTGGCTGGGCGTGGTGGCTCACGCCTGTAATCCCAGCACTTTGGGAGGCCGAGGAGGGTGGATCACGAGGTCAGGAGATTGAGACCATCTTGGCTAACACGGTGAAACCCCGTCTCTACTAAAAATACAAAAAATTAGCCAGACACGATGGCAGGCACCTGTAGTCCCAGCTACTCAGGAGGCTGAGGCAGGAGAATGGCGTGAACCCGGGAGGCGGAGCTTGCAGTGAGCCGAGATAGCGCCACTGCAGTCTGGCCTGGGTGAAAGAGCAAGACTCCGTCTCAAAAACAAACAAACAAACAAACAAAAAAATACAGGGCTTTTGTTTTTTGTATTTTTCAAAATTTTCTGTTTTAAATTTTATATTTCTTCTTTTAAATTTATTTCTTTGGCCTCTTCCTTGTCAGTAGGGCTTTTGTTTTTTGGGGTTTTTTTGGTTTGTTTTTTTGTTTTTTGAGACAGAGTTTCACTCTTGTCACCCAGGCTAGAGTGCAGTGGCAGGATCTTGACTCACTGCAACCTCCACTGCCCGGGTTCAGGCAATACTCCTGCCTCAGCCTCCACAGTAGCTGGGATTACAGGCACCTGCCACCACATCCGGCTAATTTTTGTATTATTAGTAGAGACGGGGTTTTACCATGTTGGTCAGGCTGGTCTTGAACTCCCAACCTCAGGTGATCTGCCCGCCTCGGCCTCCCAAAGTGCTGGGATTACAGGCATGAGCCACCGCGCCCGGCCTGTTTTTTGTTTTTGAGACAGGGTCTCACTCTGTTGCCCAGGCTGGAGTGCAGTGGCACAATCACAGCCCACTGCAGCCTCAACCTCCCAGGCTCAAGTGATCCTCCCATCTCAACCTCCTAAGTAGCTGGGACTACAGGCCTATGCTACTACAACCAGCTAATTTTTTCTTTTTTAAGAGATTGGGTCTTACTACGTTGCCCAGGCTGGTCTCAAACTCCTGGGCTCAAGCTATCCTTCCACTCCAGTCTCCCAAAATGCTGGAATTACAGGCATGAGCCACTATGCCCAGCCTACATTTCCCTCTTTTTTTTTTTTGAGATGGAGTTTCACTCTTGTTGCCTAGGCTGGAGTGCAAAGGCACAGTCTCGGCTCACCACAACCTCCGCCTCTTGGATTCAAGCGATTCTCCTGCCTCAGCCTTCCGAGTAGCTGGGATTACAGGCATGCACCACCATGTCCGGCTAACAGTGTATTTTTAGTAGAGACAAGGTTTCTCCATGTTGGTCAGGATGGTCTCCAACTCCTGACCTCACGTGATCCGCCTGCCTCGGCCTCCCAAAGTGCTGGGATTATAGGCATGAGCCACCGCACCCAGCCGCCCAGCCTATGTTTCTCTTAATGTGAAGGTTGGGCTTGAGCTCCTAAGTTATGGACAGTAATGTGATACTTCTCAGTGGGCTGGCATACTGCTCATCATCAGTCTCATAGCTTGCAATATCCATGTTGCTCTAGGTCCTAGAGCCTAGGACAGTGTTTCTCATCAGGGATGATTTTGTTTCCCAGGGGACATTTGGCAGTCTGGAGACATCTGGTTGTTACAAGTGCAGAAGGGTGCCAGTATCATCTAGTGGACAGAGGGTAGGGATGCTATTAAACATCCTATAATATACAGGACAGCCCCCGAGAAAAAAAGAATTATATGGCCCAAAATGCCAACAGTTCCTCTGTTGAGAAACCTTGGTCTAGGAGAACAGAGCTAGTGTTTTTCCACTCAGTGGTCATTGGATGCCCACTAAAAGGCTGCGCCACCAACCTGCACTAGTGAAGGACAAAAAGTTTCATTCAGTTTGAAAGAAACAGAGCCTTATCAAATAATTCCATCATTTCTTGGAATGCCATAAGAGGCATTTTTTTAAAAGCTCTAATGGCTAATCTCAAACAGTTCATGTTTCTACTACTCAACAACAATCCCAGTGCCTTTCCTTTACACAACATTCTCCGGGGAGTCTTCCTGATTCTCTTTTATTACTATTCCTCACCCCAGACATTCTAATGTGCTTCACATGTATATTTTTGTTTGTACCTGTTCATGCAAACTGTTTATTGCTTTCTCTGCTTGTATTTTTATTAATTGGCATTGTGTTACACATCTTTCTGTTTCTTAGTTTTTCCACTCAGTACTATGCTTTTAAGGTCCTCCCAAGTTCCTACAGGTACTTAATGTATTGCTTTTAACTGTAAAACAATTTCATGATATGCATCCGTCACATTTTACCTATTTACTCCCTCAGAGATAGATATCCAGATTGCCTCCAACTCCTCAATGTTCAGCCATAATTAACACTTCAGTGAACACCCTCTTACATATCCCCTTAGGATGTGTCACAGGGTATGTGTATATTCGCTGACTCAGCAATGCCATGCTGCTATCCACAATGCCTGTACCATACCCACAAAAAAGTACAAGAAAGCTCCTACAGCCTTTGATCCTTGCCAACACTTGGCACTATTCAGCTTTCTAGCTTTTGCCAACCTAATAGATGTAAAGTGATATCTCATATTTTTATGTGCATTTCTCTAATTACTAATGACTCTGAGCATCTCTTTTCATGCTTAATGGCCTTTTGGGTTTCCTTTCCTGTAAATGTGTTCATATCTCTGGCCTGTTTTTCTATTGGAGTTGCTGTCTTTTGTTGATTTGTAGGAGTTTCTCTGGATAAATATTAATCTACTGTCAGTTTTAATCATTACTCATCTATTCTCCATTCAGTTTCAGTTAACTCTGCCTATCATATCTTTAACAGAACAGAAATCCTTAATTTATAAAATCAAATTTATCGAATCTTTCTTACTTGCTTATATTTTTATTTTTAAAAAAGTTCATTTACTTATTTATTTTGAGACAGGGTTTCATCTGTTACCCACAATGTAGTCAAGTGCCATGATCTCAGCTCACTGCAACCTCAAACTCTTGGGCTCAAGTGATCCTTCCACCTCAGCCTCCTGAGTAGCTGGGACTACAGGCATGCACCATCACACCTGGCTAATTTTTTTATTTTTTGTAGAGATAGGGTTTGACCATGTTGCCCAAGCTGGTCTTGAACCTCTAGGCTCAAGTGATCTGCCCCCCTCAGCCTCCCAAAGTGCCGGGATTACAGGCATGAGTCACCACACCCAGCCTGCTTATATTTTAAAAATTAGTTTCATAACTTTACCTTTCATAATTAGGTCTTTATCTTGAGTCCCCTTTGTATTCAGTATTATGTACAAATCTAGTTTTAATTTTTCTCCTTGTGGTGAGTCAGTTTTCTCAACTAATCTACTTAACAATGAATACCTTCTTATTGATTGGTGGTTACACCTTTATTATATATTAAATTCCCATCCATCTCTGAGATCTGCATTTTGTCCCACTGATCTGTTTGTCTATTCTTATAGTGTGTCTTAAGGCAAGGTAAGTCCCTGTCTTGGTAGTTGCTTTCTTTCTTGCTTTATTTTTGAACTTTAGGTAGAGAAAAAAATAAATTATTCAAATTCTTTGGTTAATGAACATTCTCATCATTAGTCCATGCATGGACCACCTTTAATTTTTTAAAGTTATTATTATTTTGTCTTTTTTTAAATGACAGTCTCACTCTGTCACCCAGGCTGGAGTGCAGTGACGTGATCATAGTTTACTGAAGCGTTAAACTCCTGGGCCCAAGCAATCTTCCCGCCTCAGCCTCCCAAGTAGCTGGCATTACAAGTGCACACCACCACAGTCAGCTAATTTTTAAAATTTTTAGTAGAAATGGGGTCTCCCTGCATTGCCCAAGCTTGTCTGGAACTCCTGGAATCAAGTGATCCTTCCACCTTAGTCTTCCAAAGTGCTGGGATTAGAGGTGTAAGCCACTGTGTCAACCAAAACTACTTTTGTGGTTTCAAAACCCAAAAAATTTTCCATTTTATTCATCTTTGAGTATACAGTTCAATACTGTTATGTATTACTATCTGTTACTATTTTGTAACAGATCTCCAGAACTTTTTTGTCTTGTAAAATGGAAGCTCTATAGGCCCTAATTCCCCCTACTCCCTAGCCATCATTCTACTTTCTGTTTCTATGAATTTGACTACTTTAGATATCTCATATAAGTGGAATCATATTGGTCTCTTTGTGACTGGCTTATTTCACTTAACATGTCTTCAAGGTTCATCCATCCTGTACCACATGACATAATTTCTTTACTTTTTACATTAATTATTTAATAACATGATAAATACTGAACCCACAAATGAACCTAAGATGTGAAACATCTAAAATTACTTATATCTAGCTATGTGCTCGTCTCTATCCTATCCTGCAGTCTCTCTTCCATACAAGGTTACCATTATCTGGAATCTTGATTCTATTCCCTTGCTTTTTAAAATGTGGTTTTGGCTTGGCACGGTGGCTCATGCCTGTAATCCCAATACTTTGAGAGGCCAAGGTGGGAGGACTGCTTGAGCCCAGTAGTTTGAGACCAGTCTCATCAACACAGGAAGACCCTCATCTCTAGAAAAAAAATTTTTAAATTAGCCAGGCAAGGGTGGTGCACACCTGTGGTCCCATTTACCTGGGAGGCTGAGGTGGGAGGATCAACAGAGCCCAGGAGGTTGAGGCTGCAGTGAGCTGTGATCATGCCACCACACTCCAGACTGGGTGACAGAGAAAGACCCTGTCTCAAAATAAAGTAAAATATGGTTTTATCACACATATACGTAATTTTAAAACATACCGTTTATGCCTAACACAAACTTAGCCAAAAAAAAGAAAACATACCACTTAAGTTTCCATTATTTTTACCTTTCTATAAAAAGTGTCAACTTATAAGTGGTCTTCTAGGACTCTTCTTTTGCACTCAATATTATACTGCTAAGCTTCATCCTTACCATTATTTGTAGCTATAGTTATTTTATATTTTGTCTTTTTATAAGTATGTCATATGCATTATTTTATATGTTATATTCCATTATGTGAATATATCACAACTAACTCACCCATTCACCTTTACGTGAGTATTGTCATTTCCAAGTTTTTGCTACTACAAATAGTGTTGCTATGAAAAATCCTAAGAGGGGCCAGGCACGGTGGCTCACGTCTGTAATCCCAGCACTTTGGGAGGCCGAGGCAGGTGGATCACCTGAGGTCAGGAGTTCGAGACCAGCCTGACCAACATGGTGAAACTCTGTCTCTACTAAAAAATACAAAAATTAGCCGGGCATGGTGGCAGACACCCATAATCCCAGCTACTTGGGAGGCTGAGGCAGGAGAATCACTTGAACCCAAGAGGCGGAGGTTGCAGTGAGCCGAGATCGCGCCACTGCATTCCAGCCTGGGCAACACAGCAAGAGCCTGACTCAAAAAAAAAAAAAAAGAAAGAAAGAAAAAAGAAAAATCCTAGGAGGATGTACCAAAATCTTCTCTTGGCATATATCTAGGAATTAAACTCCCAGATCATAGGGAGTTTAATTTAAAAACAGTTTGAAACTGTTTTTCAAAGTTGTTTCTCCACAAAGGAAACAATATAACTGAGCACAGCCCCAGCGTGGGACTAGAAAGGATCAACGAATATCTACTGACTGAACAAATAAATAGACAGTACTCAATAAATGCTAGCTAGTGTTATTAATTATGTCTACGTAATTACATAGGTGGTAATGTCCCAACTATATTTATGCTCTGCTTCTCCTCTCTAGAACTGACCTTTAACCTACAGCAGATTTGAGAATGAGAGGTCCACAAGAATTGTAAAATTGGTAGCTATGGCTATTACCTAAAATATGCCTAGGCAGGCAGAAGAACTTTATAAGAACCAGGATAGAAAATCAGGAACAGCAAGATGGGCCATCCAAACAGAATAGCAAACAATAGAGTACTTAGCCAACAAGATCGTTCATAAATTGGGCTGGGGGCAGTGGCTCACACCTGTCATCCCAGCACTTTGCGAGGCCGAGGCAGTTTGATCACTTGAAGTCCAGAGTTCGAGATCAGCCTGGCCAACATGGTGAAACCCCTTCTCTACTAAAATACAAAGAGTTAGCTAGGCATGGTGGCAGGAGCCTGTAATCCCAGCTACTTGGGAGGCTGAGGCAGGAGAATCGCTTGAACCGGGGGCAGAGGTTGCAGTGAGCCGAGAGCATGCCACTGCACTCCAAACTGGGCGACAGAGCAGGACTTCATCTTAAAAAAAAAAAGATCGTTCATAAATCTAATCTATAAAAATTTTTCTACCAATTCTACAAATAAAATCAAATGACAAACTGGGGAAAGATATCCGTAGCAAATTATGTCAGAAGGCTTATTCCTGACCTACAAAGAGCTCTTACAAATCAGTAAGAAACATTCCAAAAGAAACCTGAGCAAAGGAAAGAAAATGTACCAAATATATCATATGGCTCAAGCTGTGAATAATACATCTTGTGAATAATACTTACATATAATACTTAATAATGTAAACAATGAATATTTATTTAAAAATTGGGAGGAGGAAATGTTTGTAGTATGTAACGGGTATAGGTATAGCAGTAAAAGATAATTATTACCGCCAGGCACAGTGGCTCATGTCTGTAATCCCAACACTTTGGGAGGCCAAGGTGGGCAGATCACGAGGTCAGGAGATCGAGACTATCCTGGCCAACATGGTGAAACCACGTACTAAAAATACAAAAATACATTTGTACTAAATACAAAATACTAAATACTATTGTATTTTGTACTAAAATACATTTGTACTAAAAATACAAAAATTAGCTGGGTGTGGTGGCATGAACCTGTAGTCCCAGCTACTTGGGAGGCTGAGGCAGAAGAATCGCTTGAACCCAGAAGGCAGAGATTGCAGTGAGCCGAGACCATGCCATTGCACTCCAGCCTGGGTGACAGAGTGAGACTCCGTCTCAAAAAAAAAAAAAAAAAACAAAAAAAACCCACATAATTATTACCTTCCAAAGTAGGAAGTCAATATATAATATTTAAAAGTAGAAATTTATACATCAGTATAAACATGTTATTTAAAAAACATAAATATTATATTTAAATATAATAAAGTAGAAATTTATATCAGTATAAACATGTTATTTAAAAAACACAAATATTGGCCGGGCGCGGTGGCTCACGCCTGTAATCCCAGCACTTTGGGAGGCCGAGGCGGGTGGATCATGAGGTCAGGAGATCGAGACCATCCTGGCTAACAAGGTGAAACCCCGTCTCTACTAAAAATACAAAAAATTAGCCGGGCGCGGTGGCGGGTGCCTGTAGTCCCAGCTACTCGGGAGGCTGAGGCAGGAGAATGGCGTGAACCCGGGAAGCGGAGCTTGCAGTGAGCCGAGATTGCGCCTCTGCAGTCCGCAGTCCGGCCTGGGTGACAGAGTGAGATTCCGTCTCAAAAAAAAAAAACAAAAAACCCACAAATATTATATTTAAATATAATAAAGTAGAAATTTATACATCAGTATAAACATGTTATTTAAAAAACGCAAGGCCAATTGTGGTGGCTCATGCTATAATCCCAACACTTTGGGAAGCTAAGGCAAGAGGATCACTTAAGGCCAGGAATTCAAGACCAGCCTGGGCAATATAGTGAGAGCCAACTCTACAAAAAATTAAAATATATATATATTAGCCAAGCGTGGTGGTGTGTACCTGTAGTCCTAGCTACTTGGGAGGCTGAGGCAGGAGGATTGCCTGGGCCCAGGTGTTTGAGGCTGCAGTGAGCTATGATGGAGCTGCTGCCCTCCAGCCTGGGTGACAGACTGAGATCCTGTATCTTAAAAAAAAAAAGTATCAGAAATGAACTAAAAAAGTTATTAATAAAAGTAGTTGCCACAGAAGAATCAGCGACTGACAGAGTTGGGCAGGGGACCAATGTGTTTTGCTTCTGAAGTCTTGTAGAACTATCTGACTTTTAAAACTATGGTATGTATTACTTCGATAAAAATGGAAATATCAGGCCAGGCACGGCGGCTCACACTTGTAATCCCAGCATTTTGGGAGGCCAAGGTGAGCGGATCACCTGAGGTCAGGCATTCGAGACCAGCCTGACCAACGTGGAGAAACCCTGTCTCTACTAAAAATACAAAATTAGCTGGGCATGGTGGCGCACGCCTGTAATCCCAGCTACTCGGGATGCTGAGGCAGGAGAATCACTTGAACCTGGGAGGCAGAGGTTGTGGTGAGCTGAGATTGTGCCATTGCACTCCAGCCTGGGCAACAAGAGGGAAACTCTGTCTCAAAAAAAATGTATCAAATATAAATCTAGTCAATGATATGAACAAATAATTGAAAGAAGCCAAATGACCACTAAGCATGAAAACATGCTCAACTTCACTAATAATCAGAGAAATACTTAATAAAATCAGGTATTTTCACCTTATCACACTGACAAAGATTAAAAATACTGACTATACCCTACACCTTCTTTAACACTGGGTAACAGCTCTGTTAAATCTGTGTTGATGGATTGTAAACTATAATAGCTATAACTTTCTTGGAGGGCAATTTGGCAAGTTCCACTAATAATTAAAACACATATATTTTTTGACCAGGCAATTTCATTTCTAGGAGTGCATTCTATAAAACTGCTTGCACAGGTATGCAGGTAATTTATGTATGAGAAGCTTACTAAATTGTTGCTTGCAACTGTGATAAACTGTTAATTAACAAGTCAATCGATAAAGGTAAATTAAATTTTATTTGAGATCTATTTTCCAAAATACTATGCAGGCCAGGCGTGGTGGCTCACTCCTATAATCCCAGCACTTTGGGAGGCCGAGGTGGATGGATCACTTCAGCCCAGGAGTTCCTGACCAGCCTGGACAACATAAAACCATCTCTATAAAAAATACAAAAATGAGCTGGGCATGGTGGCTCACACCTGTAGTTCCAACTACTCAAAAGGCTGAAGTGGGAGGATCCCTTGAGCCCAGGAGGCAGAGGTTGCAGTGAGCCAAGATCACACCACTGCACTCCAACCTGGGCAACAGAGACCCTGTCTTAAAAAAAAAAAAAAAAAATTACTATGCAGTCATTAGTTTAAGAGGATGATATACCCACCAATATGGATAGATATTTGAGAGATAGTATTAGGTGAAAAATGCCGCAGAACCTAATGGATGTCATAAACATCTAAAAATTTATAAACACACACTTGCAGATTTTTCCTATCTATAACAAATTGATTAACAGTGGTTCCCTCTGGGACACTTTTGATTTCTATGTCACATACTGTTACATTGTTCAAATTTTTTTATAACAAATAAACATAACTTTTGCAGAATGAAAACCTCATCCTGTCTCTAGGCAGGTCTGCTTCATCCTCTAAGAACAAGACAGGCCTTTACCTCTTGTGGGTAATTCAATTTGATACAGATTTCAGAGCTAACTGGGAGGACTTCAAGAAGTCCAGTCAACCATCCCATAAAAAATCACAAACATCCCCTCCACAACATTCCTGACAGGTTGCTAACTTGTACTAAAACACA